>NC_000002.12:229610830-229913860 GCF_000001405.40 Homo sapiens
CCACAGTTCCCAAACTGTGTGCCAAAGTGCTATGGGGTGCCAAGCTGAAGGCACAAGGCACCACAGATTATATTTTTTAAATTTTCAAGAGAAACACAGGATCTACAACTTCTGTCAGATATTTCACAAACTACTAGCTAGAAGTAGTTCATTGTTTCAACATTAGATCCTGTTACATTTTGATGATACCATATCTTACCAAAGCTGGGTTTTTCAGCAATTACTGGGATAAGAAAAGCAAACACTCCCTGAAAGTCGATGTGAACAGGAAATGAGGTGATCAACTGAGCAGCTGTATAGTGCCCCACAGGCACATAGTCCCAGCAGTATGTAACTGCAATTACTTAAGAATAAAGTAAATGTATTTTTTTCTTTCAATTTATGTGTTATTTTTTTCAAACAGCTACGAAGTCATTTGCACATAAGTTGTTGGGATCCAACTACTTAATAAAAAGAACCATTAGCAATGCCTTTTGGCCTGAAGCACTATAAAAAATTTACTGAGATGCTAAGGCCACCAGGAACCAAGAAAGTTTGGGAATCCCTGGCTTACATGAAAACAGTTGTTGTGACACAACACATTAAAAGTTCTTCATAAAATGGGTCACTTTATAAATTACATAAGAAGTAAATTTACAAAGTTCTGCCACTTAACAATTTTAGAAATCTCAATAATCAGTCCTTATCTTCTAAAAGAACCAAATAGCTGGAATTCCAGGAGACCAGTAGGCAGACCACAGACAGAACAGGCTTATCGGCAAATTGATTGAAATCAACTAGGTTGGCAAAGCATGCAACTGACACAGCTCTGAAAGATCCCCCAACCACTCCAACCTTGTGAGGTTTCACCTTCGCTTTACAGAGAAGGAAACCAAAGTCCTATGGGGTTAGATGCAGGTTTAGGGTCCCTAAGTGACAGAGCAGAACTCCAACCCAGTTCTTTGAACCTGGCTCCACCAGCCCTTCCTCTAAGACGTACTGACAGGAAATCATAAATAACCACCTTGAAACCTTCGTCACACAGTGTCGGTGGGATGTTACACCGTCTCCATAACCACTCAGTCCTGAGTCTCTTTGAAGCCCTTTTCTTCGATATGCAGGTAAGGAGTGTGAAGCTTTTGCATTGGTAGCCTGTCACTTTTTGTTATCCTATTGTTCCTATGTTTTAGCAGCTGATCAATCACAGCGTGGATTAAGGCATTAGTTGCAAACTGAAGTCAACCATACTCTGGAGTCAAGCGCTGCTAGAGTCAAATCCCAGCACAGCCACATAATACCTCTTAGTCCTTAAGGAGTTAAAGTAACTTCTCAACTCCTCACTTTTTGAATATTTGAAATGGGGATAGTACTTTCTTTGAGGGACTGCTGAGGATTAACAGAGAGAATCTAGGACTTGGGTACAAAACTCTGATCGGTGGAATTGGGATCTCTGGTCACCCACATAAATATCAACTGACCAGGCCAGAAAGGCTTCAACTGAGTCCACTGTTGGGGATCAGACATTATGGGCATTCTGGATACACTGGGGGACCCTGGTGGAAGCCTGACTGTTAAAAGGACAAAACATCCCAGAGAGAGATTTACTGTAAAGGGGGAAGGCATCTGGTAGAGCCAGCCACAGCCAGTAAAGATGCCTCAGGTGAGGGAGAACAGCTCTGGGTCCAAAACTTCCATTGGTATCAGACTTAGACTGGCCCAGCTGTGCGTGAGAGCTGTCCACAAAGAGAGCTGTCCCTCGGAAGCTTGCAGCTCTATGATTCCAGAAGCCTCGCTGCGGACACAAAGCTGGGTGGAACATGCTGGGCTCACTGTTTTTTGCACTTTGCCAGAATGGCCTGGAGTTACCAGGCTATTTGGCCCAGGTTTCGCTTTGACCAATAGTAGGCACAATGAGCTCCAAACTGGTTATCTTTGGTCTTCTGACCTAACATCTAGAGTCTGTGATAATTTTATGAAGGACTCAGTTATTTACTTTCCCTATCACATCTACACACACGGGGAGAGAGAACTGGATGAACTAATAAAAAATCTTAAAGTGACAAGTTCTATTACTATGTGGTAGAAAGCAAGAACGTATTCCAATATACAAAACTATTTTGGACCAAAATATGTATTTGCATATTTCAGGCAAATGTACAAGTGACTTGCTAAAATAAAACAATAGCTTATCTCTAGTTAAAATTCAATCGCACTTGCATCCTCATTAAAACATTCGCATTGTAAAATGTCCAACATGAGATACTGTTATCAGTATCTCTATTGTGCCCAGCTCTTCAGGGAAGATTTTCAGCAAACAGCCATTAAAAATCTAATTTCGCTGAATAGAATATAGATTAACGGCCAGTTCATTCTATAAATATTGCTTCTAAAAACAGAAGTTTTGCTGGTAACAGAAAAAAATAAAATCCAAACAGCAGTACCAATTACTACAGCAGCATTTTTAGTAGTTTGGCAATCAGTATGAACCATTGTAAAAAGCAAAATCAAGCATTCAAGCATGTGGCTGCCAAAGAGCCAGATCACCTGAATTACAGTCACAGCAAATTTAATTTATGAACAATAACATACTCAATGCATTGCGTAGAAAATAAAATTCATGACAAATTTTCATATAACTGAGCAGTGCTATGAGCGTTGAAAATAGGATTTCCAAAACTAAAAGTAACCCTGTAAGGCAAATATTACCAACTCCATTTCAGAGGTGAGACATCTAAGACTTAGAAAAGTTCACAAACCACAAACATAATATATGGCGCAGGGAAGAGTCAATGCCAGATTGTTTTTACTATACTCTACATTTCCAAAAAAAAAGAAAATTAAGAGCTAAGTTTCCTGGGTATTTTTTTTTTCTTTACTTTAAAGGAAAGACGTTACTTTTACTTTAAAGACATTTCATTTACTTTAAAGACATTTCATTTACTTTAAAGGAAAGACAGTTTGAGCTGGGTGAATCTTAGCATACATTCAGAAACAAGTAACTACATAGAGTATCAAGCCCCCAAATCATTAGTCTTTGTTTCAGCCACCCTTCATAACTGTTGAGTTTTAAATTCCTTTTTTTTTTAAACCATCATTCTCAGCAAACTATCACAAGGACAAAAAACCAAACACCGCATGTTCTCACTCATAGATGGGAATTGAACAATGAGAACACATGGACACAGGAAGGGGAATATCACACTCCGGGGCCTGTTGTGGGGTGGGGGGGAGCGGGGAGGGATAGCATTAGGAGATATACCTAATGCTAAATGACGAGTTAATGGGTGCAGCACACCAACATGGCACATGTATACATATGCAACAAACCTGCACATTGTGCACATGTACCCTAAAACTTAAAGTGTAATAATAATTAAAAAATTTAAAAAAATAATAATAATAAAATAAAAAATAAAAATAAATAAATTCCTAATCATGCGTGCTAATTGAAGGACATCATGGCACAGACA
Source organism: Homo sapiens (assembly GCF_000001405.40). Lineage (NCBI taxonomy): Eukaryota > Metazoa > Chordata > Mammalia > Primates > Hominidae > Homo > Homo sapiens. Next base: position 229,614,280 of record NC_000002.12, read on the forward strand.
AGCAAGTTAGGAGTAAGGCAAAAGTAATTTTGTTTGGCACTGAGCAGAGTTTGAGATTTACATCTGAAGATAAGCATCTAAAAATTCAAGATCCATCAGAAAAAAACATGAAACACAAAAAGATGGAATGTTCGTTTCTCAAGTCACCCAGCCTTTCTGAAGTCCTCTACCATTGGGAACAAGTGAGAGTAGCTCCAAGCCCAGTCTCCTGGCCTTAACTCCATCCTCCTTCCCACCCTGTTTCTGGACTCTCCTACAGGACGTTTTTATTAACAGGGTCATAATTTCCTGGGACAAGGAGGTAGCTCTGTATGCCCCAAAGACTTTCTTGCAGTTCTTCTGGAGCTAGACAGGGTTGTCTTGAGGCTACAGAATGAGGCAAAGAACAGAGCTATGAACCCGGGCATAAGAGACTGGGCTCCAGCCCTGCCTCCTCTGCAGACTGGACAGTGACTCTGAATTGCATCTTCCTCATATAAAATCTAAAAGACCAGTGCCCACTTTCCTCATGGCTGGTTAGAGAAATCAAAAGTACAGTGCAATATGATATTAGGTGATTATTTTAAAGTTGTATTAATATTTACCTCCCATTAACCAAGATACAGTCACTTGAAGTCTAACATTCTGTATGTATAGTTGCTTTTATTTGCTAGGATTAGGAACTAATCTACGAAGACTTTATCTACTAGGATTAGCAGTAACATTTATCACCAAAGTTTCATTCTTAGAAGGGTAAATGGGAATTTACAATAACGACATAGTCAAGGCAGGGAAGCTGGTGACACCTCCCCACCCCCACTCAATGATGCATTTTTCAAGTCGTCCAAAGGGTTTAGAATTGTTCTGTAGAGGCCGGGCGTGGTGGCTCATACCTGTAATCCCAGCACTTTGGGAGGCCGAGGCAGGCGGATCGCCTGAGGTCAGGAGTTTGAGACCAGCCTGACCAACATGGAGAAACCCCATGTCTACTAAAAATACAAAATTAGCCAGGCGTGGTGGCACATGCCTGTAATCCCAGCTACTCGGGAAGCTGAGGCAGAAGAATCGTTTGAACCTTGGAGGCTGAGGTTGTGGTGAGCCAAGACTGCACCTTTGCATCCCAGCCTGAGCCACAAGAGCAAAACTCCGTCTTAAAAAAAAAAAAAAAAGGCCGGGCGCGGTGGTTCACGCCTGTAATCCCAGCACCTTGGGAGGCCGAGGCGGGTGGATCACGAGGTCAGGAGATCGAGACCATCCTGGCTAACATGGTGAAACCCTATCTCTACTAAAAATACAAAAAAAAATTAGCCGGAAGTGGTGGTGGGCACCTGTAGCCCCAGCTACTCGGGAGGCTGAGGCAGGAGAATGGTGTGAACCCAGGAGGCAGAGCTTGCAGTGAGCAGAGACCGTGCCACTGCACTCTAGCCTGGGCAACAAAGCAAGACTCTGTCTCAAACAAAAAAAAAGAACTGTTTTGTAGAGGACAAAGTGTCACATTTCTGTAGTGGTCATCCCTTCACTAGGAGACTAGCGGCAAAAAAAAAAAATCTGTCTAAAGCTATTGCAAAGCAAGCAGCCACAAGAAGTGAGGGTAGCTAGGATCCAGCTAAGAGTCTGGGTTTCTGAGGGTCTAATTCCCCAGGTAGACATGGACCTGCATGTAGGAATCTGAATGATAAGGCCAGCGTGGCATGGAATGCTTTATCAAAGTTTAAAAGTGAAGGAACCCCTTTTACTGGAAAACAAGTTTCACAAACACCCAATGTTAACCTCCATTAAAGTTGTTACCCAAATAGATACAAGTATATTTTTATTAAAAACTGCAAAACTGATAAACTTAAATTAATATAATGTGGTAGAAAATATTATTTTGCTGCAGCTAGTTGGTTGCTCATAGGTGACCATGCTCATGAAGTTTCTCTGGAGTGTGCCCACTGATGCTACTACCACGGACCACCACGGGCTATGGGGCCACCATGGGCCGTGTGATGTGGAATCCTCCCACATCCTCTCCTCATTCAACCCACCTTGAAACTTTTGTCCTATGGTTCCATGTGACTTTGGGCCTTCACTTGGAGCAAATACATCATTTACTTATTACTGATTTTTTTTTTCTCATTGGCCAACTCTATGATCAACCCAAACAGGCCTTGTATCTCAGAGTGGTACTCAATCATAAAGTGGTCACTTCTGATCTAGGGTGATGATAACAAGAGAGCACACGAACATTACACGTTTTCTCAGCCAACTCACAGACCTCCCTGAGAATACACCCACAGACAGTGTGTATGTCCCTCCTTCCTCTTTCTGTCCCCAGAAACATTGCTGTAGAAGAACACTAACTGGGGAATCAAGAGAACAATGGCACTCTCTATCCACTTGTGGTCATCATCTCCACTCTCTGGGTGTCACGGGTGAAGTGAGGGAGCTGTCTCAGATCTAGATCATGTCTAGGGCCCTTGGCAGATCCACCTTCTATAATGCCATTAATCTCTAATACCCTGGGGTGATGCCAGGACCATCTCTGGGCAAAAGGCTCACATAGGCTAAGTGAGCATTCCTAATGTATCTTAAATCATGGTGTTTATCTGGACACGTGGCTTGTCCTGGTCTCTGGACTGAGGCCTTTGGCATGCTTATGCAGATGGGAGGGTCTGCTACAGGTTGCTCTGGCCATGCTGTGACAACGTGCCCTGGAAAGGTCCTGAATATGGCTAATTTTGGCAGACACCAGAGCGCATCCACTGAAGAAGAACCGAAAGATGAAAAGCCGGGATTTCAACCTTGCATTGATTTCAAAACATGCAAAATGAATTCAATAAATAGGAAATCATTTATGACACTTGATTTTATTTATCAAAACTTAACATTAGCTCTACAATGAGTAAAAATCAGGATGGAGAGTATGGTAACTAAAATAAGAAAAAAAGAGCTCCCTTTCTTGATTCCATAACAGTAAATGTACATTCCAGAACAGAGATTATGACATGGTTATATTTCCAGTATTTAGATCCAATTTATTCAAATAATTGCAACCTAATTGTGTGGAGCTATTTTAAATACTGATTTGCTTTGCTTCCCATTTAAATTAAAACCTCATCACCTGTGACTATTATACCAAATATGTTCCTTATAATTTAGACAATGAAATATTAATTATAATTTTGAAAATTAGCTTTGCTTAGATACAACTGTTCTCAATAACTTTTAGTCTTCTGAAAAAGGCTCTTAAAGACTGATCCACTAAACACATTGGTTGTATCCTTTTCTATTTCAATTTTCTAACACACAAAAAAAAAGTTTATATTTTTTGCTGATATTGTAAGTCATTTATTTCCATACTTCATAAAGAAGACAAAGGAAAAATAGTTTTTTTGTTATAAGCATGAAAAGAGTCCCAGGTCAGAAATTCAGGCTGGGCATGGTAGCTCTCGCCTATAATCCCTGCACTTTGGGAGGCCAACACAGGAGGATCACTTGAGCCCAGGAGTTCAAGGCCAGCCTGAGCAACATGGCAAACCCCATCTCTACCAAAATACAAAAATTAGCTCGGTGTGGTGGCACACACCTGTGGTCCCAGCTACTTAGGAGGCTGTGGTGGGAGGATCGCTTGAGCCCAGGAGGTCAAAACTGCAGTGAGCCAACATCATGTCACTGATTATATGATTGCACTCCAATCTGGGCGACTGAGTGAACACTGTCTCAAAAAACAAAAAAGAAAAGAAATGTAGTCCCCTGATCTTTGAAAAGTCACATGACCCCTGGGCTTTTGTTGCTACATCCATCCAATGGAGATAACCCCCCTTTTCCTGCAAGAGGCAGGAGCTGTGCCCAATGGCCTTCAGAGCCTGCCAGCCCTATATTCTCATAGATACATAATGTAGGCAATAGAGCATAATGGCTGTTTTTTTAATCACAGGTACTACTGGCCAGGAAATAGTGAATCCAAAATTCCCGTAAGAGTCTGGAGGTAGGTGGAAATACATAGTGTTATTACACAAAAAGCTTCATGCTGTGAAGGCCCCACAGGAGAAGACACTGTCAGTCTAGAAAGGGGATGACAACAGGCCAACACCATTCGTTTGAATAAGAGTTCTTCCCAATTCCTCCCTGTGAAAAATATAGTCAGGAAAAATGGAACCGCACTACATGTTTTTTTATTATGCTTTATACTATGTGGCTCCAGAAGGTGGGCTCCATAATTCTCAACTCAAACTCATGTCTTCATGAAGGCCTATTTCCAAGGGCCTCTCACGCAGCATGTGATGTAGCTCGCCACGCATCAGCCTCGCAAAGCTGGTGCCCCGGACGCACAGCCCACCCCAGTGAATTCTGCCTTAACAAGGCTTAGTTCTTCCACCAGGGCACCAAGTCTCAGCTGCCGTCCAAATTGTTATGTTGCACATTTCATACTCTATTTGTGAGTAGACTAAAGTCAATAAAATTAGTAAATTGGCTGAATTTAATAATTTTTAGGTATGCCAATTCAGTAACTGTTATATAAGCTAAATAAAATGATATTCCTCTTTTTAAATTTCCTCGCTTTTATTTTAATGTCTCTTAAAGTGGCCTCATGACTCAATCAAAATTTTACATAGCTGAACACACAGTGGCTTATGTCTGTAATCCCTTTGGGAGGCTAAGGGAGGAGAATCACTAGAAGCCAGGAGTTCTAGACCAGGCTGAGCAATATAGCGAGACTCCCTCTACACCCACTCCTGCTGCCCATCTCTACAAAAAATTTTAAAATTAGCTGGGCACAATGACTATACATGTAATTCTAGCTACTCAAGAGGCTGAAGATCGCTTGAGCCAAGGAGTTCGAGGTCACATTGTGTCACTGCATTCCAGCCTGGGGGACAAAGTGAAACCCTGTCTCTAAAAAAATTTATACACACACACACACACACACACATACACACACACATAAAATAATTTACTTACCTAGCATATGCCACTGAACAAAGCTAAAATATCCTAAAGTAGGTAAAATTTATTGAATAATTATGCACTGTATGCCTGGAGAAGGCCTATGGTTAGGATATTTTATTTTCATTTTGAACACGTTATCTAACAAAATTATCTAGTTGCATAGCCCAAATAAATTAGAAGCTACACATTAGAAAGAAAAGTTTTTACTAAAAACCAGCTCAGTGATGTAAGTGCAGAGAGACATCTGGCTTGGAAAGAAGCAGGAAAAATATATGAAAGGGAGCAACATGGAGTCAAGAAGTTGGCCACTGGAGGCCACTGGATGGAGTTGGGGGTGAGACGGCAATGTCCTAGGGCTTCTGTTCAGTTACTGCCTGATTCTAAATTAATGCCCAAGATAATGCCCTTCAGTTACAACAGAGAGGGTAAATTATATTCTGTGTGCTCTGCTGGTACGTATAGTGTACTGAGGGACCATTTCTTAAAAATGACTGCAAAGAATAATATCAGAATTTAAAGAATAAACTTCAGGTATCTGGGAAACTCATTTAAAGTAATTTATCAAATGCTAGGTAAAGGAGCTGGTACTATATTTTAAATAATTAAATAATAGTGAATATAAACTTACTACATTAAATAATAGTGAATATAAACTTACTACAGTGATTTCTAGTTGGATAATGTTTACATCTATTATTTCGTCTCTCACCCCACGGGTCATTCTCCACCTGCACTACTATTCCATCCTCACCTTTGTTTTTGAACAAGGAAAAGCCTTGTGAAATCAAGCAATTAAGTATTCTTTTATTATTATGAAGCTGAGAGGAAGTGAAAAATCACCAGGGTGAAGTTTCTTCGCACTTGAGAAAGCAGATTGATGAAGCTAACATGGGATGCACGGGAAGTTTGTTCAGAACCAAAGCGACTCGGATGGGCACCCTCTCAGCCTGTGGGTGTCGCGGAAGAACGGGATCACCCTCCCCTCCTGGGCCGGAATGTGATATGAAGAGAGCATCGCTCCCGAGAGACACAATGGATAGAAATAATAATGGAAAGGAAATAAATTCAGAAAGCAATTAAGGAACTGTCAACAGAAAGGGCTGAGCAAAACCAGATATCAAAATTACCATTTAATCTTTTTTCATGTATCTTTTTGGCTCAAATTACTTTCATATCAGAGTTATAATTATGGATATCACCACAAGCCATTAGCCTCACAGTTGGCACTCTCCTTACCCCCAACAAATTAAATGTCAGCCATCGGGCTTCAGCCATCATCACTCCTTCAAGAAGGGCTCCTGTCAATCACCTCACTGCGTGTGATGAGATGAGCCGCAGCCTCGAGGCAGAAGCAGCCCTCTGCGGTTTGGGGTGCTCGGTAGCTCCTGCAGACACAAACGTTCTCTTTTGCTTTCCTGATAGAGTTCCCTGCAAATCCTCAGAGAAACACCAACCCCACACTGGGATGGGGCGTCAGTCCCTTGAGAAGTGTTATGGGCTGAATTGCATCCCCCCAAAATCCATATATTGAAGTCCCATCCCTCGGTATGTCAGAATGTCACTGTATTTGAAGACAAAGTCTTTAAGGGGTGATGAGATGAAAAAGAGGCCATTAGGGTGGGGTCCTGGTCCAACAGGACTACTGCCCTTAAAAGGAGGAGTCACACCAGGGATGCCCATGCCAGGAGGAGAGGCCGTATGAGGACACAGTGAAAAGGCAGTTGTTTGCAAGCCAAGGAGAAAGGCCTCAGGAGAAACCAAACCTGCTGACACCTAATCTCAGACTCCCAGGCTCCAGCACTGTGAGAAAATAAATATCTGCTGTTTAAGCCACCCGGTCTGCGGTGCTTTGTTATGACGCCTTAGCTAACTCATACAAGAAGTTTCTGCGTGTTTCCAAGAGTAAACAAGTCCTTAAGGACATCATTACTAAGTGCTCTTACTAAGGGTTTTAACACTGCAGATATTAAAACAAAACAAAAGTGATAAATAATAACTACATGAGTACGCCTACCATCAGAAATTACTGCAATGACTTCCTGTTTCCCCACAGTTTCTCATTGCCCTATTTTGATCATTCCTACATACCGTTGTCAAAGTAGAATCTTCCTAAAGCACAGCGTTGAAAATTGTATTCACCTGCTGAGAAAAGTCCACTGGATTCTCATTGACGACCAAATGAAAGTGTCATATGAGGCCCTGGAGAGGCTGGCCCCGATGCTACTTCCCAGCCATGCCCACTGCAATACTTCCCACACTTCCCACCTGCTCCCAGCCCTGCCCACCACAATACTCCCCACACTTCCCACCTGCTCCCAACAGGAGGATCTGAGGCCACCTGGATGCACCTGGCCTCACCCTCACTCCTTGCCCTTTGGTTTTTTTTTTAACCTGGAACCATGGGCCTCTTGAGCTCAGAAAGCCTTCCCAGCCATGCCTACTACAATATTTCCCACACTTCCCACATGCTCCCAACAGGATGATCTGGGGCCACCTGGATGCACCTGGCCTGACCCTCACTCCTTGCCCTTTGTTTGGTTTTTCTTACTTGGGCCTTTTGAGCTCAGAAGGCTCCCAAGGGGTCTCAGAATCTATTGAAATTGCATATAAAAGGGCCGGGCGCAGTGGCTCACGCCTGTAATCCCAGCACTTTGGGAGGCCGAGGCGGGCGGATCATGAGGTCAGGAAATCGAGACCAACCTAGCTAACACTGTGAAACCCCGTCTCTACTAAAAATAAAAAAAAATTAGCTGGGCATGGTGGCAGGTGCCTGTAGTCCCAGCTACTCGGGAGGCTGAGGCAGGAGAATGGTGTGAACCCAGGAGGCGGAGCTTGCAGTGAGCCGAGATCGCGCCGCTGCCCTCCAGCCTGGGCGACAGAGCGAGACTCCGTCTCAAAAAAACAAACAAACAAACAAAAAAAAGAAATTGCATATAAATAATTACTCCTCTCTATACCTGACCTCTTTCCAGAAAGAGGGCTATAATTCTCATCAGATTTTCAAAGAGCTTGACAGCATTGAGTTTTACCTGAGCCCTGTACACCTGGAAAATAGTGATGGTTGTGAAATTGCCATCCCTTTGTATTCCAGGAAACAACTTACTGCAAAGAACCACCCTTCCCCATATGACTTAGATAAGACTCACCAATGACCCCTTTGACCCCCAAAGGCCAGACACAAAACCCTCAAATTCTCATAAATGAATAGCTGAAGCTTTGTCCCCATTGACCCATCTGAGCAAGATACCTGCTAATGTGACTTAACCAAGCTTGAGTCTTTTCTGCCCTGCGGGTCTTTGAACTTGATCCCCCCTCAGCCTGAGTCAGCACGGGAATGCAGAGTAACCTCCTTAGGAGCCACGGACTGTGTTACAAGCTGAATCGTGTACCCCCAAAAGAAGATTTGTTGATGTTGTAATCCCCAGTACCTCAGAATGTGGATTTTTTTGGAAACAGGGTCTTTGTGGACATAGTTAGATATGATGAGGTCATACTAATTAGTGTGGGTCATGGATGCCTGCATGACTGGCTTCCTTATAAGAAGAGAAGAAGAGACAGAGACACAGAAGCTGGAGACAGACAAGGGAGTGATCCATCCATGAGCCAAAGAATGCCAAGAATTGCAGGCAACACCAGAAGCCAGGAGAGAGGCTTGGAACAGATTCCTCCAAAAGGAAACAATCTTGCCAACATGTTGATTTCAGACTCCTGGCCTCCAAAACTGTGAGAGAATAAATTACTGTTGTTTAAGCCACTGAGTTTGTGGCACTTTGCACAGAGGCCCCAGGAATCTACTACAACCAAGGAAAGACATCTGGTCAACCGTTGGTTTGTGCCACCTGCTCATCCTTACTCCTCCACCCTAGGTCTTTCCAGCATGTTTAATCCTCCCTACAAAAGAAAGTTCCTTTCTGCCTGACCTTTGAGACTCTCGCAGACCTCATGGTGGGAGCATTCTCCCTATTGCGCAATAGTCCCCTCCTCTAATTGTAAAAGCTCCCCCTCGCCCTACGACAATCACCGCTTTCGATGAAGTCTCTCCTTACCTAAGCCCGGGCTGTTTTTTTCTTTGACAAGCTCTATGGTCCATAAGTGGTTAAGAACCAGTGCTCCTCATGAGCTAATCTCCACCCACCTTCTTTGCAACTTACCTTAGCTTCCGCCATGCTGCCTGGCCATTTCCCCTCAAATCCTTGCCTGCTCCCCCTCCCATCAGCAGGAAGGAGCCTTTCCAAGTCTACCATTGGTAAAGGGATAGTGTGTGTTCCCCACCCCCATACCTACTTGTTTTCCAAGATCCCTGCCCCCAGCCCAGGCAGCCGGGCATGAGCTACTTGTCCTTAGGGGAGGCCTGCTACTGGGAGCCCGAGAAGGCAGGCACAGAATCCTGGCATTTGAGTTTCAAAACCACAATAAGGAAGAAGACAGAAATTGTTGGACAAGTCCTTGATCGCTACTGCAGACTACAGAAAGACTCCATGGGCTGAGGCTGGGAGGTGGGCACAGAGCTGCTGTCATTGGAGTGAGCACTGTTGTCACCAGCATCAGGTGAGTGGGGACCTATGGATATCTGGTCCCACTGCAGTGGGTGCTGCCTTAGGGCATTGCTTCCCATCCCAGAGCCAAGGAACCCCCAGCTCCTTCCACCTCTGCTTCTCTCCCTGCTGCACACATTCCTCTCTAAGAATCACATGCTTCAATGCTTAAAGGAAAGTCCTAAACAGATGTCCCATATTATCCATGAACTGGGACAATCAGGCCTCACGTGAATAACCAACAGCCATGGTGGGGCTTCACGGAATCACAGAGGTCCTGGGTTGGAATGGACTTTAAAAGTCTTAAAATCCAGCTCCCCAGCCACCCCAGCTGCTTCACAAAAATTTTTCAGACAGTGTTTATAAAAGTCTCTTGAGCAAGTGAAAGAATTTGTTGCAGACACAACAGAAAGCTGGGGTCAGCTAGTTGTTCCTCCTGAGCACCTGCTAAAGAGATGCATCAGGAAAATGAAACAGCAGGGAAGGCAGGTAAGAATATAACAAAAGGAAAACACAACTCTAAGTTAAAAGTGAAGTTAAGAAAGAGAAAAAAGCAGGAAGATGGAGTAAGCCACGAGAAAACTTAAAGGTTCCTAAATCCTATGCTAGCAGCTCAAATCTCTCATTAACAGACAGGAAATATTCTGCAGCAAGACACCTACTAGAAAAATACTAAAGGAACCTAAAAGTCCGTTCTTCAACATTTTACCCATTTTCTCTTCCTTGCACTAAAAAGTAAAAAGGTGAGTCTCTGGAACAATATAATAAACTAAAAAAAAAATAGTTAAATAATGGCTTTAAGAGACTTTCCAAACTTTTCTCCAAAACCAGAAATACACTAATGTTTTCCTACCTCCAGCAAATTAACAGGGCATAAAATAGTTCCTGTCTTAAATAGTACTTAAATAGTAGCGTGTCCTGATTTCAACAAGATCAGGTACGTTTGCCTGCATGCAATCAGCAGTTTTCACCAATGCTAAAATAACCCGAAATCGTTTTTCTCTCTGCATTTTTTAGACTATGACATTCCACCCTCACTCCCAGGCAGTCTTGACAGAGCCAGAGTTGAGCTACATAACACCTTTGTATTTGTGTACATTTCTGGAGGCTACACAAATTATCATTTCAAATCATCCCTCTTAATTTTCCTGCTGAGGTTAGCTCAATGGACTCTGGGACTCCAATTTCTATTACTTCTTTTTTAGTCAATTTCCTCAGATTTCAAATATGTAAGCAAAATCTCCTAAAGTATTTCTACATGAGGGTGAGGAATTCGCTATTATTTCATTTTACTCTTTATATTATTTCATTTTATTATTTTGTTTTATTATATATTGAAGATAAATATGAGAAGATTTTATAGGATGATGGTATTTCTTTAAAATAAACCCCTAAGCCCAAGGCTAAATAGAAATTGCGATCAAATCAAGGAAAATCACATAAAGCAAATTCAGAAAAATCTGCTTCCTCAGTGTAGCTCTCTTGTATTTTACAATGTAGCTCTCTTGTATTTTATTTTCATGGAAAATCACCGGGGGCTGGGAGGGGTGGCAGGAGGAAGCTCTCCCTCTTCCCAGTTGTTCTTCTTTCCATCTAATCCCACACTTTCCCTTCTGACACCTGCTTCCCGATTCCACTCCCTTACTGCCACCTTCTCACATCCTTACCAACATCTACTGACACCTCCCCCATCAACCCAGCCTCCTCCACTGCTCAGGTGAACAAAGCTGTCATGGCCAGAATGGAGCATGAAGGCCCGGTCACCGAGTCATATCAAAGGCCAGAAAACAAGGGAGACGGAGGGGAGCGGGCTCAAGGGCCAGAGGAAAGCTCCACTTCTGCCTAGGTAGGATTTAAGCTCTAGAACCAACAAAGAGCCTCTTATCAAAAGCTTACAGATTATATAAGTTGGGCACATTATCAATAGGAAACATAATTATGGAAGAAATGAATGTGAGTTTGAATGAAGAGGAGAGCATAGGGGTAGGGCAGGAAAGTTGTCCTAAGTATTGGAAACCACTTACCGTGAGCCTTGGTAGCAGGAATGCAATAGGTGGCATTGAAGGACAGCAAAAAGGTCCAGTTTGGCTAGACTGGAGGGAGAGTTGAAAGAGTTCACAGGTATGGAAAGGCCAGAAGGACTGTCTACTATGCAACTTTGTTTTTGTTGTTTTTGTTGTTGTTGTTGTTGTTTGTTTTTTGTTTTTTTTTTGAGATGGAGTCTCGCTCTTTTGCCCAGGCCGGACTGCAGTGGCGCTATCTCGGCTCACTGCAAGCTCCGCCTCCCGGGTTCACGCCATTCTCCTGCCTCAGCCTCCTGAGTAGCTGGGATTACAGGCACCCACAACAGTGCCTGGCTAATTTTTTGTATTTTTAGTAGAGACGGGGTTTCACCGTGTTAGCCAAGATGGTCGCGATCTCCCGACCTCGTGATCCGCCTGCCTCGGCCTCCCAAAGTGCTGGGATTACAGGCGTGAGCCACCGTGCCCGGCCTACTATGCAACTTCAATGACATAGGTTGGAGTAGAAGTTTCTTTTGCATCCAAAGGCTAAGGGGGAAATATTGAGTGAAGGAGGAACGCAATCCGCTGTTCAAACCATTACATGCAACTCCGAACAACTCATCAGAAACTAGGATGTATCTCATGATCTAAGAAAAATTTGTACAGACTAATTTTTCTTTAATTTTAGAAATAGGAAAGATAGACAAAGCACAAATTTAGCAGTTTCTCCCATGTGCTTATACAACCATTATTCAAACATATTACCAGAAGTAGTTACAGAGAATCGGGCAATTACAGAGAATCAATGTTCCTTTCATTGTAAGGGCCTAATGAAAGGGCTGGAACATGCTGAAACTATAAAAGAAGCAACATTTTCCTATACCCCATCTGCCTGTTTGGGAAATAATACCAGCTTTTCCCATATAAAGTAAATTAATAAATCAATACAACCAACAAAAAGGCAGCATTGGTAGGAGATATTTTAATTGAGTCATCCTAAAGTCTGGACTTGTTTAAAGCCTTCTCACTTTAAATAAATATCAAGTCATTTAAGTTTTGAAACTGACTTTGAATTCAGTACATACAACATATTGTCCACACAGTAAAGAAGAGAGCATGCAGAAATGCCTGTTTGAAAATAAAAGAAATATCCAACTCAAGTCACCTTTAAAAAACCACCAGGGCATTTTAGAGCTGATGAGAATGACAGAGATCATGGGGTCGAACCCTGTTATCAATCACGTTGGAAAACTGAGGTCAAGGGATGTTAATAACTCAACCCAAGTCTCAGAGCAGGCAACACATTTTTCTTTTCACTGAAGTGCATGGTCCCAATGAATTTATCAGAATGTCTCTTTGTATGCAGTGTAAATCTTTATGGTACCTCAACTTGTACTTCTAGTCCCCTTCCAATTAGCCACCAGAAACAATATCTAGTGCCAGCCTCAGACAAAGACCCTGTGAGATATCCACACAAATGCTTCACTCTCTCAATTCTTTCCTCACAATAAGCACCTACAGATGCAGACTGCGAATATCTGTAATTTAATAAACACACATCACCCTGTATTTTATAAATATAACTAGTTACAAGATAGAAAAGGAAAATAGCTCAACAGGTCACCTAAAATCAGATAGTTCTGTTTATTTCACAACTTTAGACATAACAGATTTCAATTAATAAAGACTTTTCCTAATTTTTATAAAAGCTTAACCACTTGGTACCCAACCTTTCTAGACTTCTGGTTTAGTGCCAGCTCCAGAAGAAAACAATTTTTAAATATTTGAAGCAACTAAACAGGTATTTACCACCTATTAACAATGAACAAAACCAAGGAAGGAAATAAAGACACAAAGATTGCATCAATGAAACCATGATCAGGATGCCATGTGGAAGAAAGAGAGGTCTGATTAACAAGCGAAGCCTTATAGATGGCAATTTGTTTGCTGAAAAAACAAGACTCCCAGTAAAAACAAGCTGTGACCAGCAAGTTTACTGTAAGCAGCAAGTTGTAAGTGTGACTAGGGAAGGAGAGAGTCCCTCACAAGCAGGAAATGAGAGAAGAGCTAGGAACCCCAGGCAAGTTGGAGGTAATAAAGGGATTAGGCAGTGAAATTGCATCTATAGCCCCAGGGGCACTGCAGTGGTGAGAGGCAGCAGGCGGTATTTTCCAACATGGCGCAACAATGGTTCCCACCACACATCCTCTTCTGCTGAGTGACATTGCCACTTTCCAATCAGGAGGTAGAGTCCTTTTCTCCCCTCTCTTACACATGGGCAGGCCTGTGGCTGCTCTGACCAATAGAGCAGGGTAGACCATCATGCCAGGTCCAGGAAGGCCCTCGCCTGGTCCAGTAGCTACTACTTCCTGCCTCTTGGAAGACAGCTACTGTGTTGGAACTGAGGCTATCCAAAAACCACCATGCTGGGAGAAGCCTACACCACATGGAGATGCCCTGAAGCATGAGACACCGAGGTGAGCGGCAGAGGAGGGGAAATAGATCAAACAGTACCAGGGCACCAGCTGTAGGAAGGAGGAAGTCATCAAAGTCATATATCCACAGTTTCAGGCACTCCTGCTGGTGTCTCATGCACCAGAGACAAATTCCTCAACAGAGCCCTTTCCGAATGTCCAACCCATAAAATTGTGAGCAAAATAAAATGGCAGTTTCAGACAACTAAGTTTTGGGGTAATTTGTTACACAGAAATAGACACCAAAAACACGGGAACACGGTAGTAACAACTAAGTGTTGCAGAGAGGCCATTTTCAACTGATTTTGAACGACTGGGCCTTTTGTCCAAAAGATATCTTATAAGAACCCCAAAATATTCAACAGAAATAACCAGAGCTGCTCTGACGCGGTGGACAAGGGTGTCCAGAATGTCAAGGAGCTCTGTGGTGGAATGAAGGATGATCCTAGGGCCAGTGCACTGACCATGGTAACGCTACAGAGAGGACCTGCAATCCTCACCCAAGAAGTCATCACTGCAACCCAGCTTCCTGAGGCAGTGTCTAAATGTAAGTCAACAGCTCGTAATCTTACCCTCTGCAGCCAGAGGGAACCTAGTTCTAACATCAAGAGTTGGAACCCCGGACATCAAAAAGGTACTACCCCTGGTCTAGCCTCTTCTTTGTCTCAGGATCTGACCACTGACGTTTCCATCTTGCAGTGTGACTGCTTCCCCTAACATATTTTCACCCTAATCTTAACATGTGTTTAAAAATACCAACACCCCCTCACCCTGCTCCTTCCTCTTTTCTTCTTCTCTCCACTCACTGTTTTTTGCTCTCAGGGAAAGGAGCAAGAAAAAGAAATGGGACAGTGTTTTGCCTGGTGGTTGGCTGATTAGACTCTGAATCTCAGCTCTGTAGATTGCCATACCAAATTTGCCAATTTAGTAACTGTGCCTCTGTTTTCCAAGCTGCAAATTGGCTGCAATCATCATACAAACCCTGCTCATTGAATTGTAAGACTGAAATGAATTCATATGTGATAGTCAGCACTCAATAAATGTTAGGTCATCATTATTTTTCTAACTAAACCTTAATGCTTTCCAATATTCTAGTAAGGAGGAATTTATAGATAATGCCTGAGATGCACCATAAAGAACAAAACTCTTACATATGATTAGACTTATATAGGTCTCTTTACATTTTACTAAGGAGGACTTACTTAGGTGGCTCAACAGCACTGTAGTCACTATGTGGAGACCTCATTGGGCAGAAATGGTAACGAGAGCTTTCTGAATTGTTGCCCCCATTTGAATCAGCCAAGTTAGCAACTCCAGGGTGCCAGTTTGAGTGAGTCAGCCCTTAAAAGACCCTTGAGCAATACATGGAGTCAAGTGTCTCAGACAGGCAGTCAGCTGTGGGGCTTCCAGTCATCCCAAAATGAAAATGTTCTTATTACGAAGACTTGGAAAATGGCAAACAAAAGAAATCACAATTTTGATTCATTTACCCTGTATCAAAGCATTCACGTTTGAAAAGTCTTCGCTGGGCATTCTGGGACAGCACCCAGAAATGCAGTGAGGTGGCATTCTGAATATTTGTCCCTCTGTGACCGCATCTGTAGGTGACTTTATCTTTGATAGATGGATCTTTAAAACAACATTTATTGTGGTTGCTTCTTGATCATATGCAGTAACTTGGGCATTTTCAGAAAGGGTGACCAAGAAGCATCCAACACAATATTAGAAGGTTATTATGACTGGCAGAAAATATGTCTCAAATTAGGAGCACACAGAATGTGTGCCTCTTTTAGCAATCTCATCTATAGGCACAATCTATTATCCCTAATCATTTTCCAATGTTTTTGTTGGCAGTTTATCTATCTTCTATTTTAATGGATAATTACATAAAAAGCATGTTAAGCTTCAGCAGAATTTATTCATTCATTCAACACCAACTATAAAAAGAGACCCTAGAAGTGTTATAGACTCACAAAAAATAAAACCTTCTGGGCCAGGAATGGTGGCTCTTGCCTGTAATCCCAGCACTTTGGGAGACTGAGATGAGAGGATCACCGGAGGTCAGGAGTTTGAGACCAGCCTGGCCAACATGGCAAAACCCTGTCTCTACTAAAAATACAGAAATTAGCCGGGTATGCTGGCACATTTCTGTGATCCCAGCTACTCAGGAGGCTGAGGCAGGAGAATTGCTTGAACCCGGAAGGCAGAGGTTGCAGTGAGCCGAGATGGTGTCACTGCACCCCAGCCTGGGCGACAGAGTGAGAGACTCCATCTCAAAATAATAATAATAATAATAATAATAATAATAATAATAATAATAAAATCTTCTGGCAGATGTTTAAAATATGTCTCATTTACCCATGGCACAGGGATCGCAAGCTAATATATATATTTGGACAGAGGCTTTTTATTGACAGCATCTCATTTTCTTTTTTAAAAGAAAAATCAACTTTTTAGATTCAGAGGGTACATGTGCAGGTTTGTTACAAGGACATATGCGATGCTGAGGTTTGGGGTATGATTGATCCCATCACCCAGGTAGTGAGCATAGTATCCACTAGGTCATTTTTCAACCCTTGCCCCCCTTCCTGCCTCCCCACTCTTGTAGTCCCCAATGTCTATTTTTACATCTTTATGTCCACTGTACCCAGTATTTAGCTCCCACTTATAAGTGAGAACATGTGGCATTTGGTTTTTTGTTCCTGTGTCAATTCACTTAAGATAATGGCCTCCAGCTGCATCCATGTTGCTGGAAAGGACATGATTTCATTCTTTTTTATGGCTGTGTAGTATTCCATGGTGTATGTGTACCATATTTTCTTTATCCAATCCACCACTGATGGGCACCTGGGTTGATTGCATGTCTTTGCTATCACGAATAGCACTGTGACAAACATGAGTATATGTGTCTTTTTGGTAGAATAATTTATTTTCCTTTGGGTATACACCCAGTAATGGGCTTGCTGAGTCAAATGGTAGTTCCACTTTTAGGGAAAGCACCTTATTTTATTTTCATACCTGCAGGGAAAAAAAAAACATTTAAAGACATTGGCTGGCCTGGAAAAGACCAGCTAACTTACGCATGGGGCTTGCCCCAGGTGCAATGTTTGTGGCTACAAGTGTTTCCTGATCATTTTCCTGTACCCCAGTGATTTCTTGGAGCAGAGGTTTCTTTGAAAGCCATCATAGAGTCCCTAGAAGAACTCTCTTCTACTCTGAGCTCCCCTCCAGCTTCTTCTTAAAATATAGAAAGAAGATGTCTGGAGGAAGACACTTCACATTGCTGATGGAGCTTTCTTGGGGAGTAGAATTAGATCAGAAGAAAGAAAATGGAAGACTTCTTACTTTATGTACTCCTGCATACTGAGCATTATTATTTTCATAATTTAAAAAATATATATTTTAAGGATTACTGAAACTTTCAGGGCTCTGATTTTCTCACCTGAAAAGTGACAACCCCAGACCATGAACTAAATGATATGAAGATAACACTTCCAGTTCTTAAATTCTGCACCAGAAATGCCTGCTGCACAGCCAGTCACCAGTGCTTCCATCTCCACATCTTCACGAAAGAGCAAAAGAAAAGACATGGAAGTAACTTAATTGCTCAGTGCCTCAGTTTCCTCATCTGCAAAATGGAAATCATAACAGCATCTGCCTCATAGGGTTGTCTTAAGAATTAAACGAGCTAACAAAAGTAACTGGCACACGGAGCTCAAATGTCAGCGAGAATTATTTCCATTATGGTCACTCTTATTACTAATTCTATATCAACCAATAAAATATTCCTGCCAGTATTTTTCCTAACCCAATAAACTCTGCACTACAGAACTTTTAGAGCTAATATAAAGTACTCTTGTCAAAATATAGCGCTGTGAATGTCTCTTTAATTAAAACTTCAGCAGCAAAGGCAGTGCCATTGAACAGAAGATACCACTTTTAGCTGATAAGGATGAGAAGTCAAACATTGTATCACTTCAATACCAGCCAAAATATTATTAAAGAAAGCATTCCAATATCCTAAGGATTCTGGAAACACTGCTTCTAAGAAGCCTGCAAATTCAAAGTTACTCATGTTTTTAATTAACATATTACAAAACATTGAGTAGGAGACTCTGACACATTCAATCTAAAGCTAAATAAACACTAACTATAATATAGCGCTTGCATACTAAGAAACTCAGCAGCTCACAAAGCACATCTTTGTGACTAAATGGAGCATCTTAAGAACTCAATTTCACAAACATTTACTAAGGCTTGTCTCCTTAATAAAGCACTAACTGGTACACAAATATCTATGCTTCCAAAATCAAGATGCAGATTTCATTCATTTACAATCAAAGTTCAGGCAGGAATTTTTGTGCAGGATGGGAGGCTGGAGCAACTCACCAAATAATTATAAATGTCATGTACCAAGGAGAGGATAAGAACATAAAGAAAGTTCTGAAAGAATTACAAAGCAGTACTATTTAGACTGCAGTGTTAACATAGGTAGTCCAGATCACAAAAATATAAATATCAGCCCAGAGATGATATTAATTAGTAAACAAACTAGTATTTGCCACAAAGTGTTAACATTTTTCTCAACTAAAACAATAAGAAAATATTAGGCCCAAATCTTCAAAGGATCTAAAAAGATAATTCACAAAATAAAAGCTCTAGAGTGAGCAAACATGGGGAAAAGCTCAAGTTTACCAGTAACTAAAAATGCAAACTGAAAAAAGATAGCCGCTTTCCCTACTAAATTAGCAAGAATAAATTAATGAATAATTATTATTGTATCAAATGTCAGCAACTGTTCTGTAAAACTGATCTCAACATTACCTATGATGTTGTAAATTGGTACCCTTCTTTAGGAAACCTATGAGACAATAAGTAAATAAGTGACATAAGTAATCTTTAATTTCATAAGAGAAAATCTATAAGTTCAAAGCTGAATGTCAAAAAATGTCTTAATGGTAAATTTCAGGACAACTGAATGTATGACACTAGATAATGGTTGAGCCAGTTCTGGTACAATGACCACGTGGAGTATGGCAACTGTTAAAAAACAGAAGCCCCCTCTAAAACAATACAGAAAATGTAAATAATGGTGTGTTAAGGAAAGAAGCAGGATATAAAATCATTCACCTATCACACTTACAACTTTGTTAAATATTTTGAATATCTCTAGGGAATAAACAAAAATTATTGGAGTTATATTTGGGTCATGGATATTTTTCTCTTTCTTGCTAAACATAATGGTGTTATGCCACCTTATTTTTAAAAATAAAAAATACATTGTGGGAACTAAACAACTAAGATAGTAGAATTTCTTTAGAAAATCTAAAATGAATCCAAAGTAATATAAACAATGATTTAAGATTTTAGCAGACAAAAAATTAAATCCCAAGTATGAAAGGTGAAACAAAGCCACAATGTGAAATCTAGTCAGGCAGGCTGGAACAGAAAGCATAGCTCCTTGCAAGCCTGGGTGAGCATGCCTGTCCAGCAGCAGCCCGTTCAGGGCCTGTTCCCAAGAGCTGGGACATAGTGGACAGCAGGCGCCCAAACCACCCTGTTTCCCGGCACCACTGGGTAAGAGCATCCACATCCAAGAGAGGTGCGCTCCAGCCAGAAGTACATAGAGCAGCGTCTCTGGGCAAGGCGTCCTCCCTCTAGACTCCTTCTCTGAAGGTTCTTAACGCAGGTCACAGAAGCACTATTTTATTCATGCACCTTACAGACAGCCTGAAGCCAAGCACATAGGCAACTGGCTTAGAAAATAGGATACCAGAATATTTATCCAAGTAAAAACACTGTGAAGACTGAGTTTAAGTAGTAAATTATGTAGGCTGGCACCCAGCAGGCTGTGACTTTGTCCTCTCCTAAGGGACAATGACACCCATGCACAGCCTATGGAAATGAGAAAGAAGGCAGCTTAAGGAGGCAGAAGATGAAATTAAATGTAGACCATGGTTGTAACTTTCGTTAAAAATATTGAACAAATATGCATATAGAATAAGCAAAAAAATTATAATAGCTATGTCTGAGTTATGGACTTTTTCCTTCTTTCCTTCCTTCCTTCCTTCCTTCCTTCTTTCCTTCATTCCTTTCTCCAAGCTTTCTCTGAAATATTATCTCATTCTGTGAGGAGGAAATTGAGAGGCAGTGGGTGAAATATCCCAATAAATTCCACTGTACTCTCGCCACACTACTGCAGCATTTCTCACTTAACAAATTTGAGGAAATGATTTTTCTCATGCAGTTACATTGTATTGGGAATAATTCTGAAAATGGTATAATTTTACTTCTGAATTCTAGAAACATATACTCAAAAAAGAGAAAAACAAAAGCATTACATTTTGTAAGGATGTAATTACATCCGGAATTTGCTTTTGGAGCTATTTTGAACTTATAATGTAAGGCTCAAGGAGAAACCACTTTTTCTTAAAAAAAATAGATTGGCATTTAGTGCCATTTCACAGTCTGGGCAGAATTGGGAACTGGGGAATTGCCCGTCTTTTCTGCTCTGGTGGCTTTACAAGGCTGCCGGCCCAAAGGAGTCTGTCATCACCATGGCAACCTGGCTCAGCATCCTCTGCGAGCGGGAAGGAGGGGCTGCCTCCCTTGTCAGGTTCACAGCACCCGGCCACTTGTCCCCTTCTGGCACCTGAAATGCCCTTTCCCCCCACCAATGGAAACCCTTCAGGGCCCAACCCAAATCCTTCTTCCGCGAGGTCTTTTCCTTAACTTTTGAGAACAGCAGTGACCCTCTTCTTTGAACCACATCTAATGACAGCTTGACTGTCAGTTTTTCATCTCAAGCTCCAGTGAGGCTGGTAGCAGTGTCTGTGTTGACACAATTCCATGCAAGGTTGATATTCAGTCCATTTGTTCAAGGCAACCATTCCAATTGTTAACACAGTGAAATACTTCCATTCTTCCATGCTGCCCTGAGCACCCCTCCCTTCCCCTCTCCCCATGCCTGTTCCCTGGATGCTCTGGCTTTTTCCTGGGAACTCCTTCTGTCTCCTCGGCAGCAACCAAGGGGTTCATGCCTAGTACAGCAGGAGACCTCCAGCCCTCTGGCCAGGGTCAGCTCTGACTGGTCAAACAATACCACATGTTAAATGTTCTGACCACGGCCCTTTCTATGGATGCACTAAGGTCCCACAGGAAAAAAAAAAAAAAAAAAAAAAAACTCCCATATTGATTAGCAATGTCTACCAAGGGTACAAAGAGGAAGAGGGGCCGGCACACTGTATGATACTGATCTGATTAGATGTCTGCAGCATTTAGGCTGGCACTTCAGTATTGACACAAGTCTCAATGTCTTTATTCCTCACATGCAGGAAAGGCAACTGAAGGAGGGAAGAGGAGCATAAAGGGAAGAGGAAGTTAGCCCATAGCATAATTGGAATGGTTTTGTATTTTTTGTGAGCAGCCTGCACTGCACAATCAATTGAATCAACTGTCAGTTCAGAAGGAGCCTGATAGTGATCATTTTACTTCCTATTCACAATGTCCATAGGAGCACCATTTCCTAAATATGCTGGGAAATAATCATTATATTAATAACAACAGCAAAAATAGTATTTTGTACAACATTTACCATGTACTGGTAACAAAAGCAAAACAAATATTTTGTGTAGTGTTTGCCATGTACTGGGCACTGTTCTGTGCATGTTATAGGTATTAACTTACTTAATCCTCAAAAAAACTCTGAGGGTTATTTTATAGAAAATATTTTTATATTATATATATTTTTTATATTGTTATTTTAGTTGACGTTTTACAGAGTAAGAAACTGAGGTACAAAAAAGTTAAGTAATTTGGCCATGGTTACAAACTCAGAAAAGACAGAACCAGGATTTGAACCCAGGCCATCTTCTTCAGAGGCCACATTCTCCCGTGGCACACCGTAACTCCTCCAAGGCATTGTTTGCTGGTGCAAACCGTTTGTACCAGCATATCGTACTCAGCGTTTTCCTGACTGAAGCAAAATGAGAACAGCTTCCCAACAAACTCCTGAGCTGCCCAATGCACAGTTCTCCTCACATCCAACAGCTGGGCTCAGTCCCTCAGAATCCCTGAGTCAGAAGCACCCCTGTGCTCCCTGCCCTGGTTGCAAGCCAAGCCAGTGGCACAGAGGTGCCAAGTCATAGGGAAGATAGTGTTCAACTGGCACAAAAAGTCCTATCTGGACCAAGGGGTGAACAGAAGGCACCCTCGAGAAGACAGGATAGATGGGGAAACAGGAAATGCTGAGGAGGGAAAGACAGAGTGCATGAGAGAGTCCCAAATCTAGGAAGGACCTGGTGCAAGTCCTGCGTCTTACTGACTAGGTCCAGAGAGAGGATGGGGCTTGTCCAAAAGCGTAGCTCACTAACAATAAGACTTAACTAAATTTCAAGTTCCTTGAAATCATGAGACTTGAATCACAAGACTTGAAATGTCCCTAAGTCATGTTGCATCAGTACAGCTAACAAGGTATGAACTTGTTCCCCCAAACCAGTTTTCCCCCTCTACTTAGGCACAGCTATAGACTACATTTACCAGACTCCTTTGCAGTTGGGTGTGGTCACATGAATGAGCTAATCAATGGAATGTAAGAGGAAGGCACAGGTACCAGATCCAGGCCTGGCCATACAAACCTCCCTGACTGGCTCCTTCTTGGTCATTCTCCTTCCCACTGACCAGAATGAAACCCCTGTGTGATCTTGAATAAAGTTGCAGAGCTTTCTTTAATTTGATCCCTGAAATGACTGAGTGGAACTGACACTCTCCAAAAAATAAAAATAAAACAAAAATCAGCCATGATCACCTGGAACTGCCCTGGACTACCACTATTCAAGTGAGAAACTTCTGTGAGGAACCATTACAGGTTTGGGTCCATCTGTTTTCTCACCCATCCCACTCTAACTAAGGAAAAGTTCCAGCTGATCTTCCCCAACCCACTCCCATCCCCTCAACACACACACACATACTTACATCTGTCATCAATCATTTAATTCATAAAATGGTAATACAATATCTACCCAACCCCATCAGTTTAGAATTGTTGAATGGGGTATTTAAAGTTACAAAACATAACAAGCTTCCATTCATTCCATTTTGTTTGACAATTAACTATTAGTTTAGTTTGATATTAAATATGCTTTAGTCTTTACTCTTGGTCCATAGTGGTGTGCTGAAGTTGGTTCATTGCCAATTGCGAGGCAATTTTCAGGAATTTTGTGAGCTGTTGTTAAGAGCAAACATTATAAATGTTAAAGTAAGCACTTACATTAAATTATACTAAAAGCAAAGGTAATGCATACTCAAAACCCATCTCTTCCTAAATATTTTACTGCAGTTTATCATCCACACTCTTGAAATTATTGGCATCTATTGTAGCCATAGGATGGAAATTCTATGTAATGGTGCTCTAGCGTGTATCTCTTCCCAACTCTGCATTCAGAGACATCACCTTGGTAGCTTGAAATCAGCTGTATGGGGCATATTTGCAATGTAGAAATTGGCAAAGACTACAAATCAAGTGCGTTTTTTTTCTTTTTGCTGGAGAGTCAGCTGTTAAATATTTACCACTGCTCTAAGGAAAAAGCAGCCTTGAACATCATCCTCTTAATTATTTTCTACAGACATGGAGGCATTTGGCCATTTGTTAATATGGAAATACCATCATGTTTTATTTGTACCTTTTACTTAACTTGGTTTATTTCAAAAATTACCAAGTTGCTTTAAGAAAATTATTTAATATTCCTATTACCATGGAAATAATTGGAATAGATGCCACATAAAACATATTAGTGGAAACTTGAATTCATTATCTGTGTTCTATTCAGAGCTAATGAGGATTTTTCTTCCTTAAATTATGAACAATCCTTTAAAACCAAAGCTAATACGAGAGAGGGAAAAAATTACAGTGGTTTATATATCAATTCTTCCCCAACTGATTTATAGATTTCACGCAATCCTAGTCACAATCCTAGCAGGCTTTTTTATAGAGATTGAAAAAATATTTTATAGACAGTCTAAAATTTATGTGGAACCTCATAAAGAACTTAAAAGAACCAACCATTTTTTAAAAGAATGAGTTAAGAGGACTTAAACTATCTAATTTCATAATTGCAGTCTAGTACAGATTACCTATAGTAATCAAAGCAGTATAGTATTCACCTAAAGGCAGACAAAATAGATCAGTAGGGAAGAGTCCAGAAATAGACACAAATGCATGATTTTCAGCAAAGGTGCCAAAGCAATTTATGGGGAAAGAATACTCTTTTCAACAAATGGTGCGGGACAACTGAATACCCGTATGAAAAACATTCGCTTGGTGCACAAATCTCCTTTTCAACCTGCACATTTTGACATGCAGTGTGCCTGAGTGGAAGGGCAGAAAGAGAGACCTAAAAAGGGTATCTTCCCTCACTATATGAATTTAATTCCAACTAGAAGACACAGGGATATTTTCTGTTCTAATTATTTAAATAAATTGATCAAGTGCAGGACTCATTTATCTACTGGGACCTGCAAAACCTATAGCCAAAAGTCCAAAATAAAAATATTACTTAGAATTATATCCTTTCACTACTAAGACATATAGTCATTTATTTGGGACAAACTACAAAGCAATCTACAAAACTATATCGGTAAAACCCACCTCACAGATTAAGAAAATAAATTCCAAAGAAATTAGGTTCCTAATCCAAAAACACCAAAAGCCTCAAGGCCAGGTCTCCAGGCTTCTGCTCTGCTGCTTGAATCCAATGGGTTTCTCAATGTCTATGACCACCTGGACTCACCTGACGCAGAGCCCCTGGGGAATTCCTATAAATGTGACTCCCCAGTTTTCTGAATGGCAGTGTCTGGGAGTGAGGTTAGGTTTATACCCTGAACACTCCCTTCAGGTGATACCAACACACATCTCTATGACCATACCATGTGGACTCAAAGAAAAGCATTTAGAAACCAGACAAAGCTATGGGAAACCAGCTTTTAGAAATGAGAAAATAGGGTTTTTTCTCATAAGCACCAATTATTTTAGACTGTTTTCCCTCCAACCATTTTATTTGTTTGTTTGTTTTTGAGATGGAGTCTCACTCTGTCACCCAGGTTGGAGTGCAGTGGTGAGATCTCGGCTCACTGCAAACTCCACCTCCCGGGTTCAAGCGATTCTCCTGCCTCAGCCTCCTGAGTAGCTGGGATTACAGGTGTCCATCACCACGCCTGGCTAACTTTTGTATTTTTAGTAGGACAGGGTTTTGGCATGTTGGCCAGGCTGGTCTTGAACTCCTGACTTCAAGTGATCTGCCCACCTCGGCCTCCCAAAGTGCTGGGATTACAGGCATGAGCCACCACTCCCGGCTTCCTCCAACCATTTTAAATATTTTGAAATCTCTTCTTGAAACACTCAAGGACATTCCACAAAGAATAAAAATAATGATTCCTAAATGCATTATAAAACTAAGCTTTTGAGGGTTTATATTTGCATCTGGAAAAATAGCTAAGAGCAATGCTCAGATAAGACTGGGGCTTCAGACCCAATCCTCACAGACATCAAGCAGCTGGCCACCAAAGGACTGGGCCAGGAAGTCAAGATAGGAGCAAAAATCGGCCAGGATGCAGCGAAGAACCCAAGGGCAGGCCCTTGAATGATGATCCAGTGTCGGACTCAGGAGCTCATAGGACTTGCACATTTTCACTGATAAAATAACCCAGAATGCAAGCTCTGGCTTTGTCCTCCAAGGGACAACCCTCCATTTGAACTTGGATCTTAATTACAAGCATATATTTATGAAGGAGCCCTTGAAGAAAAACTGTACTGAGAAAGGGAAACATCAGCAGAAGTCCTTCTCCCATAGCCCCAAATACTGATTTCTTTTCACAGCTTACAGGAGTACTTGTCCTTGCTACTGCACCACTGAAATTATAGCACCTTGAGGAGGCTAATTTAAAGGGTTACAAGACAAAACAAAAACAACTATAAAAGGCTAATATCAGCCCAAGTGTGCTTTCGTGAAGTAAAGTCAACACAATTTCAGCTCTATCGTGGCAGGCCTTCGCCTCCTCTGTTCTCAGCTCTGATTTGCATGTTTCAGGATTACATTACAATGCAATACTTCCCACTCACGAAGTCATAGCTTTGTTGAAAGGATTAGTATAGAAATGTGCCAAATTATTTAAAGATATCTGAATAGTGAGCAAAACATTATCATCAGATGATACAGGAGGAGAAAAGTAGCTCAGTACAACCTGTAAAAAAGCTGTCACAGAAATACCTTTCTCTCTACTCATGTGGTATGAGGAGTTTGCCTATGTGAGACTATTCAAAATATCTGTGATAATTCCTGGAATCAAAAAATATTTCAAATCAGTTTAGCTTTACTCAACTTCTTCTCAATCATGGTACACCAGGAAAGAAAGAGAAGGATATCAAAACATGTTCTACGCGTCTGAGGTTGACAGTTTCTCAGAACAATGTGTGCACAATAAAATTGAGGCAACATCAGGAAGTAAATGGCAGAGGGTTCACTGGAGCCATGAATGGATTGCTGGACAGTGTGCTGAGGACCTAGCGGAAGTTGGAGACCATGAATATACAGCAGCATCAGTGTCATGGATGGGCAGTTTTCTCTGGCAGAACTCCAGGGTTTTGGATAGAAAAGGTCAACACCTGAACAACACTGAGTTGCGGTTCGGCTGAGTAGGTGCAGCAGAATGTCCAAAGGGGTGAGGGAGCTGAGAGTATGGGCAAGAGATTGGCTCAATGGAGCACATGGCTTCCACTAGCAAGCAGGAAGAGAAGGTGGAAAAGAGTTGTCTTGGGTCTGGAAGGGGCTAGGTGGGAGAAAATAAAGCCTTAAAGGCCCTAGAGGTCTTGTTGAAGTTGAAGGACAGATGCAGGAGGAATAAATGAGCCAGGAGCTGGAGGATGCATGGTAATGGTATGGACAGGACACTGCAAACAGAAATATCGGAAGTCAACAGTTCTAGGGATCACTTTGTCCAACACGCAGTCGTGAGCAAGGCTGACTGAACTGGAGTGGGGGTGAGGTTAGAGGCAGCTGAGGGGACACAGCCACAGTGAGGCTGGAGAGTTGGATGGATCTTTAATAGTATGTTGCATTGAAACCAGTGTCACCAGGACTTAGAGGTGGAGAAGAAAACAAAATCAGACATGACAGATTTTGAGGAATGTGGGGATATGACAGAGTAGAGTTTACGGCAGGAAAAGCTCCCAAAGAGTACAATTTTTTACACAGATGCAAATGCAAAAGAACAATAGTTTCAAGTTATATTGGGAATCTAGAAGAATTTTCCCTCCCCCCGCCCCACACACACACACTTGCTCACCTAGTTAATTTCATACCCCAGATCTGTGACCCCAGAGACTTTTTAAAACAAATGACCTTTCTAGACAGGGAAGTAGAGAACTACAATGTTGGTCCTCTGATCCATTAGCAATATTGCAACCTTCATACTGGGAAAAATGAAGCAGGTAGATATATGCTAATGAATAGACTTCCAAGAAAAGAAATAAAAATCAAAAAGGAAAAACATGAAGACAACCCTCTGGGACATTTAAATTTTTCTTTTAAAGGAAGTTGAGAAATAATATAAAATCCTGCATTTCAGTGAAGAAAGCAGGTTGGTCTCCTCTTTACTTCTCAGCTCCCTCTGGTGGAATACTGATTTTTATGGTATGCCCCGTGAAATCAAAAGACCCTAGAGGTCTGGCCAACCTTCCACATTCCGAGATATAACATTAGGGTGTCAGGATTGGAAAGAGAGAGAAAGTAATCAGAGAAGGGAGAAACAAGGAACACACCTGTGGAAGAAGCAGCGAGAAATAGTGAAGAAATATGATTATAAAAGTCTCACTTGTATCACTTTTAATATTTTTATTGCATTAAACATAGTCTATTACCTTATATTGAAATACTGCTAAATTATTAACTTGTCTTTAAATTGATTTTCCTAGTATTGGGAATAAGGTTTCATTCAAAGGGGGAAAGTACCTAAGACATTTTACTGTAGCTTTTAGAGAAATCACTAATATTTCTCTAAATTCTGCTTTTTCAATCCCAACAATTATTTTCATTTTTACCCGAGAAACAATTCACCTGAGGAAATGCACTCCTTCTCTAATAATGAGAAAGCCACTTTGACAGAGTTTGTACAAAGTTTTGCAAAGAGGCATCAATTCCCCCTGCAGTGACAGACGCCCGCTGAAAATACTATGGGAAAAAAAGCAAAGTGAAATGGTTTAGATTGGCCTGTTGGGCATAAACATCAAGGTCTGACAAGGTCAGTGACTCCAGAAGCTACAACACATGGCAGAAAAACATGACCAGGGCAGTCTGGCTGACCTCTGGCTCCTGACCAGAGAGGAACAAGAGAAGCCCTTCCCTGAAGCCAGGTGAGTCACGGAAGTGGCAGGGCCTTGAGTGAGCCACTGCCCTTCCTGTAAGGAGATTGTGTAAAAAGTGCCCATATGGCTCCTCTGCAGACAGAACTTTTGGACTTCCTCAACAGATATTTGCAATAAAATCCAGCTTCTCTCTACATCACACCAAATCTTCTCTAGGGTATAAACATCCCCTATAAATGCAGAGAACCAACAATTGAACAAAATATTCCAGTAGTGGCCTGAGTAGGATCCAATGTAGTGAGAGCATTACTTTCATATTACTTGAGGCCATGGAGGGCCAGGGAAGCACATAGAATATGGAAGCTTAAAAAATAATACTAAGGGGTCAGGCACAGTGGCTCATGACTGCAGGCCCAGCACTTTGGGAGGCGGGTGGATCACTTGTTCGAGACCAGGCTGGGTGGTCTCGAGAGATGGTGAAACCCCATCTCTACAAAAGCATACAGAAATTACCCAGGCATCATAGCATTCACCTTTACTCCCACCTACTCAGGAGGCTGAGGTGGGAGGATCCCTTGAGCCCGGGAAATGGAGGTTGCAGTGAACCAAGATCATGCCACTGCACTCCAGCCTGGGTGAGAGAGTGAGCCCCTGTCTCAAAAATAATAATAATAATAAGGAATTTGAATAGTGTAGTGGTCTCAGGAGGTACTACCTATGTGGTCTTAGGCAAGTTATATCCTTTATGGGCCTCAGTTTCCCAGTGAATACTGTGATGACACCTATCTTAAGCTGTCTGCCTGAATCAAAGGAGATGTTTGTGAAAGAAGTCTTGTAGTTTGGAAAGCATTACACACTTAGAATTAGCGCATGGATTTCATTGATTAGCAGGATAATCCCTGCCCAGTCTTGAACTGGGAGAGGAAGCTGCATAGCAGATAGGAGCACAGGCCCTGAAACAGGTCTGCCTGGTCTTCCATCCCAGCTCTGCAACTTTCTAGCTGTCAAACCTTGGGTAGGTTACTTAGGCTACCTGTACCTCAGTTTCCTCACTGGTATCATGGAGATGATGATCATGATAGTAACAATGCCTACCTGGTAGAGTTGCCAGGATTAAGTTTAAATCCGTGGAAAGTGCCTAACAGCCCGGAAAAGAATTGGGCATCAGTAAATGTTGACTTATGTTATCACAATGCATGGAGCATCATTTTTGCCATACTTAGCCATTTTCTTACATTTTATCTCTGTATCATTTTCTTTCCTTGTTTATGCTCCAAAGCAGTCCCTTCATTTTGTGATTTTCTTTTTAATTTCTCAGAGTCAATTATCTTCTTACCTTCCCAGATGATGGTTGCCTAACGTTGTCTCAAAGAACCTTGAAGGGTAAGAACCACGCAAATGCCCCTCATCACCACTTCAGTGCTTTGCACCAAGCAGACACTCAGCAAATGCCTCATTGGCTTGCACAGCTGTGACTGTTCATGATGCAGACTAGTGAACACCCAGACAATGCCAGCCCAGGGATCAGCCCTGCACCTGCCCCCAAATTTCCCAAATGTCATGGATCACTACACTTTTATTAATTTTTAATTTTTAATTTTTGTGGGTACCTAGTAGTTGTATATATTTATGAGGTACATGAGATGTTTTGATACAGGCATGCAATGTGTGATAATCATATCGTGGAAAATGGGGTATCCATCCCCTCAAGCATGGTCACTATACTTTGCTTAAATACCCTCCATCCATCAAGTATGATGACTGTCTTGCTTTCTCTTTTTTTTTTTTTTTTTTTTTTTTTTTGAGCTGGAGTCTCACTGTGTCTCCCAGGCTGGAGTGCAGTGGTGTGATCTCAGCTCACTGCAACCTCCACCTCCCGGGTTCAAGCAATTCTCCTACCTCAGCCTCCTGTAATCCCAGCTACGCGGAAGGCACCTACCACCACGCCAAGCTAATTTTCATATTTTTAGTAGAGATGGGGTTTTGCCATGTTGGCCAAGCTGGTCTCTACCTCCTGACCTCAGGTGATCTGCCCGCCTCAGCCTCCCAAAGTGCTGGGATTTTTGAAGAGAGTTTATTTTTCAGTATTGTGTTAAGTATAGATGCTCCCAAACTCAAGGGTCACCTGAGAGTTACAGCTGCAGGTTTCTAAGGCTCTTTCATCCTGACAATTAAGAGAAGATGAATGCACCATTCCTTAGATCATCAGGAGTGACTACAGAGATGTTTATGCTGAATTTATGGCTCTAATTTTTAAACTGTAATGGGTATTTCAATCACAACACTGCACAACCCATCAGCTGTAAATATTGCTTTATGAAGTAAAGATGAGTAATCGGTAACTGTTGACATCTGCAGGGTGTTTGTTGACACAAATAGAGCTAAATCCAGACCCTTAGGATGGCACTAGTCCATTGAATCCAAGTTGAAGAAGCCATGGCATTAGTGCCTTTAGTAGAAAAAAAAAAATTTAAGAGACAGGATCTCACTCCTTCACCCAGGCTGGAGTACAGTGGCATGATCAATCTCCTGGGCCCAAGCAATCATCCTGCCTAAGCTTCCTGAGTAGCTAGGACTATAGGCACACACCACCACACCCGGTTAAATTTTTTTTATTTGTATTTTTTTCTAAGAAATTGGGTCTTGCTATGTTGCTCAGGCTAGTCTCAAACTCCTAGCCTCAAAGGATCCTCCTGCTTCAGCCTTCCAAAGTGCTGGGATTGTAGACATGCATCTGGCCCAGGAAAATTTTTAAAGCATTTTGTATTGGATATTGAACAAGCAAGAAGTCCAGAATATTTGCTACTAACGTAGCAAGTCATAGTTAATAGGTGAACAGGATCAAACTTATGCTAAACAACATTGTAGATCCCTCTCAATCTGTTCTTCTGGGACAACTGAAGTTCTTATGAGCCCTAGAAATAGGCCATGCATTTTGCCCAAACTGAGTTGCACGTTCTTTTAGCTACTGCAAATATGTTCACCAATCTGTCAATAGTACCTGAAATGTAGGACGACTGTAATTTATCCTTCAAATCAGGTCACCTTTAGAGCAAAAGGGGTGCTATTAATAATTACAAGGAGATGAACCAGGAACATGGTCACCCTGTATAAAAGCTGGTGGAGAATTAACGTCATCTGGCCTGATGGAACAGTTTTACTTTGAGCTTCTTTCATTCATCCACTCAGTAAAATATTTCCTGACCTTGTGCCAAGTCCTGTGCAAGGCACTGAGGAGAACCGTGATGAAGGAGCTGTCAGTCCTCACTCTGCAGAGGAAGCCATCAGGAGCATTCCTGAGCCCAGGTGTCAAGTGTAAGCAGAGCAGACACAAACAACTATATGCACACAGTCCTGAGAGCCACAGTTGGGAAAAGAGGTCTAGTTCTCCCCAAGGAAATCAACCAGAAATAAGTTGTCTGGGGGAATCTATTCCTTCAGCCACTTTGCCGGGAGACCAAGGGGTGGATGAATTCCCTGACAATGTGGATTCTAATCTTTTTTCTGTTGCTGCCTGAATCTAACTTTTGGCAGCTCCCTCTCTGTATTTCTCTCCTTTCCATGCCTTCTATGAAAGCTGCACCAAGTAAATAAAACCAGAGGTTATGCATCCGGTAATCCTGTCCCGAGTGTGATTATTTTCCACTTCTAATTTTAAGGCGTCATTATAAGAAGTGGCAATGACTAAACAAGTCCCAACAAGCACAGACTAGCATATTGCTTGGATTGCCAAGAAAAAAATGTGTAATAAATAATAAAATCGCCAAAAAACGATTTGGAAAAGCATTGTAAACACAGATGGCTTGCAATGCAAAAATATATAATGTTGTATCTGTTTAATGCAGAATCCCAAACATCAAAACTGATAAGTCAAACAACCATAAATTTGCATTTGTATTTTGCTGATGCTGACCAAGTACATTATGCTTGTGTATGCAGTTGTGCAGTTGACAGAACTTATGGAGGAAAAGGCTTGAGCCAGCCATCTCTGAGTTACTAATAGGATGAACTAAACTTCTGACAGATGCTCGTTACACAACATTACACTCAGGCTCTCCACAGGAATAAAAATCAACAATATAAAAGCAAAAGCAACCAAACTCTACAAGTATTTTTGACCTTGTGTTATTGGCACAACCTTCTGACATCCACTTACTGAATGCACACTCTGTGCCAGGCCTAGGCCAGGTCCTCAGGGTCCACGGTGAACCAGACAAGGTCCCTGCCTCATGGAACTTACATGCAGGAGGCCAGAGACAATAGAAAAGCAAATAATAAATATTTAATATCAAGCAATGCTAGTAGTAAAAAGAAAAATAAAACAGAGTGGCCAGGCATGGTGGCTCACACCTGTAATCCCAGCACTTTGGGAGGCCAAGGTGGGTGGATCACAAGGTCAAGAGATCGCGACCATCCTGGCCAACATGGTGAAAACCCGTCTCTACTAAAAATGCAAAACTTAGCTGGGCATGGTGGCACACGCCCGTAGTCCCAGCTACTTGGGAGGCTGAGGCAGGAGAATCGCTTGAACCCAGGAGGAGGAGGTTGCAGTGAGCCAAGATTGCACCACTGCACTCCAGCCTGGGCGACAGAGCAAGACTCTGTCTCAAAATAAATAAATACATACATACATACATACAGGGTAAGAAGAGGTCAGAGGGTTCCGGGATGGCCTAAGGAGGTGACGTGGGAGGAGAGAGCCAAATGTAACCAGGGAGCAGCAATCTAGGAAAAGAACAAGTCAGGCCCGAGGGGACAGCAAGGGCAAATTATTTCACCTGGGTGAAAACTAATCAGTTGACATGATTTTCAGAACTCAACTTCCCCACTTGAATTCATTACACTAATATTAGAACACACGTTTTGAGAATATTCACATCATTGCAGGTGGGAACATAAACCCGGAAATGCTTATAGACTGCAATCTGGAAATAGATATCAAAAACTATTACAAATATCATAATTGTTCAATTCAGTAATTATTTTCCTGAAAATATATGGTAAAGATGTATTCAGAAATGTGCACAAAGGTTTTTATATAAAGACAGTTGTGGATATCCACATCCAAGATATCTATAACTTATATTAGCAATAAATTGGAAACAATTTCGAAGTGACAACACAATAAATGTTCAATGAATTACAATATATCTGGATGACGAACTGTCAGTCAATGATTGAAAAGCAATTTTTGTATGATATGTGATGACATGCAGAGATCCTCATAAGAATTTTAAGGGAAAAGGCAGAGTATAAAATTGTATATGTAAATATACTTGAAATCTATGACATATTTGCATATACATGTGAATAATATTATGAGGGAAATGGTTAAAGATAATCATCTGTGATTCGGGAGGTTACAAGTGACTTACTTTCTTTTTATTTCTCTAAAGGTTCTAACCGTTCCACAAAGGTCATGATGCACATTTATAAGGAGAAAACAACTAAAGAAATAGGAATATACACTTTTATATCATTAGCCTATCATTAGCCTTTTTATACTGAAAAAAAATAAAGGAGCCAGCCACAGTTAGAAATGTATTAAGTGCTCCATAAAATTTAGTGTTGTCATTTTAGTGTACTGGGGAGGCACTGAGTTCTTCATTCTTATGTTTGTCTTTTTCTCTTTCTGTTTATTGATGCTGTTGCTTTCCCATTAACCTAGATACGGGACTGTACCAGGATCATGTTTGCAACCCAGGAGTCTAGCGCAGTATGTGGTACCTAGTAGATGCTCAATAAAAGCAACTACATTATGTAAGTTACAAGTTCAAAGTAATTAGCTCCATGATTTTGAATCATCTATCCATTGTGCAAATTAATTGTCTTGTATTTAACTCAAAGCATATACTATCCCTGGAGTAACACTTAAGCTGTTCTGCATTCTGACTATTTAGAGCTTTCTCTTTGCAGAGCTTTTGGGTGCTTGAAATAACTGTTCGCTTTTTGTACCACTTGGAAGTGCCGAATTGAAGCTGTCTAAAGTCGCTGTAGCTACTGCATTTCTCCTTTTCCTTTGTATTACTTCACCCCAGAGATGTCAAATGACTTCGATATTTTAGAATATCTAGTTTTCCAAAGAATTCTTTTTAAAAATAATCTTTAGTTTTGCACTGGAACTTCTCAGCATATGCATAAGTCATTATGATAACAAAAGCAAGTTATTACAGATATTATACGGTAAACTTCCTCTACATATGTGCTCTGATTATCTATGACCTGACACATTGTTTCTCTCTGATTCAAATGCAAAAAGCTAATAGACATTTCTCTGAATAGTACACTTTGCCCCAGAATAACTCATCACCTCTATATTCACTGTTCCAAACCTTTTTTGTTAATTTGCAAACTCTTCCTCTATTGAAAATGTGCTTGCAATTACAGTAGGTTTTTTCCTACCGAGTGATAACGT
The DNA here is from genome assembly GCF_000001405.40 of Homo sapiens. Taxonomy (NCBI): domain Eukaryota; kingdom Metazoa; phylum Chordata; class Mammalia; order Primates; family Hominidae; genus Homo; species Homo sapiens. Next base: position 229,648,974 of record NC_000002.12, read on the forward strand.
GCCTCAGCTAACCTGTGTAGTGAGGCCAAAATCCATGAATGAAGCATATGCTGTCCTGAAGTCACTACATTTAACAGGTCACTGACCCTTGTAGTTCTTTCCAGTAACAGAGACGAGGAGAGAGGAGGAGGCAAGAAAAGGCTGGACAACAGCAGCAGCTTCAAAAGGCCTTGGCGAGTACTCTCGGCTCTTCTAATTCACCATCATTCAGGATTTATTTCTATTGCAATCAGAAAACTGCACTTTCCTTTCTATTCCTTTTCTTTTTCTTTCCCCTTTCTTTAAGGTAAATAAGCTAATACCAAAGATTGACTGCAAAGATGCTTTGGAAATTTTAACTATACATTTATACGCTCATCAGTACTGCATATTAAAATATGTTGTCCTCCATAGAAAGGAAAGCATTAGCTATGTAACCCTGTTACTTTGAAATGAATTACATCCAGTGATATGCAGATAAATGTTTAACAACCAACTCTAGGGGGAAAAAAATCCTGATTTATAGGGTTTCCAATTTCTATATTATAAATAGTCCCACCAGTTCTCAGCTACCAATACGATGTCACTGAACGCCAAGATGCGCACAACTCTTGCAAGCCAGTATGAGTTGGCTCCATCACACCTGATGCTAGCTAAGAACATTGAAATTATATGAGGACTATAGCAATTGAGATACAAGGAGGGTTTTGTATTTATAACCTACAACATGATGAAAATTTCCAACACCTGGGGTCATTAGACTTTATATACAGTGGATGAGAATTATTCTTAACTCCTCTCCTGCTATCTCTTCTCACATCTTCTCTTAAGAAATGGCATCCCCGGGTGCGGTGGCTCACGCCTGTAATCCCAGCACTTTGGGAGGCTGAGGCGGGCGGATCACGAGGTCAGGAGATCGAGACCATCCTGGCTAATATGGTGAAACCCCATCTCTACTGAAAATACAAAAAAATTAGCCGGGCGTGGTGGCAGCCACCTGTAGTCCCAGCTACTCAGGAGGCTGAGGCAGGAGAATGGCGTGAACCCAGGAGGCAGAGCTTGCAGTGAGCCGAGATCATGCCACTGCACTCCAGCCTGGGTGACAGAGCAAGACTCCGTCAAAAAAAAAAAAAAAAAAAAGAAATGGTATCAGAATCATTAGCTGAACTCCCAGGTGTAACTTACATCCCATGAAATAAACGCAAGAAACCTACTGTCCCGTACATTCTGACTAAGGAAATTTCATCAGCTGGAGATTCAACCCTTCACTTGGGCTGTACTCCCAGTGGAAAAAAATGTGCATATTCCCTCACTAAACTATTCTCCTTTACTCACACCACAGTGTGAAGGAAGTATCAGAGCCCAGGTTTTGAAGGCATATTAGAGGAGGGAGAACAAAAAACGTATCCTGTACTGTACTCTACACTTTAAGGAGACACCCATCACCAAGGACAGGGAAAAGGTTTTGCAAATGAAAACACATTTCCGTAATTTGGCAAACTTGCCTAGGGCTACTCCTGAAAAGCAGGTTTCATCCCACAAATTCAGTAGAGTCAGACCCTCTTGAGAGAACACCGGACTTCCAATACCAAATTTTCACTTGCATGATGGGCATTTGGATGCTAAATCTCAGCCCCTCACACCTGCTGCCACCCCTCCATGAACGACCACCACCCCAAGGGCCCCTACACACGGTTTTCTTTCAGGGTTCCTTTTCGTAGTATTTTCATTATCTGGTACCACTCACCTGCCAGAACGGGCTCTACTTACCTGCCCAAAGTCACCCAGTCACTGTGCATTGTCATTTCCAAGCTGGTGCTTGCCTCACCTGATGGTGTCTGGTCTCTGAATCTCTTCCTCTCCAGGGGCCACTTTATGGCTGGTTCTGAAGGGCCCTGGGACGCATCGGGTGGGCAGCTGTGAAGTGCTTTCTATAGAGTGGATGGGGCCTGGGATCAACCCATTGTGTAGAGGACACATGTCAGTTTTGCTTGCCTCTCCATCATTTGCCCTTTATCTGGGATGAGCACCAACATTTCTCTTTGGGAGGCTTAGTGGAACTATCAATCAAGGCATGCCTAAAGGTGGCCCCTGACACAGCCAGGCCATTCAGCCTCGCTCTAATTCGAGTTGAGTCAAGTGATGAGAGGACAAAGGCTGAAGTGTCCCAAGGGCATCCCAGGAAAGGACCATTCACTGGTTACTGCTTCCCAGAGCCTCCCTGATCCCCTCTTTGAGCAGCTGGTTGCTCAGTTTCATCTTCATTTCAGCAAGCTGCCCTGCCGCTTCCAATTAATTCCTTTCTTGCTTCAATTAATGAGAGTCCATTTCTGTTGCTAATAACTGATGAACTCTAATTGACATAAACACACTTATAGATGACTGGTGGACAGATATGGTAGACAGGAGGAAAGTCTTCTGAGTCGTCGATGTTTTCCTATGGTTCTCAGAGGACACTTGCGTGTCCTCTCCCAAGCTCTGGCCATGGGCAAGCCCTGGAATCACTCTCTTTTTTGCCCTCTGCAGGTTCTCAAGACATCACCTGGGTCTCAGAGAAAGCAGAATTGCAGGACAGATGCTCTTTGGGAGCTGAGGGTGCCGAAGGACCCAGCCAGGTCTCTATCCATTCTCAAGCTGAGTCCCTCCCTGGGCTGCTCCCTAGGGTCTGTTTTAGATAACTCAGCCTGGAGCAAGTGAGGATAAAAGACAGCACATTGGAACAGAATACAGATGGAGGATTCTTTTTTTCCCAAACAATGAATTTAGCCAAGGGGACCTTTGGTAGGTGACATCTCAGAATAAGTCCCTGGATTTCAAAAAGGAACATGAGGAAGCAACTAGCAATCAAACAGAGTCTAGACAAAGGAGCAACATGCAAGTTAGCATGATCCGTCAGAACAACCCTAGGGCCAACAACCACAACTCTTTTAAGATTCAGTAGCATAGCCTTAAAGCAACCATGGGGGCAATTAAACAAGGCACTCCGGTGGTAGAGAGAAAGTCAGTGGGGAACATAGTGGATTTGTCTCAATTAGAAAAGGAAAAATGGCAGGCATTTGACATCCTAGCTATTACTGGTCATTACTGTAGCATTTCAAAAAAAGGAAAACTGTACTCAAAGCAGATTTACTTAATGATAGAATCAAAGAGCTAGAGGAAACATCAAAAGAAAAAAGGAGCCCTGCCCCCTGCAGTCAAGAACAGTTTGAAATGAAATCACTAAGAAAGGTAGCAGGAAGAGTGAGGTCTTGAATGAGAAGCTGAGTTCAGATTCATGTTCTGCTGGGGCTAGCTAGGTTGGCCACGCAGACTCCTCAACTCTCCGAGACCTCATTCTCGTTCTCATTCTTCCTTTGTAAAGTGAATGAGATCCCCACCTGACAGATTTATTCTGCAAAATAAATGAGATAATGTGTAAGACCAACTAACACTTAAGTTGTCAGTAAGATAGGGTAAGCACACTAGGTGCATCTATCAGAGCATCATAGAAAGGACATGAACCATGGACCACGTGCACATCAAAATACATAAGCAAATGGTCCCAATCCCATCAATATGATGTTAAAGAGAGAGGTGGAAGAAAAGAAGAGCAGTAACTGTTATAAAATGCCATCAGGTGAGCTGAAAGAGATACCACAAAGGGAGGCAACCTGACTGCTCTCCCCCAGTGTCCACCCTAGAGACAGAAGAAAGTGTCAGGCAGGAAGCAGCAATGTGGAAGACAGTAGATATTGATGAGCTCAGAAGCAGGCAAAAAATCAATTTTTTTCAGCCTCGTATCTTGGGTGTTTTAGGTGTGGAAATACAGGAATCAACATTAAGCTTTCAGCATGCCTAAAAATAGTTCTTCACCTGCTGCTGTTTTTCCCATTGGTTACAAAGGCTATTGTTTATTTCAGCAGATGGAAAAGAAGCTGTGAAAAGCTGTTCACATCCTGCAAAAGGGAGCATGGAGAGGCGGCGGCATGGGTAGTATGTTAATGAGTGGGGTCGGGGATGATTAGCTCAATTGCTCACACAAAATCTTTCTTCTCCCCGGAATTTGCTGTTAGTACTCTGAGCTATGGACTCTGATGCCAGCATGCTAATTTGGACCTGCATCTCAGTGGGCACAGCAGTGAGTATTTCCATGAGGCTCAGTTTCCACTTGCTTCTGTACTCTTCCCCATTGCACTCTGAAAATCCAAGCTTTCTTTTCATGTGTCACACAGTATCTTAGAAGCTCCTGGGTTACAGATTCGGGGAGAAAATCACCAGCCATTTCTGGCTTTGGGAGGCAGCCGCCTCTGCTGCTGACAGCTGCTGCCCAGTCCTGCTGGAGATGGAGAGTCGAGGCTGACACCTCTGCTGGGCAGAGCAGTAGGAAAGGCATTGTCTCTCCCAGCTCCCAGAGTTGGCCATGAAAGCAAATTCCGGTTTTTGTTTTTGTAGTGTTGAGAACCATCAGTCCCAAGCCCAGCAGAAGATCATTGCCTTTCACCCCCAAGCCACTTGTCATAAAAATTAAAAGCATATAAATTCTTCACTCTACAGTTTTTCTTCTCAGTGGATGGCCAGCATCTTCAGCTCTGTGAGTTCTTTTTATAAACACATATGCACCAAGCCTCAGCTAGCACCCCCTGCCCAACACCAATTTTTTTTTCTCCTTTCCTGCCTGAGCAGTTCAAATTGATGAGAAAATATTAACTGGGGCTCATTTTACATTAACTAGTAAATGCTCCATCACCAAGCTAAAGGCAATGGAGTAAAACCAGCTCCCATTAAGTTTCCGTGAATCCATCTCCTACAGCTGTGACTTCTTTCCCTGCTGTGGCCTCACATTCATGTAACACATGTGCTTTGTAAGCCTTAGGCCATCTGATTACCCTAAAAGGAAATACCCAACATAGGGGAAAATATGGGGCTTAGTACAGGCTAATGGTTGAAATTCCTTGGTGTAAGATTAACCATGCTGCAAAATGCCAAAGAAAAATACAAAAGTCATGAGGACGTTCAGCAAGGTTGTCTTTTTCATTATTATTATTATTATTATACTTTAAGTTCTGTGGTACATATGCACAACGTGCAGGTTTGTTACATATGTGTACATGTGCCATGTTGGTGTGCTGCACCCATTAACTTATCATTTACATTAGGTATATCTCCCTAATGCTATCCCCCACTCCCCCCACCCCACCACATGCCCCGGTGTGTGATGTTCCCCACCCTGTGTCCAAGTGTTCTCATTGTTCAGTTCCCACCTATGAGTGAGAACATATGGTGTTTGATTTTCTGTCCTTGCGATAGTTTGCTCAGAATAGGATCTAGAACTAGAAATACCATTTGACCCAGCCATCCCATTACTGGGTATATACTGAAAGGATTATAAATCATGCTGCTATAAAGACACATGCACAGGTATGTTTATTGCGGCACTATTCACAATAGCAAAGACTTGGAACCAACCCAAATGTCCAGCAAAGTTGTCTTAAATCCATATTTTAGGGAGAGATTCAGGGAAAGTATGTGGTAAAGATTTTGTCTTATTTCAATATGAATTTATTACAAAGATAATAATAATACCTAAAGGGAAAAATAGTAATGTTTGAAATCCCATCCCAGAGGTTATGTTTTGTCTGCCTTGTTATCTATGCTTGTGGCAGCCAAGCCCTTTCCAGAGAAGGTCCCGAATTCCAACTCTCTGGCCTTCGGGCACTGCCTATGCTTATGTGTCACACAAGTCTCAATTTGGGGTCAGAGCCCTGAAACAACAAGATGAAGAGGTTCTTAGCTACAGACGCTATAATCAGATTCACACATTTCAAATTTTCCTGGCCAAATCAGAATGTCCTCACAAGCCACCTGAAATTCAGCCCATACACTTTTATTGAGCACATTAATGATATGCTCATTAATGAGCACACTGACATGTTACTTTTCATCAGTCAAAAGGTCAATGGTGACCCAACTAGAAGTGTTGGTTTTATAGTCTTAAACTCTACAAGAAAAAAACTACATAAAGAAATACCAGAAGCATCATTAAAATAGCTTCTGACAATTGTTAAAACATCTTTCAGATGTTTTAAAAAAAATTCATCGGTACTGAGATGAATCTAATAGAATGAACAATTTACTAACCTAGTTTTTAAAACATTCCCAAATCCCAGTACATTTCCACATAAGGCCGTGGTACTCAGTGAAATGTATGGTGGGCCCATCATCACCACCACCAACACCCCTCAAAGCTGCATGATATCTTTACATATTAGGCCAGGTGCAATCAAGAACGACCACCAAAAGAAATGAAATAAAATATACAAATATATAACAAAAATAATTTTTAAGTTAAAAAATAAAGAAAGCAGAAGGAATGAATTCAAAAGAGGGACTGGTAAAAAAAGAAAACAAAATGTAAGAAATGATAACTAAGACCAGAAAAGCATCTTTTAAAAACCTCCTGGAGTGTTAGGGGTGAGAGAGGATGCGATTTAAATACCATCAGACTCAGGAAAAGAGAGGAGATTTCACCAGGTTTTCACAAGCCTAAGATCCAGGAGTGCAGAGGCAAATACGACAGTTCAGAAGGTCTAAATTCACTAAATCGATCATTTAGTGAATGGCTTTTGGTCCTTCATTTAAAAAGAACTTGGTTGAATTTGGAATACATAAAAGAAACTAAGAGATGTATTAAGAGTAGACTGAACGGTGACCACCCCCACAAAATGTCATGTCCATGTCCTAACCCCCAAAACCCATGCATTGTGACCCTGTTGGGAAAAGGGGGTCTTTGCAGATGTGACTAAATTAAGGATTTGCAGAGGAAATCATCCTGGATTGGGTGGGTCCTAAATGCAATGGCAAGTCCTAAGAAGGGAAGAAGAGAAAGGAAGGGAAAGGAAGAGAAGAGAAGGGGTGGGTGGGAAACAGACACAGCAACACAGGAAAGAAGGCCGTGTAAAGACCCACATGAAGATGAAGGCAGGCATTCACGTTAAGCTGCCACAACCCAAGGAATACCAGAAACCACTAGAAACTGGAAACAGCAAAGAAGAATCCTCCTCTAGACCCTAGAGTGTCTGGAGGAAGCCTGGCCCCACCCACACCTTGATGCCTGACTATGGCCTCAAGAACTGTAAGAGAATACACTTCCATTGTCTTAAGCCACCCAGCGTGTGATAATGTATTACTGCAGCCCTAGGAAATTAATACAGGCACCTGAGCCATTAATGAAGTAATTGTGAAAAGCCATCCTTTGCCTGTGGTTACCACATGTGACCTGCAGTCTCATGGGAAACAGGTATCATCCACATGGCCAGAAGCAGAAGCTTTCAGATTGAAGAGACCTAGGCTGAATCCAGATTCTGACAATTACTCACAGTGTGGCCTTGGACATGTTTCTTGACCTCTCTGTACCTCAAGGTCATCTCTAAAAAGGTGAGCAGCAAAAAACAGTCCCTACCTCATACTGTTGTTGGGAATGAATGGGATCACCTCTGGAAAAGTGCAAGGTGAGGGGCAGACACATGGTGAGATTCATTCCCTACCACTAAGCGTGGGCTGAGCTCCAGCTCAGCCAACCACAATGTGAGCCTGGGGATTGGAGGACGAGGAAGGGAAAAGCTCACTGCAAGGGAACCAGCATCTAGCCCCTCGAACCTGTTATTCTCGGTACATTTCTTGTCAATAATTAAAATAACTCCACTGCCTTGATAGCCACACTTCTATTTATAACACTTAAAATTATCAGCTTCATTCCACTCTCACACCTAGACACTTACTCATTCATTCTCACAGGAGGAGTTTAATTTCAGCAAATGTGTTTTTGAGAGATTTTGATGTCCTGGAGCTATGAAACTATAATGTAATTCATTTACTTTCTGAAAAACATGAAGGCAATGATTTTTCTCTTTTTTTCTGGCCTTGTTGAGGCATACTTAAGAAATTAAAATTGTATATATTTGAAGTATACGACATAATGACTTAATACACATATATATTGTAAAGTGATTACCAAGTCAAGGTAATTAACAAGACCATCACATCACAGTTACCACGTGTGTGTGTGTGTGTGTGTGTGTGTGGTGAGAACATGCCAAGATCTACCCTCTTAGCACATTTCAAGTAAACAATACAGTATTACTAATGGTGGTCCCCATGTTGTACCTTCAATCCCAGAACTTATTCATCTTAAAACTGAAAATTTGATCCACGTCTCCACCTTTCCCCACCCCTCAGAACCACTGTTCTGCTTTCTGCTTCTGTGAGTTTGATTTTTTTAGACTCTACCTATAAGTGAGAATGCAATATTTGTCTTTCTGTTTCTGGCTTATTTCATTTAGCATAATGTCCTCCAGGTTCATCCATGTGGTCACAAAGGGGAGGATTTCCTCATTTTTTTGTGGTTGAAAAATATTCCAATGTATATAGATACCACATTTTCTTTATCCATTCACCTGTCAATGAGCATTTAGGTTGGTTCTATACCTTGTCTACTGTAAATAATGCCGCAGTGAACACAGGGATACAGATAAGCAACATGGAAGTTCCTCAAAAAACAATTTTAGGACCGTGATTTTTCAATTTCAACACTACATGACATAAGTAACAAAAGGAGAGTTGTTAGGGTCCTAAAGATACCTACCTCCAGATGTTTTATCTTCATTAGCTAAGTAATAGTCAACATGCATTCAAATGTTTGCTTAGTGCCATACGATGTGACAAGAAGATGATACGTAAGGCCTAAGCAACTCGTTATTTTTGGAAACATGACCTCTTTCAACCTAGTTCTTGTATCCAGACTCTCACAACAGCTTCTCCATCTCTGAGAGCTAAAATACCTGCCGGGTGGATAAGCAGTCATACCCAGGCCAGCCAGCAGCTCTCCTAAATTTGGAGGGAGAAATCCATTCAGGAGTGCGATGATAGAGTCAGGCTTGCAACTTCCTAAATTTCAGGGATACCTGCATTTCAAGGGAATTTCATGATCATTAATTTAAAAAAAAAACTGGTTCTTCCTTATAGGCCTTAAAAACATGTAAAATGTCCCTAAGTCAATGATTTGAGAACAAGAAGATTAAAAATGAAACAGTGAATTGAATTGGAATTGAACAGAATGCTGCTGAAGTCAAACACAAGCAGCTCGTCAGTCTAAGATAAAAATGCTAGAAAGACCTCTATCTTTATGATCAGGGAGTCGGGGTCATATTACCTTAATTGCCTGGTAAACCTAGCCTGCACAAGCATGCACACTGAAGATATGGTGATATCTGACTTTATTCATTCTCTCAGCTGACTCTCTGACCTTAACATATGCAAATTTTATTCAAGCATCTTCTGAAGCACTTTTTATTTTGCCTGAAGATGTCAGAGAAATCAGTACTTCCAACTGGCATTGCTGGTCCTATTTACCGTGGTTGACGATGCAAGTTGCCCAAGTGTTAATGAACATGTCCTTCCTGCTCAAAAGCCTTCAGGTACACTGTTGCAAAAGCAGCATCCTTAAATAGCTAAGTGGGACCCAAGTGAGACTTCTCTCTGGCAATATTTTGTTTGAATCTTGGAATGATGCTTCCAAAGATTCACACAAATTAAAAATGAAGACTTGCCAATTCCTTCAACATGAATTCATTCATTCAGTAAGACTTTATTAAGCACTCACAATGTGCCTGTTATTTAAGGGTACTTGGGGAGGGAGTTGTTTTTATTTTCCAACTGCCCATCTGAAAGACTTTGAATAAAAGATGTATTTTACTCCTTTATCTGAATGACAACCAATTCAAAGAGTCAGTGCCCAGACACCAAAAATCTAATCTAATCTTGCCTTGATGCCCTATTCTTCTAGATTTCGACATGATTTTAAAAATTCTGGCCAATTTCTAAGGCTGTCGATGCTGAAAAAAGTAGACTTAACTTTTGCAGTTGAAATTGTACAACACTCATCATATAAAAATAAATTATAATAGAAGGTTTGAAAAGTAGACCTTAAAAATAGAGGTTACAAAATTAGCCAGGTTTCTACTGAAAGAAATGTGATACTATTTTTTTTAACGTATCACGTCTCTACATCTGCATTTTGTCCTGAAGGATGTGGTGACCTAAATAAAACTGACACTCTCTGGTCAGAATTCTGCAGCACCCAGAACTGGCAGTCATTGATGAAGAAAACTACAGCTGCAAGGGTACCCGGCAGTTTCATATCTAAACAAGAGTGTTTCTTTGTCCTAAGACACGGATGGGGCATCCTTTCAAAGTCTCTGAAGATATTGGAAAACATTAGACTTCAGTAAACATTGGAAATGGGGCTACACAGAGGAACTCAGTTTTTTAGCTATTAAACCTTTCTTTAAACAGATTTCAATACTTAACCATAGACACATCTACAAATTACTAAAAGAAGTGCAAAAAGAATGACTCCCCACTCCATTCACTAGCAAGCAAGTCCCCAACTCTGCATATTCATAAACATTTAATATTTATATAGGACAAAACCATTTGACCTAATTTAACCTTACTATGATATAAATATTTTTGGTCTCAAGATCTGAACTGTAGGACCTGGACCCGGGCAGACAAAAACAGTATGACCTTGAATAAATCGGGTACCGCTCTTAGCCTCCATTTTGCTACCTCTGAGATCTGGTCTCCATGAGCCTTTCTTAAACTCACCATCTTGAGAGTCTGATGGAAGTTATGAAGGCTCTCCACCTAAACTCTGACGTTTATGTCCAATTTGATGATGTTCAAAAGCAGTCACAGATTCCAGGTGAAAAACAACTGACCTAAAGAATCTCTGTGATCCCTCCAAGAGCCAAAATTTTACTATTGTTTAATAGGATAACCTGTACTCTATACCTTACATTATATATTATGTATGCATAATGTTACTTGTTTAGCTTTGAAACTGCAGAGCACGCTGGCGGCTGCAGTTTTCTTCATCAATGACTGCCATGTATGTATATAGGCACAGATATTTTAGATACTATTATTATATTATGTTAATAGAATATAACTGCTATATTTTGTCTACATCTTACTGTATTTATTATACCTGTGCTTGTAAGTTAGGTATACACATACCTCATATGTGTATAGACAGAACTCAAAGTAGTTGGACTGTGCTCTGGCCCATCTTTTAGTAGAGGTGACATTCTTCATTGACTTCTTTTAAGGAAATGTAAATGTGCTCCTTAAGTGACTGAGAATTTTTTTAAGTTCAGGAGGACACGTGCAGGTTTGTTACATAGGTAAACTTGGGTCACGGTGTTTTTTTGTACAGATTATTTCATCATGCAGGTATTAAGACTAGCACCCATTAGTTATTTTTCCTGATCCTCTCCCTCCTCCCACCCTCTACCCTCCAAAAGGCCCCAATGTGTGTCTTTCCCCTTTACGTGTCCATGTGTTCTCATCATTTGCTCCACACATAAGTGAGAACACGTGGTATTTGATTTTCTGTTCCTGTGTTAGTTTGCTAAGGATAGTGACCTCCAGCTCCATCCATGTCCCTGCAAGGACATGATCTCATTCTTTTTTGTGGCTGCAGAGTATTCCATAGTGTATATGTGCCACATTCTCTTTACCCAGTGACTGAGAATTTTCTCTCTCTCATTTATATAAGCTAGTCTAAGTTTCTGTTCCCCAGCCTGGTGGAGAAATGGTCCCATTATAGATGTGGTTGGGCAGAAAGGGAAGTTAACAAAAACAATACCATCAAGTCACCCTAATTTGCAATGCAACTGTTACATGTGATACTAACAAATTCATGAATATATCTGAAGCTATACCCTGGTATCATTAGCATAAAGTTAAAATGCAGTGATCAGTCTATCTCTTAGTTTTGGGGTGAGCAGGAATGTAACTCTAGTGACCTTAACCTTGACTTAGGAAAATTATACCTACATTCAGAAATTTGTAGAACACAACTCCAAAGAAAAAGATATGTCTTAAAACTGTGGAGTTTGTTGAATGATTGCAGCCCATCAGAAGAAAGATAATTACATTAAATGAAAATAATATAAATTAAAGGAAAATTAAGAATGAGCTAGAGTAAGAATGCTGCTGGCAAACCTAATTACATTGTTTATTGTTTTTCTTCATGCCCCAACCTCTTTGCCATCCCAATCCCTACCTGCTGCTCAAATGTAAGCTTCCTCAGGAAAGGGTTTTATCCTTTGTTTTTACTGATGACTCATAAGCATAAAGAGCATTGCCTCATGCAATAAATATTTGAAAAAATGGCACTAAGTGTCTTTGCCAAAGACATCATGGTGATTATGAGTAGTAATCCATAATTGTGTGTGTGTGTGTTACTTAAATGCTATAATCAAGCACAAACTGAAAAACTGCTTCCCCAAATCTCCTGTACACCAGTCCCCCACACCTCCCCAAAAAAAACTTGTTACTCAGTACATGATTCATTGCAGCTGAGAGGTATGTTCCGGGGCTTTCCATGGAACACCAGACCAATTGGATATTGAACCCTAAAGTTCCAAGATCATAAACTACCAAGACCAGGAAATAGAGATCTGATTTTAACTCACCATTAGGAATTAACCTCCTTATGGACTGCTCAAAGAAAGATGACCTAGATCATTGTCCTTAGTCAGACATCAAATGTCAACAAGACTAAAAAGAAAACTTAGTAAGAAGGATAACCAAGTTCAAACTCATGTTGTTCAAAGTTAACAAAAAAGAAAAAGATAATCAAGGAGAGAAGCCAAATGTTAATAAAACAAACTTGTGATTCATAATGCAGCATAAAGTCAACCCTACCTAAAGTAAACCTTAAAATCAGAGCAACTAATATGAACTCGCGGGAGTGGAAACTTTTTCAATTAAACGTTGACATGAAGCATTCAGACACCATCATTTCATAGTGACCCCTTTGAAAAAACTGGAAGAAATGCTTTGCCACTTCATGGTTTACTGGCATTAGGATTCATGATTCATGATTAAGACAAAAATGAAGCTCCATGGCTGCATTCTCTTGATGCCAATATCAAGAGCTAGGAATAGAAAAACTCCAGCAGGCAGCCACAAGAAGGATTTTCTTGTCCATAACATCAAACAATTTGATTTTTTAAGTCAATTAATATTTGGTTGAGCATCCTATAGTCATAGCCAAAGGCTTATAATAATCTGGAGCACTCAATTTAGTCATATTTGTGTCAATTTTGCAAGGGTATGCTACCTTCAAAAGTGCTAGGCTGACAAAGAAAATCAATAATCCCATTGGTTAGAAAAGAACACAATGTCGTCAGGCGAACTGGGACAGAACTTTCAGAGTCAGCACAGCAAAGGCATCCAAGGCCACTTCACCCATTGCAGATGCAGGCTATACTTAGTTCATTGATTCTGTGTCTTGGAGCAGCCTCATCCAAAAGGGTACACTGTTGACAGACAAAAGTAGACCTAAGGAAAAAGATAACTCATCCCAAGGGAGTACTCATTATTTGTTAGGTACTATTCTAAGGGTTTTACATGTAACAAATTACTAATAATGTTGCTCCCATTTTACAGATGAGGAGACAGAAGTACAAAAAGGCAAAATAACTTGTTCAAGGTCACCCAGAGAGTAAGTGGCAGAGCCAAGGTGCAGAACCAGGGGTTCTGGGTCCAAGGGCCACGCTTTCAACCACTGCAAGCATGGACTCTGAGGAAGGAAACAACCACCCTCTCCTCCCTCATGGCCTTCAGGCTAAGGTTTCCATATAATCTAGAGCCTACCCAGCCTCCTGAAACCAGAGATAAAAGCAAAACTCTCTGGCCTCTGCTGACCAGAACAGACACACCAGGCTCATCAGGTCAACAAAGCCACCAGTATTTGAGCAACCAAGCTCCCCAAATCTGCAAAGTGGGATGCAAAAGTGAATTCACCTATGAAATCAGGTAGACCTGTCAGAAGTGGGAAAGCCATAAGGAAGACCAGTTCTCACATTGGACTAAACAAAAATAAGAAACTGTGCTGACAACCTCTGTGACCTAAATCCAGTCTGTTCTGCCCATTCACAACTTGGTTTATGTAGCATGAGACAGCTGGACAGTTGCTAAGATCTCCTCCTATTCTAAGATTGGGTGCTCCTCGTGCTCCTCTAAGAAAAACCACACTGGGCCTTTCCAGTGCTTTGCCCCAAGTAGATGCTTGATCAGTTGAACTGAATTTAGAGCACCCTTCAATTACTCTTTTCCCTATCCAGAGTGTTTAGCTTTGATCTAGGAAAAATGCAAAAAGAAAAATTCACATCAATTTTAATTATTAGCTCTTCTTTGATCCACCAAAAACATGAAGTTCAGTAGAGAATGTAACAGAATAGAAAATGCAGGCTTCCTCCCAATAAAACCACTATGTTATGCTGCAAGTCAATCAGAAAAGAGTTTTTCCATGATGCTGAAACAAAATGTACTGACATCACTCCAAAGCCAATTTTTTTCCATGACTTGACTCAATCCCAGAACCTGCCCTGGCACTCACTTCCTTAGCACGTGAACAAACCAAAGACATCATTTATCCAACGAAGTGATTTCCGTGTCGCATTTCTGGGAGAATTATAATTTGACATACTTGTATGCTGCACAGACACTCTAAAAGAGTACAAAATCAGGCATCCCTTTCTCAAAGAGAGATTTCAATTTTCAGTCTCATTTTCATGTAAAATTTTTAAAGTAACACCAATAGGAAGAAGTCTCAATTGTATCGTGCAAAGCAGAAGTTCCATCTGGTTCCATCCTTACATTGTTATCCAGCATCTTCACTAATGCATCCAGCAGATTAACTGGAAATATGGCATGAATCCTTCATTGTGAAGAGGTAAAATTTAAAGAGGGTACTGTCACACCAGTGGATACTAGTTTTTAATTTTTTCCTGAGAGTTACAGGAAGTAGAGGATAGGGGTGCAATTTTTTTGTTGTTGTTCCAAGCTGGAGTCTCACTCTGTCCCCCAGGCTGGAGTGCAATGGCACAATCTCCACTCTCTGCAGCCTCCACCTCCTCGGCTCAAGCGATTCTCCCACCTCAACCTTCTGTATGTGTGCAATTTTTGATCTCTGTATTCAGGATGAATCTGACATTCCAAAAAGGCCTTGAAATTAACTAACCTGGTCCAATATGATAATTTCTTCATTATCCTTGCTCACATTTCAGTTCTTGACTTGAATTGGTTTTGAGGGGATTTTGTGAATCCTGTAATTCACAAAATATTTGTATATTTGTATATTTGCCTTTTTTCAGTTACAAAGATTTCTGTTCAATGCTGATTTATACCAAACTAAATAGGAATTTTCTCCCAGTCTACACTGTAAGTAAGCAATTTGCCCAACCTCATTGGTCAAAGAAGAATCACTAAAATAAAGACAGTTTGTACTTTGGGCCATTTTGCATCCACCAGTGGTAAGATGCAAGCACCATCCAGGGCATCAAGAATGGTAAGGCCAGCTGGGCACGGTGGCTCACACCTGTAATCCCAGCACTGCGGGAGGCCAAGATTGGAGGATTGCTTGAGCTGAGGAGTTTGAGATCAGCCTGGGCAACATAGCAAGTCCCCATCTCTGTATTTAAAAATAATAATAATAATAACGAAAACAAAAATTTAAAAAGAATAGTAAGGCCAAGAACTGATGTTGGCAGATAAGACTTCTGGATAAGGCCCCACACTAGAAGCAATGCAGATAACTGACCAAAGAGATCAGGTAGTTATGCTCATCCCCATTCCCTGGATAAGTAAACTGAAGCACAAAGAAGCTTCATAATTAGACCTTAAGCTGGTAATCAGGGAGCTAAGACTTGACTCCAAAATTCATGACATGTCTATTTCACATTGCTTTCCTTCAAAAAAGAATAGCACCCAAAGTGAAAACAAGGCATTCTCCAAAGATTACTGCATTCTTTTACCTGGACAGAGGAATAGGCACATTCAGAACACTGGCCTGAGGCCACTGTGCTATGAAAAGGAAAAAATTTGGACCCTGTTGGAAAAAAAAAAAGTTACATATAATACTTATTCCAGAGATCAAACTTCAGCATTCTTTATCATGAGAAGTAGAATAGTCTCCCTTTTGTCGAATTACTCAAGCAAGCTTCAGGTCAGGTCCTTTAATTTGCGGAATAGTTACTAAGAACCAGTTTATCAGGTCACACATTACTGAGCAATATAAACTTCATTAGGGCTAATTTTCTTTTGCAGGAAATATAACAGCTGAGGAGAATGCCCACCTAGATCAGATTTTAAAGGCCTAAGGACACCAAAAAGCCATCACAAGAAGACTGAAGTCCAGATCCTCAGGAAAGTCATTAAGGTAAGAAAATGAATTCAAGACAACAAATCTTGCCAGATTGAAGAAACTAATTAAAGGACCCAGCAGAAAGAAAGCCATAGTGCCAAGGGATTCCAAGAAAGCCAGTGTTTGTTCCAAGGGTTGGTCACCAGGTCCACCAATGTCCAAGCCAGATGACAGCCTGAGCTGGCCAACACTCTAGCTCCACAGAGAGCCGAGGAAATGGGCAAGCAACCAAAAACAGGGATTTAAAACAGTCTAATAACTCTAACAATTAACATTTTAAGTAATTATCTAAAGCATCTATTAGAAAATGTAACATTATGAGGAGATAGAGTCAACAGTGTCATAAAAAAACTAAAAATATGAATAATGTTGACCTCAAATAGTTTTAAGGCAATATTAGAGCAATAATAAAAAATGCCAAATTGTCAGTATTTAATGTTTTTACCCTACTCAATGTTAGATATAGTCTACCAAAGCAATGCATAGCTGGATTCAAAGTCAAACTAAAATGGGGCCTAATATAGATTCCAACACCATGAACACTTGGGACCATCTTTGCATAGGGAAGAAGGTGAGTCGGAAGTGATCTGGGTCTCCTTTCCATCATAGCTCAGAGTCATCTTTCCCTCTCCATCTCTGTGAGTCTAGGCCTTTATCTGGCATGCCTGCATCTCTGCAACCTCCTCTGCACTGATTTTTCAATTCTAATCTCAACTCAATTCCAATCACTGTGCATGCCAGATAAATATTCTACATCATACTTGCATCTTATCCCACCTCTATCCAAAAATCTCAATTTTCAGAGCTAAATGGGCTTGGTATCCAAATCCAGACTCCAAGACTCTGTCCTGTCTTCTCTTAGCAGAGATTTCCTATCGTATTTCCCATTGTATCCTGCAATGGCCTAACTGTTTGCCTCACTATCCGCTACACAAGTCCTGCCTCCCCACATTCATTCATTATGCTCTTTAATTATGTCATATCCTCTTTCCTTCCATGCTTAACACCCCTCCTGCTTTACTTTCCCTTCCCTTGCAACCTACGGGTGGTCACCATCACACGAGAAATGGAGGACACTCTAGAACAAATCATTGGCATCTCTCCCACACCCATTTCCAAAAACAATCTGATATGGCTCATTATAAAAAGCACAGGTGCAGTAAAACAAGCACCCAAAAATATTTTATCAGTAACCGAAAGGCAAAATAATAAAGGTGAGGAAGAATGGGAATCATATTTTAAGAAGCTAAACTTAGAACTGAGTTCTGAGTACAAAAATTAGCTCTGAGCTTCACAGCAACCTAGGCAAGAGATAAAACATGATATATTAAGTAGTTTTTATCTGACTTTTATCACATGAATTCATCCGTAGAGATTCAATTTCCTCAGCTCTGAACTCAAAGGAAATTTCCACATGTATTATTATATTAAGGACATGTAACAACATGATGGAGGATATCCTTAACAGCTGTTTTACAGAAAGTGCTAACCCATATCATGATTTCTGACCATGACCCTCAATAAAAACTGAGGGCATAATATTAGCCTCATTCAATTAATACCATTCTGTTGGGAGCCAGAAAGACAGAGTTCAGCTGTATAGCATTATGGTTCTGTGACTGGGCTCAGGGATAACTCCCTCTAACACCAGTTCTTCTGCCTGGACTTCTGGCTGGAGTGATGCATCAGATGGTTCCAAATGGGAGCCACCAGAAAGCACCTGATGGAAACTAACCAAATCCTGTCCCTCTGCAGATGAAGCCAACAAAGGTCACATTTGGGCAGGAAAATAAAAGAGTCACCCCGGCAGAGGGCCACCTGGCATCGCTGGGGAGAAGTGACTGTCCCTGAAATCACTCTGTATTGTGTCAAGTGCTCAAACAAGGACTTTTCTTTTGCATCACAGACCTGGAAAAGACTCAGTGGGCAGGATTATCCAAACATCCGCCTCTGTCCCATATGGCCTGGATAATGGCTCCTGTCTGATATTTCTTTTCAGCAGGTCTGTGGCAGCGAGAGGGGCCCACCAGGCTTCAATGGCAACAACATGCCCATGGGGTAACTAATGGGTTGAAAGGATTGCACAGCACTATCTAGACAACAAAATGCATCTGCCCAAAATAGCATTTTGATTTACCACTCTGCAAAGTGGCACACAGAAAAGTGAAAAAAGGAAGCGATGTATGAGGCTGCAAAGAGTTTCTGACAAACAAATGCCTTTGGGAAGGCCAAGCAGAGTATTTCAATCAAGAAGTTATTGGGAGCAAATAGACATCCTTAATGACTATTACATAAATTGCCCAGGGTCACGTGTACCAGGGTGATGGTGTTCACCACTAGTCTTTTTGTTCTTGATGTTTCTTTGGTTTTTTGTTTCCAGAGTTTGGGACCTGTTTATCCCATAGCATTTGCCCCAAATAAATGACAGCCATTTGGGAGTTGTGGGTCCCCTATGTTTGTCACTACCCCCAATGCATTTTCTGACAAGGGTAGTGTCCTAAAATGAAAGCTGAGATACTTTCATATAGCTTAATGGTTTCAACAATAAAACCATGTTAAGTTTATGATTAAAAAGATAAAATTTTAATAAGGAAGAAAACAAGGAAGGATAGTGGTAGGTTTGGACAACAGCAAGGAGTGATAATTTGCTTTCAGATAGTCATGGTATCAACAGGCTCCACCCTTCACCAGGGAATGTGAACAAATCCATTCGTTAATTTGGCCATGGAGGGACTCATTGGAGATTTCGGGGCAGTGACCATGTCAGAGAATTTATGCTATGTTGTAGCTAACAAAATAGATGTGTTGTAGCATTCAGAGCTTTTGAAGCCCAAATCTTGCCAAATAGTGTCTCTTACTTCAGTGATACTTAAAGCATTATAGAGATTGAGAAAATGTTGAGATCACACTGTCATGACTGCATACACCACCATTCAGACAGGAAGCGCTGACCACCAGTAGGATTCACCTAGGGGAGATGTTACCATTTCAACTGTCTCAACCTTCTAATTGGAGGTCTTCATGAAAGGTTCACTGTGGGGTGATGTAGGCTCATGACTCTGTCACATGACCCTAACTTAATTTGCCTTTTATACCTGCTCAAAGGAACGATTATTGTCAGAGAAACTGTGTGTATCACTTCGCGTCCCAGAAATTCAAGCAGCAGCTCCTAATATTTTGATCCAGAAAGAATACACATAAAATATTCTTTTATATATATATATATATATATATACACTTATATATATATATAAAAGAAGACATATATATAGGTAAGTATATATATACTTACCTATATATAGGTAAGTATGTGTGTGTGTGTGTGTGTGTATATATATATATATATATATATATATATATATATATATATATAAAAGAAGACATTTATGTGGCCAACAAACATATGAAAAAAAGCTCATCATCACTGATCATTAGAGAAATGCAAATCAAAACCACAATGAGATACCATCTCATGCCAGTTAGAATGGAGATCATTAAAAAGTCAGGAAACAACAGATGCTGGAGAGGATGTGGAAAAATAGGAATGCTTTTACACTGTTGGTAGGAGTGTAAATTAGTTCAACCATTGTGGAAGACAGTGTGGCGATTCCTCAAAGATCTAGAACCAGAAATACCATTTGACCCAGCAATTCCATTACTGGGTATATATCCAAAGAATTATAAATTATTCTACTATAAAGACATATGCACACCTATGTTTATTACAGCAGTATTCACAATAGCAAAGACTTGGAACCAGACCAAATGCTCATCAATGATAGACTGGATAAAGAAAATGTTGCACATATACACCATGGAATACTATGCAGTCATAAAAAAGGATGAGTTCATGTCCTTTGCAGGGACATGAAGCTGGAAACCATCATTCTCAGCAAACTAACACAAGAACAGAAAACCAAATACCACATGTTCTCACTCACAAGTGGGAGTTGAACAATGAGAATACATGGACACAGGGAGGGGAACATCACATACCGGGGCCTGTTGTGGGGTTGGGGGCAAGGGCAGGGAGAGCATTAGGACAAATACCTAATGTAGATGACAGGTTGATGGGTGTAGCAAACCACCATGTCATGTGTATACCTATGTAGCAAACCTGCACGTTCCGCACATGTATCCCAGAACTTTTATGTATACATACATATATATATATATATATAAAAGAATGTCTATGTATATATAAAATTGAAATGTAAAGTAGTTTTTTTCCAATTCTGTGAAAAAAGTTAATGGTAGCTTGATGGGGACAGCATTGAATCTGTAAGTTACTTTGGGCATACGGCCATTTGCAGGATATTGATTCTTCCTAACCATGAGCATGGAATGTTTTCCCATTTGTTTGTTTCCTCTCTTATTTCCTTGAGCAGTGGTCTGTAGTTCTCCTTGAAGGGGTCCTTCACATCCCTTAAAAGTTGTATTCCTAGGTATTTTATTCTTTTTGTAGCAATTGTGAATGGGAGTTCACTCATGATTTGGCTCTCTGTCTATTACTGGTGTATAGGAATGCTTGTGATTTTTGCACATTGATTTTGAGAATACACATTCTTACTACAACACAAGAATATACCTTAGAAGTAGCTGAGACATAGAAAGAAGAAATGGGAAAAAGATCATAACATTTTTTCTAAAATAAATGTCGTCCATAACACACAGGTTGAGGGTTCTTGCTCAATGAGTATGAGAACACAGGAATTGTCCATTCCAGAGTGGTTATAATCAGCTCAAGCACACCAATCCCTGTGCAAGCTGCAGAGAGTCGCATCAGCATCCTGCCTTCAGATCAAAGCTGCTGAGCCAGACTCTGGTGGAGGAAGGGCCCCAGAACACCCTGCATCACTCAGAAACCATTCAAGTTCTGGAACTGCTGTTGCAGCAATCCTCACCAGACATCAGGAAATCATGGTTATTTGTGGACAGAAAAAACTGAGGTCATTCAAAGGATCCAGGCCAGATTCCCGAGCATGATGTGGGGTTTGAATGGCCCTGCAAAGAGCCACACATTCATAGTGGGAGCTGATTCCAGTTGGGTTCTATCAGGGAGACCCCCTCACTGTGTCTCCTCCCAGGCCGAGGCAAACGAGTCCCTGCCTTCTCACAATTGCACCTGTGTGCTCACAAGGCTGCGTGTGATGCTGCTGTGAAAGCACTCCCAGCTAAGTCTATTCATCATTGCACACGGTGGGTAATGAAGACCTCGGAGGAAACTGGTTTCCACCCCTGGGGAAATACATCAGGAGCATTCAAAACAACAGACTAGCTGGACTGTAGGAATGATACAGATTTTCCTTGGGGTTCTCCATGAAACTGGAAACTTATAAAGGGAAGATGATGTTATTGCATTAGCCACTCACATCTAAATAAACAGGAGGCAACACTAGTTCTGGGGTAAGTCAAAACTTTGTCTATAAATGCATGAAGAGAAAAGTGCTTACACTTAAAAATGCAGGAATGGGATTGTATCCAACACTGTGCTGTCCAACAGTACCTTCTGTGATGATGGAAATGTTGTATCCCACTCCGTCCATAGAGTAGCCACCAGCCAATGCAGCTACAGAGCTCCGTAAATGTGGCTACTTTGAGTAAGGAACTGAATTTTTTATTTTACTTATTTGCAACTAATTTAATATTAGTCTAAATAGCCACAATGGGCTAGCAGCTACCAAATTGACAGTATAGGTCTAGTGTATAATTTCAGTGATGAAAAAAGACACAATAAGACCTGGAAAAATGTGTGAAATGTCAGTAGTGGTGACTGCAGGGAGGGGGAATTTTTTTCTGCTTTTTAAATACTTTTTCTCTATTTCCAAAGTTTTTTTATTAATAAGCACATATAAATTTTATAATCAGAAAAAGATAAAAATAAATGTATGCTGAAAATATTAAAAGAAGGACAAGATAGGACAACTTCAGCGGTTCCTGTATCTGGCACCAACCTGCTTGCTCAAGCTGATCAATAACCAATAAATGATGAAAACATTGCTGTTGCCCAAACAGCCATCACTCATCAGGAGGCTCCAATTCAAACCTGTCCAAAGTCTACTAGGCGCCAGCCATACTCGGCTTTCCCTTGGACACCTGAATATGCCAAGCTTGTCCTCACTCAGGGCTACCTAAGCTGTTCCTCCTGCTGTTCCTCCAAATCTCCTCTAGCTGCTTAAAATTCCCTTAAATGCTGCCTCCTATCCAATGTAACCAGCCAGTCATCTTCTATGTCATCACTTCCTTTAATTGTCCGCACAGCACTTCTCACTACCTGCTATTTTCTTGTTTATTTATTTGTGTATTATCTGTCTCCCTCCACCCCCAAACTAGAATATAGGCTCCAAGAAAGCAGGAGTCTTGTCTGTTTTGTTCACTGTCCTATGCCCACCACAAAGCACAGTGTCCACAACATATTGGTGCTCCATAAATATGGGCTGAATTAATTGCTAGAGTCCCCAGTATTTCCCAAGGCTGCTCAGAGACTCTGCTTTTTAAGATTTCACTTGCAGGAAAGGGACGGGCTCTGGGACCAAGCTGTCGGGTTTGATCTGGGCAGATAACAACTACCCTCTTCTCTACATATGCTTCATGGTCTATTATTCGTGGGGGCAGTAAACGGATGCTTCATGGAGCTGTGAGAATTCAAATGAGATAACAGAGGGAAGGCACTGAGTGTAGTGCCTGGTGCGTAGAAATGTTCAAACAATATTAGCTGTTATACTTTGCAGATCTCTGGTTTGTGTGAGGAGGGTAGGACAAGTTTGCCAAAATGTATCATTGAGATAAAAGAAAGGGAGAATTAAACTTCAACTACCAGCTTCTTAGGCTGGTCTTTCTGTTATTTTGCTGTGTAACAAACTGCGTCAAAACTCAAGAGGTTTAAGACAAGGACAACAATGATTTGCCCGTGAATCTGTAATCTGGGGTCAGGGGCTCGGCAGGAATAGCTCATCTCTCCTCCACCTGGCAGCACGGCGGCCAAGGCTGGGGCTGGAATCAGACGCAGGCTCACCTGGTGTCCTGTCTGGGGTAGCTGAGGTAGGGAGATTCCAACAGCTATGGCCAAGACAGCCGGGCACTCAGCATCTCTGTAACTCTCTGTGTGGTCTCCAGCCTGGCAGCCTCAGAGCAGCCGGACTTTTGAGATGGAAGCTCAGGGCTCCAAAGGTGCATGGAGAGAGAGGAGGTGAAGGAGGGAGGGGGGAGAGAGAGAAAGAGAGGAAAGGAGGGTGGTGAGGATAACTGAGAAAGAAAGGGAGGGATGGAGAGGGGAAAGGAGGGATGGAGGCAGGAAAGGGGAGAGAGGGAAAGACAGAAAGAGAGGAAGAAGCAGGAGGAGGACTAGGAGGAGGAGGAAGAGGAGAGAAGAAAGGAGAGAGAGAGGAAAAAGGATGAGGGAGGGAGAGAAGAAGAGAAAGAGAGAAAGATAGAGAAAGGACTTGAGAGAGAGGAATTAAGGGAGAGATATGAGATAGAGAGAGAGGTGAAAGCTACATCACCTCTTCCAACCTAGCCTCTGAAGTCATGTCACAGCACTGTCACCACATTCTCCTATTCTCTTCACAGTAGTCACAAGTCTGCCTGCCCATGTTTAAGGGAAGAGGAAATAGATTCAGTCTCTTGATGGAAGAGTGGTAAGTTTCTAGAAGGGTCTACAGGATCAAAAATATTGTTTCAGCCACTTTTGGAAAGGAGCATCTCACAGGACTACCAACTAATAGTTCTAGGCATGTCTTCACCCAATGACCACTGTCGTTTTGAGAGCCGCCCTGTGCACTGCTCTCAGGAAGCACATGTTCCAGGAAGACCCACGCACACTGTTCCACATAACACAGGAAGACATAAGAAACCAGGAAAGCCTGCATCTGCCAGGGATCCACTTTTCCTGTCCTTTGTGCTTTGTGCTACCTTAAGTCTGGCTTTCTGCTGGATGGTAACGTGATGTGAAAGTGGCAGCTCAGATAAGATTCCTGTCCATAAATTCTTTGAACTGAATCAAAATAAATGCAAGCCCAGGATCAGAACTGACAGTGCCTGGCAATTGGTAGGTATTGAGATTGGAAGAGCGTGGAAACTGCTGAGAAGAAGGCACGAGATGCAGTTAGGTCCACTACAGCTCATCCTGACATCATCCGCAGCAGTTCAGAAGTTCTCCCTTTAATGAGTCCTGTGAAACCAACGTGGCCCCTTCCACAGGCTTTTGGACTTGCCCTCCTGGGGAGGAAGGTGTCTTCGGAGGTTTCTGTCATATGGCATATACCTTGTTCTTCAGAGTATTTTCAAACTTAGAATCATTAGCTCCCTTCTCCCCAACCAGTATAGACATGAACATGTGTCAACAGTCCCCAGATACACTGCCTGTGCTTTGAACAGTGTAACAGTGTAAGGTTTCTTATGTGTTCCAGTGCACACTGTTCCAGGAAGACCCATGGCCGATCATTCCTTAGCTCAGAATGCCAGGACAGTGCTTAGCTATGTAGCACCAAAGAAAACCGAGGCACCAATGCCAGCTGTTCAAATGCATCATCGACAAAAGAAAGGTGTACACAAACTCACAGACAGACTGAACTGGTTTCATTTGCTCCTCCAGAGTCAGTCTCCTCCCTTCCCCATGGCTCTTTGCTCTGAGGCTGACGCATACGGACAAACACAAAGACTCATACCCAGCTCCTTTGACTCTGGCTGCTAGATGGGTTTGGCCAACAGAGTGCACTGGCCAGGGGCCAGGGAGGGAGGAGAGAGAGGACAGGTATTTGTCATCCCCGCTGCTCCTTGCAGGTCACTGCACACTGGCTGCATCTCCCCAGTGAAGGTCTCCATTCTTGTCCTTGAACACAACCCCTATTGGTCTCCAGGTTCCAAGAATAGCTGGTCTCCTCCCCTTGCTCCTTCAGGACTATGGCAGTAAAGGAGCTGTTGGTAGCCCTGGGGTACTTCAGGGTCCCTGGTTGGTTTCTCTATACCCTGCACACTCCTGTGTAAATAGTTCCTTTGTTTAGCTCTTCTCGAATTATGCTAATTTGAAAGTGTCACCCATTTCTGGATGTGACCCAGACAGACCCAGGACCCTTCTTCTTTTTTGGTGGGGGATGGAGTCTTGCTCTATCACCCAGGCTGGAGTGCAGTGATGCGATCTCGGCTTACTGCAACCTCCGCCTCCTGGGTTTAAGCGATTCTCCTGCATCAGCCTCCCAAGTAGCTAGGATTACAGGCATGTGCCACCACACCTGGCTGATTTTTGTATTTTTACTAGAGATGGGGTTTCACCATGTTGACCAGGCTGGCCTCGAACTCCTGACCTCAAGTGATCCTCCCCTCTTGGCCTCCCAAAGTGCTAGGGTTACAGGTGTGAGCCACTGCGCCTGGCCCCTTGTTCTTATTAATGGCACAAATCTCTCTCCCAGCCACCTTCACACTCTGCTTTTCCTGAGCACTGTTCCCTAGGGTCATCTCTTATCATGTCACCATTCATTCACTTATCCACAAATAACTTTGAGCTCTAACAGAGAAGACACTGGCTGGATTCAGGGGTGAGGATAACCCCTGCTTTCACAGAACTTACTCTCCACCCTCTCTGTTGAACTCCATTTGGCCAAATATTTCTCAGGAAACCTGAAGGAGAGCCTGTTTCCAATGCCCTGAGACGTAAGGTCATACAGATTGCAAATGGTGACTTCTGTCTTCACTCATCACCTTGTGCTTACCAGGGAGCTGGAAGATGTCCCTCATGAGGAGAAGCTACCTAAGCAAGGACATTCGCAAGCCATCAGCATTAGTCATCTTTTATATAAAAATCACATTGTTCTGGAAGGTGGCCATCCTGTTACACTGTTCAAAGCACAGGCAGTGTATCTGGGGACTGTCGACACATGTGCATGTCTATACTGGTCAGGGAGAAGGAAGCTAATGATTCTAAGTTTGAAAATACTCTGAAGAACAAGGTATATGCCATATGACAGAAGCCTCCAAAGACACCTTCCTCCCCAGGAGGGCAAGTCCAAAAGCCTGTGGAAGGGGCCGCGTTGGTTTCACAGGACTCATTAGAGGGAGAACTTCTGAACTGCTGCCGATGATGTCAGGATGAACTGTGGTGGACCTAACTCCATCTCATGCCTCCTTCTCAGCAATTTCCACTCTCTGCCAACCTCAACACCTACCAACTGCCAGGCACTGTCAGTTCTGATCCTGGGCTTGCATTTATTTTGATTCAGTTCAAAGAATTTATGGACAGGAATCTTATCTGAGCTGTCACTTTCACATCATGTTACCATCCAGCAGGAAGCTGGACTTAAGGTAGCACAAAGCACAAAGGACAGGAAAAGTGGATCCCTGGCAGACACAGGCTTTCCTGGTTTCTCACTGATCAGTGTGTCCCTGGAGGCTAATCATCCAGAAGAAATCTTGTTATCCTACCAGAAGGATGGTACTCCAGGCCTGCCCCAGCCACTTGGCTCACATTTCAAAGAGGAAATGACCCACAGGCTCCCGTTCTGGCCAGTGCTCTGTCTGCATCTACTCATTACTCTTTTATAGCATCGATCAGTCTTTGCTGGGGGGTGGAAACCAGACCCAGCTCTTCAGGCTGGCAAGTTCCCAAGGCTCGTGCTCAGCAGGCAAATGGGCCAGTGAGAACCATGCACTGGTGAATAATGAAGTCCACCTCCCAGGAGTGGCCAATACTGCACACCTCCAGGAAGTACCACTGCCAGGGCTGCTCCACTGGTGCATCGGGGACATCTCAGGAGGGTTTCCAGGAGAAGGAAGCTGCAGTTCTCTCTGGCTGTGCTGCTGCTCATGTGAAATCCCCATTTCCCACTCTCACAAGTTCTGGAAGGTGGCCATCCTGTTACACTGTTCCAAGCACAGGCAGTGTACCTAGGGACTGTCGACAAGTGTGCATGTCTATATTGGTGGGGTAGAAGGGAGCTAATGATTCTAAGTTTGAAAATACTCTAAAGAACAAGGCATATGCCTTACAAGAGGAGCATCACAGCTGCAGAAACCACTGCTCTTGACTTTGCAGAAGGAATACACTGGTTGAGCGGCAGATGGTGAAGAGCTCTGAGCCTGAACCCGATAGGGCCAGGCTTCGACCTTGTCACTAAAATTACCTACTGTGAGATCCCAGGCAAGTTACTCACCAGAGAGCATACTCACCTGCTCCAAAAGTCAGTTGTGAAGATTCAACGTTTCTGAAAATACATCTGGCAAGTGCTAAATCATAGTTGAATAAGGTTAAATGAGCATTAAGAAATAATCGCCTGGTTATAGATGCTGAATGGCCCGATCCTAAGACTTTTCTTAGATTTAGGTTCACCTGCTGCTGTGGTTTTGGGGTGCTATTTGCTCTAGTAAAGGACTGTTCTTGCAGGTCTTCCCATCCATCCCTGTTTTCTGCCACTTCAACAAGGTCCTCCTCTCTGAGCAGCACAATTAGATGGGAGATCTTTTTGCACAGTACCTACAGACATGTCTCCCAAGGAGAACTCTGGAAATGGCTAGGGGCAGGAAACAGGGCTGGGTTTTTATTTTGTATTTTATTTTATTTTGCAGAAGTCACGGTAAGGGTGGACTTGAAATTCTCATGTAGACCTGCTTCCCTCTCCATTTCATGAACTCATAGAGCTGTCACCCAGTGTAGGGTTTGGATACCATGCTCACAGTAATATACAGCCTGCAGATACATCTGTTCTTTGATTCTGGTGGGTGGATAGGAACGAGTCTCACTTCCCTGTTCTGGAACATGATTTCCTACAAAACCTCGATGCCGGCTCACTTAGTATGTGATGTTACCTACAGAATTCTTGCTCTTCCCACTCTGCTTCTTCCATGCCTCGTGACACTGGGGTTTCTTCTTTTTCATCTTCCTCTTAAAGACTATTACTATCTTCTCCTCACAGCTTCACTATCCTATCCATCTGACCTTGTCTTTGACACATCAGCCTCATTTTTGCTGATCTTCTGCCCTCAGGGATGATGTCTTTGGTTGGCACTGCTTTCCTCCTGGGGTCTCTGTCACATTTGAGCCATTTCCTTCTAGCTCTCCAGGTCAAGGAGAGCGTCTGTTGTGGTAGACAGTGCCATCTCCACCCAACATCAGACACTTCACTTCTGTCTTCCCACCATATCATGAGCTCGATCACTCTGGACAAGGAAACCTGAGATGGGGATGCCAATTCAAGCTCTCCCATCATCATAGATTTCAAGGGTGTTTTTAAGGTTCCAAATCCCTGTTTTGACTCTCATTTTATGCACGACACTAAAAACTCAGAAGTGAAAGAGGGAAGGAGTAGAAGCCAGGTGTAAATTCCCACCTCTCACAACTCTGGGCAGCTATAACTTTGAAGACCCACTCTCTTCTTTTCATAAATATACCACCTTTCACCACCACCCCAGGGTGGAAGGGTGATTACAATGAATTTTTTTTAATCTACATTGGTTGTAATATTCAAAGAAAAGGTTCTATGAAGCATGATGTAAGTTTCAAAGTGTTACTGTCTCTAATACGCAGGTGAAAGACAAAAATTTACTTTTTAGGGTTTAGAAGCAATACCATTATCACATTCATCTTATCAATATGTTTAAGTTTTTTGAAAGATTAAATGGATAGCTAGGTGCCCATGAGCTCATGATTGTTCTCTTACAGATGGAAGATAAACCTGAACTCTGACTTTCATATTATATAGGCTGGAGGACTTACTCTCATGTTCTGTCTAAAGCTTTATTTAACTGATGGTCATTGTACTCCTTTGCAGCTCTCAGTACATGGGGAAAGAAGTTTGTTGATCCTAACAAAGCATAAATTGCACTCATATTTGCTCTTGTTCTAAGGCCAATTTGGGACTTCTAAACATTTTTAATGAGCTTTGTACACAAAATCACATATGTCAAAACTCATGCATGCCAGAATTTCTCATCCGAAACCATGCATGGCAGCAAGCAAGTTGAAGCACGTGTCTTCCAGGGCAGTACACAGTGGCAGCCACTTGCTACCCCCTAATTTACTAAAAAACCCTGGGTTAGTGTCCCCTTCGTATTTCCCAACAGCTTTCCCAGTCGCTTCTCGATTCCTTCCATCACTTAGTGAAGACACTACAAATACCTCCTTCATGAGATTCTGATGGGATTCTACATGCCAGGGTTGCCAGAGAACCCATGCATCATGAATTCTTCAGGAAGGCAAATTGCATCTAGAGTCCCTCAAGTTGTTGTATATTCTGATTCTTCCCCATAAAAAATATTTTAATGCAGAAATTAGCTACATATGAAGTTATTAAAAAGGTGTCCTGTGACTGAGGGAAACTTGGAGAAGTCAGGTAAGTATAGTCAAAAAGGTTTGGCAGATGAGGTTGAGGAAGCCAACATGCAGTAATAACCAATTTGTGTGTTGCAAAAGCTAGACCAGTATTTTTCCACCATTAGCATCAAATTCTCAGAACCCGCCCTATATGATCTCATGCATAATTCACACCTTAGCACCACTAAATCCTGTTTCCTCTGGATTTTAGAGCCTTAGAAGAAAAGTACATCAACTCATTTCAGCACCTATGGGCAGTATACCGTCACATGACTTTCCTGTATTTACAGGGTATAAGGAAGTCATAATAAAAGGGGGAAGTGATTGACAGAAAGATACCTACAGACAGTTAGGACATAAAATGTATCAGATAATAAATACATCTACGATCTTCCAAGACAGATCCACAAAGCAGGAGATCTCACTACATGCTGTTGAACAGATGTGAGGGGCTTCCCCAATGCTCCCCACAGAAACACTGATGATTTTGGTCTGACACACGTGTATGGCATGAGAAAGATCCCGCTATATGTGAGAACAACCCCTTTTTAATACTCACTTACCCACACTCCTCCCAGAGGCCCTGTAGACAGAGTTATACCATTGTTCACACACCAGGGACTAGGACCAGCACCACAGCATTCCCCTAAATGCTGCCTCAGACCTGCCTGAAGTTTATTCTTAAACAAGAATATTAGAAGAGAAAAGAGATAAAATAATTACTATAGTATTTAAAGATCCAAATCACCTTTAATGATAATTTCTATTATAGTTAAATAATTAATTTTCACCTTTTGCCTAAGCAAAAAGGTATGTAAGGAAAGAAGGAGCTCAGCAAGTAGTTATAATATTACTCTTAACATTTTTTAAACATTTATTTAATAGGAAAATGTTATTGCAAATGAACTGTAATGTGAACTTTCAACTTCACTTGTACAAACATTATCTTTGGAACATATTTTTCTACTACCCTGTCCTATTCCTTTTTTTTAGATTGAAACAGAATGATTATAGTCATTTGCCATAATACCTAACGTCGTCTGACAGTTTAAAACAGTGGTCTCAAAAGGTATGTCATAACTGGCACGTCCTCAACAGTACCTTATCGTTCTGTAGCTCATCTCAGTAGAAATATCAAGACCTATCAAGCCACTAATGCCTTATTCTGCCTGTCTGATGGCCCATTTGGTATTTGACAATGCCAATTCCTCTGTCCTCACATTTACTGTTGACTTTTCTGCATTTGCTCACTGGGATTGTCATTCACTCTAACCTGGGCTTCCTCACATAGCACACAAAATGTTAACCACATGTCCTAACATCTTTCACACCAAAACTGAGGCCAATTCCACCACTCTTCAGGAGCACAGTCAGCCCAAGCTTTCTCACATGAGAAAGTGGAGTGACTCACTTCTAATCAAGAGGGACATGGTGTGTAAGTGCATATAATTACATGCAGTAAAAGCAACCTGACTCATTTGAAAAAGGCTATAAAAGTTGGGTCTCTCCCAACTGCAAAGTACCAGAAGGTATCTAATTCAAGCCCACACAATCATGAAGTAGTAATTCTGAATTCATTTACCAAATCCTAAAATACTGGAATAAGGCACACCCTCTACAACTCAAAGTATAAGACAAATAAAAGGAAGGCAATCATCCACAGAGGAATAATGGTACAAAACTCATTCATCTCAACATATGGTCCCGGGTATGGAATAAAAGGTGACGCAGAAGGAGTATGGACACATCAATATGCCACTGAGTCACGGATGGCTTCTCAGAAAGACCTAACCTGTAAAGCTGCATCAGGGAAAAAGGTTTCCCTCCAAGGTGTATTCTTTGGGGCTCCCATTGGCCAACTCTTAATTGGACCATGGATCTCATTCTTATTGGTGATTCTTATGTTCCTACCAGTAGACTGGAAGTACCTGGTAATTAATAATAACCAGAGAAGAACCACTGCCCCCCAGATGCCTGTGGAGTCACTAATTTTATCATTCCTTGAAGTGCAGGTATCACACAAGTGCAGAATCTGATGGGCCAGCAATTTGGTCTCAACACTGGAATGTCCAATGGCAGGCTAGAGCCTGGAATTTCCCTCACAAAAGCAGGCAAGCAAGCTCTTCATGCCCTTTTAAGCAGTGCTATGTGTTGGTCATGCAAAATCAAAGAATCAGAACATCCACTTACTTTGTAAGCTGTTTGACAAAACTAATGATTGCCTTTTCATACAGGTTACCTTTCTCAGCAATGTAATTTCTCCTAAAAGTAATGATCACATAATTCTCTTTCAACAAGTATCTAAATTTGAAAACCATATAGAGAACAGTTCCAAAAGACAGGTATATATTCAATCAACTGATACTTTTTTAAGTCCTACTATGTTCTAGGCACTGCTATAGTAATTATGGATACTGATGAAGTCTGCTTTCATGAAGAGGCTAGCTTTGGCAGGAGATGGGAGTGGAGAGGAAGTTAATCAAGGAATTGCAAACAACGTAAAACCACAACAGATGGGGTCTCCAAAGGAGAGGCATATATGGGGTATGCTGATAAAAGTTTAACAACCAGCTCTCTGAGGAAGCTCTGATTTGTAGACTCTGCCAATTTTCATTGTGTAAACACTCCCAGTATGGCCAATACCAACATGATATCATATGGCCTGCAAAATTCCTGGAAATTTCACAACCAGCAGGTACAAGACTAGTATAATCTGGCTCCAGAACACCACTTATATAAGAAGAAGCTGAGCTAGAAAAGGACATGGAATGCTTGAGAAACAATAGACCACCCCAAGGTTCTAACACTTAAGTCCTGGATCTCAAACATTCCATCCCTGGCACCAAAATAGCATAATGGTGGACTGGATGCACCTGGAAATTAATAATAACCAGAAAAGAACCATTGGCTCCCAGGTAACCATCTACTTGTCAGACATGGTGTTACTCCTTTAAGCCAATTATGCTCAAAATAAGGAGTTTGTCCCTCCTAGAAAACACATCCAAACTCACAAAATAGTTTCATTTAATAATAAATTCCCCCCTTGTCACCCACACCACCAAAAAACACCAACATTTTTTCAGTCATTCTTCAAGTAAATTCCATATCCTTTGCTATAGTCACCCACCTCAGTCCCTGAGTCGTGGGCAGCCACACAACACCGCTCAAGGGGGCACTCGAGGAGAATGAAAACAACTTAACAATAGTATTTCTCTAGGAAATACTATTCTTTCAAAGTTTGTGAATCCTCACCCCAAAATCTCATTCAAATTCAGTGGAGTTCATTTAATAGGTTAAGGAATTGTATACCTCTGCCTAAAACACACACACACACACACACACACACACACACACACACAAATGTATCGTATAACATGTTTATAAATTTATAAAAACATAATTATGTATTTTTTAATTTAGTAAATGTCATCTCAAGAACTAGAAGCAGGCACAACAGATTGCCAGATCCTCTGCACGTATTTCAGAGAAAACCATATTAAAGGTTTGAATCAAATGAATAGAAATCATTTGAAATGTAAGCAAGAGGGCATATGGGGAGATGGCACCCAAGAAGGCAGGAGAGAATTCCAACAATTTTGAGCCTGAAGGCCACCGCTGAAGGCTGCACTCCATTTAGAAGCATAATGACATTTGAACAGGTGAGGACACATGTGAAAACTAGTTCACAAATTTAGCCCACAATCTCTCCCAAACTCCAGTATAAAATTCAGCAGACGATAGGCTGAAACTTCCTAAGAAACCTTGTACATAGAATGTTTTAATTAAAATTTGATGAATATGTATTCAGCTCCTAAGAACTTCAGAAGACTCAATATTTTCTGATTAGTATAACTAAGGGTAACTTTCATTTGCCTAGTAAGTTTGCTTCTCAAACTGTAGCTAAATATTTCACTGAGGTTTTCAAAATACTCACAAAGAGCCCACTGATCCTGCTTCTTATTTCTTCTTACTGATATAATCAGCTAAGCAAATGGCATCTTAAAAGTTAAACTGGTTACTTCATCTCATAATCACATACCAGGATAGAAAAGATAAAGGGCCAGGTGCAGTGGCTCATGTCTGTAATCCCAGCACTTTGGGAGGTCGAGGCCGGCAGATCACCTGAGGTCAGGAGTTTGAAACCAGCCTGGCCAACATGGTGAAACCCCTTTTCTACTAAAAATACAAAAATTAGCCGGGCGTGGTGGTGGGGGCCTGTTATTTGAGCTACTCAGGAGGCTGAGGCAGGAGAATCACTTGAACCCAGGAGGCAGAGGTTGCAGTGAGCCAAGATCGTGCCATTGCACTCCAGCCTGGGGGACAGAGCAAGAGTCTGTCTCAAAGAGAAAAAAAAGAAAAGATAAAGGAATGAGAGAGTGACAGTGAGAACCACAGCAAGAAGTCAAGACTGGTTATCAGCAAGGGTTATTGCTTTCAACAAGATTGAACTATACAACTGTAAAGATGGACAAAAATTTCCAGGAAAACTAGGAAAACAAATTTATTTTGTAAGATAGTTAATTATTTAACATATTAATTATAATTTAATAGCATAAAGTTTGACTTTTGCCACAGGTAAACAAATTAATAAAAATCCACACTGATGACAATAACTCCATCAACTGAATACCTTCTATGCAGTAGGCAGTCCAGTTGGTGGTTTTTACACATAACTTATGTAAGTCTCATGCCCCTACCCCCCTCTTAGATATATATTGTTACCCCATTTTATGGATGAGGAAACCAAGGCTCAGCAGATTTCGTAATTTGTCGAAGATCATGACACTGCAAGTCGTTCTGAAGTCTGAATTCCAAAGAGGATATTCTTAACCTTGACACGTTGCTGCCTCCCCACCAACTAGAGCTCTTATCAATAGTTATTCAGCATTCACCAAGAAATCATGAAGTCCATAAATTGTGAATGTCAAAGAAAATGCACAGTAAAGAAGTCCACATTTTTCCCAGTTTACAAATAGGCTGGTTTTAAAATTTGTTTAGAAATCAAAGCACATTTTCCTGAAGAAAAAAAGGAAAGAACAAGAAAGGAAAGAAAACAAAATAATTGGGTTATCAGGTCAGTTCAGAAAAGCCTAATTCCTGATGATGATGACAATGATGATGGTGACGATGATGATGATGGTGGTGATGATGATGATGGTGACAATAATGATCATGATGGCGATGATACCAGCACATGTGGCCAGGCACTCATACTAAGTACTTTACACATATTTAATAACATACCTCAATGGCCATAGGGTGCCAGAAATGCATCTCTTGACTTTGTGCAGAGATTTTCCCCAGGAGCCAAAGTAGGGATGGGGGCTGGGGGCTGGGGGCTAGGGCATCATGGGGGCTGTACAGCAGGGACAAGGGCAACATTTACAAGTGGGAGGAGGTTGCCTTCATGGGCAAACATTTGCCTTCCTCCTCTCCTGTGCAGAGCACTGTGTTAGGGGCTGGGGAGAGATGAATAAGACACCTAAGGCTGGTCTTGTGGGAGAGCTGATACTGAAACCCTTTCAACAGTCTGAAAAGTGCAATGGTAACCATTTTCCAGATGCTGCTGAGAACAGGAGATAGTACCTACCAGAGTGTGTGTGTGTGTGTGTGTGTTTGTGTGTGTGTCTGTGTATGTGAGAGAGAGAGAGAGAGAGAGAGAGTGTGTGTGTGTGTGTGTGTGTGTGTGTGTGTGTGTGTGTGTTGGGGCTAAGGAAAGGCACAGTGTCAGGCAGGGCTTCCAATAGGAGGTGATGGCTGAGCTGAACTTTAAAGGATGAGCATGAAATTGATGATAGGAGGAGCTAGGGGAACAGATTTAAATGTCTGAATTCTCTCCCGAGCACCCACCATTCCACCCCATCCCCCTCTTCATCGGCTCTTCCTCCTCTACCCGGATTTCAAATATTTGTTTTTCCTTCTCTTCTCACTATACATGCTCACCCTGGACAATTGCACCCACTCCCATCCTTTCTCTTTCCATTTCCCTCTGGAGATGTCTCTGCTGAGCTCCAGAGGAACACCTCCAACTAAGTGCCAAACATCTCATCGAAATGTCTGCTGGGCCCCTCAGACTTTACGTACCTCAAACTGAGCTCCTGTCTTCCCCTCTAGAGCTGGAAATTTACCTTGAATTTACCGCTCATCCAGTGAGTGACAGAAGTATTATGAGTGAGTGGAATTTACCACTCATCCAGTGAGGGGGCAGTTTTCTTGGAGGTGGACAGACCTGGCTGTACTTTCTACCATAATCTGCGGTATAAATTCCTATCAAATCTGGTCTTCATGATTAGCACCTATTTATGCCCCACAGTTTACAGCAAAAATTAGAAAGCAGTATGGGCTGTTTTCCAAATGAAACTAATTTAAAATAATTTACTTTTTTGAAGAATTATAATGAGAATCAGTAGTTACAGATAATTTCGATGAAAGCTAATCTCATGACCTAGTAAAAATAAAGAGACTGAGCATATGGTTTGGAATAAATGCGATTCTCTAAAATGCAATCTGGATAATCACTGAATTATTATAATCATTCTCAGGCATGTTTTTATCTTTGTTGATTTTTTTCCATCCACCAGGACTGTGGTCGTATAATAATAACACAACAAGTTTAGAGGACTCTGATCTTTGGTTGCTTAGCAACTTGCAGCTTTGACGAGAATAAAGGATAAAGGGTCCATAGCAAAATAATGCTGTTTGCAATTCAACAGTTATTTAAAAGTTTTAGAATTATTAAAACTGTTCTGTTTTAAATAAAACTATGCAAATGAATAAATACTTCACAGGATCAGTCATCGTTTTTATTTCTATCATACTCTGAATTTGTGGTTGGAGTCAATCACTGAATGGATGACCCAGATTTACTAATTTGAATAAAAATATGATGAGAACACTGTTTAACATGGCAGAGTCATTGTTCCTTCCATAGCAGAGCTCATAATGTTGCTGGGAAAACTAAATGGAAAATGCATTTAAATTACGAAAGGTAAAAGGTGGTGCCCATCCTATAGTCCCTGCTCAGTAAACGCTAGCTGTCATCATCACTATCACTATTATCGTCATTAAAGAGAAATGGATAAACGGGCCTGTGTAGAGAATTCAGCAAATGGCATGCATCCTACAATGAGCATTCTTCCATTTCAGTGGTTGCAAATGTCAGTTAGCATGTTCCTCATTCCTTCATTTATTTTTTATTCATTCAACAATGGTCATTGAGCAACTATAGATGCCAGGTGCCATACCAGGCACAGAGCAAACAACTGGGAACATACTAGACAAAGTGCCTGTCACGGTGTGGACAGATAGCAAACGAGTAAACACATCAATGTAAGTCACTACAAGAACTGAGAAGGGCTCAAGCAAGGGGCTAAGGTCAGTGTGAGGCATCGGAGGAGGGCTCCTTCAGGAGGGGAGGCTTAGTGGGCACCTGAAGGATGAGGGTGACCCATGCATGGGTAGAGCTGAAAGAAGAGGGAGTTTTTCGTGACAGGATGTGCAAAGGGCCTGAGGCAGAAAAGAGCCCATATGTTTGTGCTGGGTGCCCCTCTGAGAATGGGATGGACAAAGTGGGCTGGGGTAAAGGAGAGATTGGAGAGGGAGCTGGATTTGTGTTCTTATGAAAATATTATTTTCATACTTTGCCAGGGCCTCTCAAAGTCACATTTAGTCAGGCAAATACACCCACATTTGCACTCCCCACAGAATGGAGGCCATGTCTATGGGATGGTGCCACTGACTGTTCATCTGGCACAGCTACAGCCTTGCCCCCACTCCCAGCCCGCACTACCACCGTCACCACCGCTGTCACCACTGCCACCCAGTCAACCTGCACCCAGGTTCTGAGTCAGCTTTCACCATCATTACCATGGCTGTCCTGGGATGCTGCAGCATGGTGGACTCTGGAATGGTCCAGGAAAGACACAGCTCTGGCCAACCTGACTTAGCCTGGGGGCTAGAGCAGGCAGAAATTCTAGAAATTCAAACAAGCCAACAGAGGCAAACCCCAGAGACTTTATGGGCTCACACCTCATCCTGACTCCAGCCCTCCCTCAGGGTGGCTCAGAGACCACCGCACCCCATCTCTGACCTATCTAGCAAGAAGCCCTACCCAGGCCTGTCTTCTGCTGCTCCTCCATGAGCTGACTCCAGCCTGACTCCAGCACTCACTCAGCTCACAAACAAATCCTGCTGATAGAGGAGTGACTGTTGGCTGAATGCCATATTGCCATCCCAACAGTCCAGACACGAACCTCCTGACTGTCCTTAAAACCGTAAGCCAAACAGGTGGCTTTAATTGTAGAAATTCCCATCAAACCAACATGCTAGGGAAGAGGAGTCTTTTGTGGACTTACAATCAATTCCCTTCACATCATAACACAATGTGTACAGAAAAACTGCAAATGAAGCCAAAATCCCAAAATCTTTACATAACTTAAAGGTACAAGACTTGACTTTTCAATGTCACTCTGTCAAAGATTAGGGTATCTTTCTTTCCAATTTTATTTTATGCACCTTAACATAATTTTGATTATAGCACTGATCAATTTTGTGTCTTCTTTTTTCTTTTCATATAATTTCATAGATGCAAGATTGTCTTTAAAAACATCTTTTGCAGTGGCTAAGCTCTGTCATAGAGCTATGCCATTATTTAAACATTCTCCTATTAACTTGAAAACATTTAGGTGTTTTCCCATTTTGGACTATTACAAATAATGTTTTGATGAATATCTCTGTTTATACAAATTTCCAACTTCTTTTTTTTTTTTTTTTTTGAGACAGAGTCTCGCTCTGTCACCCAGGCTGCAGTGTAGTGGCACGATCTCGGTTCACTGCAACCTCCACCTCCAGGGTTCAAGCAATTCTTCTGCCTCAGCCTCCTGAGTAGCTGGGACTACAGGCGTCTACCACCACACCCAGCTAATTTTTGTATTTTTAGTAGACATAGGGTTTCATCATGTTGGCCAGGCTGGTCTCGAACTCCTGACCTCAAATGATCCACCTACCTCGGCCTCCCAAAGTGCTGGGGGATTACAGACGTGAGCAACCACACCTGGCCCAAATTTCCAACTTCTTTCTAAGGACAAGCTCCAAAAAGGGATATTATGAAATCAAAAGATTTAAGGTTCTTAATTCATGTTGTCTAATTGCTTTCCAGAAAAATGAACAAATTTCCATACCCCCAATTGATAGAGGTGCCCATTTCACTTCAAGAAGTATATTTTTAATGAAATTTGACACTACTTATCTGTCACAACATTTTAATATCTGTAGCTGCCAAATTTAGACATAAGGCTAATAGAGTAATTTCACACAATATTTACATAACTGGCACTGCTTTGGGTCATACTGATGTCCAGATGGATTCCCAGTCAACTCTACCTTAACTGTCACCATTTCATTCCTTTCTTCCTGTCCCCTTGATCTGGCTGGTAATTAAAGTTGGCCAGCAAGTGTTTGGCAAGTTTCCGTTGTGGCATAGAATCTATGCCAATCCACTGCCATTGCAAACCCACATCAGCAAACAGGTTGGCTGGAAACCTTTCATCTCTCATCAAACGGGATTAAGTAATAGTTTTCCCTAACCTACTTCACCAGAGAAGTACAATCGGGGTGTTAAGAGCTCCTCCCATGACAGGATACACCAAACGGACCTTCCTGGAAAGGACTGGTCCGCCCACAGGGACACAGTCAGTGCTAAGTCACCTTGAAACTCAAACTTCCCACAAGTAACACATGGATGTCTACTCTGGCACTCAATCCTGCCTATCCCAGACTTCTCTGTAGCAATCAACAGACGGACGCATGGATTTGTGCAGCTTTGAATTTTTGCAGCCTCAGCAACATTGAGCAAGCCACACTCCTCCAATTTAATTACGGAAATTTATGGAGAGGAAGAGGGGTTTCCCAGCATCAACTTGAAGACTGAAATGCAGAAAAGTCTGGGTTTGCATTGGCCAGATACATCCTCTTGGAACCATCTTTGGGTTCCTGGGATCCCACATCCGTAGTTTGTGGAAGATGCCGCTAGATAATGGGCTTGATTTTTTCAAGATCTTGGCCCTCTAGGCAGCAGGGTGAACCCTTCATGAAATACCACGTTTCTAACACTAGGACCTTTAAAAGCACATATGAAGATTTAATGTATAAGACTGCTTCCTGGGAGACACAGGAAAGTGTATGTCACTTGAGCACATATTTAAAATAAACCTATTCATGGTAGCAAAGACATGGAATCAGCCCAAATGCCCATCAACGATAGACTGGATAATGTGGCACATACACACCATGGAATACTATGCAGCCATAAAAAGGAATGAGATCATGTCATTTACAGGGACATGGAGCTGGAAGCCGTCATCCTGAGCAAACTAACACAGGAACAGAAAATCAAACACGGCATGTTCTCGCTTATTAGTGGGAGCTGAGAAATAAGAACATATGGAACCAGGGAGGGGAACAACACACAATGGGGCCTGTCATGGAGTGGAGTTGGGGGAGGGAGAGCCTCAGGAAAAATAGCTAACGCATACTGGGCTTAATACCTAGGGGATTGGCTGATAGGTGCAGCAAACCACCATGGCACATGTTTACCTATGTAACAAACCTGCACACTGCACATGTACCCCAGAACTTAAAATTAAAATTAAATGAACTCCATAATCCAAGTTTATGCCTATACGTTTAGCCTATGGTACCTATAGTCCTGTTTTTCCACCCTGATGGCCACTCCCCTCCTTGGTCCTGGGTTAAAGGTGTCTTCTTGAACACAGGGAGTTAGCTGATTTCTCCCAAAGCTGCTGAGCAGGTGGCTTTGGTAGAGCCATGACTTCCTAATGATGCAAAAGTTTAGACATATTTCTCTTGTTAAAATTCATTTAAACATGCAAAGTTTAAAACCATTTTAAAATGTGTTTCTGCACACAATTTATTTTAGCCAAGAGAAAAGAAGTGAGATGAGAGCATTCACATCAGCATACTAGAAAGCACTGGAGATGTAACCTGGCAGGACATCAAGTCAGAAAAAAAAATATGTTTAACTCAGATTGGATGAAAGGGAAATACCACCACCTACCAGTGTGAAAATCCCTTGGCACTTCCTGCATTCTGAAAGTGTATCCACACACAGGCACATTCCCTTTAATCACGGGGTGCTGGGGAGTGGGGAGGGGCAGATACCACCAATGGCTCTCCCTGGCTGCAAGGAAAAAACATAAGCACTCCCACCATTATGATAATCATAGTCTTCAAAGCAACCTCAGAGAATGTGAAAGCCAGCCTTCCATCATAGAGCTGACATAATTAAGTTTCGAAAAAGGTGGTTTGCCCAGGGTTTTGCTGTGAGCTATTATAGAGTCTGACTTCTGGATGCCCCATCTAGAACTCTCTCTAGCATAACAACCTAGCACCCAAGGCTGGTACCACTCCAAAGTTCATTCTTCTGTTCAAACACAGGATTCCTACATGCATCAACCTTTGGCAAGTGTAATTTGAGTAATTATATTGGAAAGCTGCAATTATTTCCTTTCTGTGGGTCACTGTAGTCTCAGAATATTCATGAGTAAATCTTCCAAATGATCAACCCCTAGTAGTCCGCAGGCGTAGCTGCCCTTTAGAACCACTTGGGGGTTTCCTTTTGTTAATATTCTGCTGAGACACCAATCCCAAAGATTCTGATGTAATATATGTGAGTAGGGCCCAGGGATTTGCATTTTAAAGCTCACCTAGAGGTCTAATATGTGGCCTGGGTTGAGAACCACTCATGGAGAGAGGCAGACTGTTTTTTCTTCTTTTGCCTATAAAGCAAAATATGTCTTGCAGGGATCAACTTTAGAGTCTCAAAGAATGACAAGATCTTTGCTCTTCTACAATCTGGATAGCTTTGGAAAAGTCACTTAACCTTCTTGAGCATGTTTTCCCGTCTAGTTAGTAACAACAGTGCACAGAGAAAACATCTAATTCACCTTGCTATGCCCAATGCCAGGATCTGAATGGAACTAGCATTTGATAAAACGTTATTGTTGAATTGAGTGAAGTTGCTACACCGAATGCACCCAATCTCCCTTCCAGCTCCATCACTCTGGGACTACTCATTCATTCACTCAACAAACACTAATATTAAGTTATCAACTACATTCAGGCACTAGTTCAAGGGCTTATATCTGTGGGAAAAAAAAATCTCTGCCCTTGTGGAGATTAAGTTCCAGCAAGAGACAGACAGACTGTAAATGATGGACCCAATGAAAAAGTAAGTTACAAAGGAGGTAGAAAGTGACAAACATTATGGAAAAACAGAGCAGAGTAATGGGGTTTGTGTTTGTGTGTATACATGTTTGTAGATCTTGGAACTAATATTTTATTGCTGACTGCAATTTTTGCTTATTACATTGCAATATTAAACATTATGCAATGGCCAAGTTCATCCTTATCACTGCCCACTTATTAAGAATAAATACATTATTCATTTTTAATGCTGTGTCAGTAAAGCTACAAGACTTTTTTATCATCAGTTTGAGTCTTTTGTTTCCTCTAAAGTTGGACCTGGTCATTCAGACCAACCATCCTGCTGAGAATAACTAAAAAGCTGGATAAGTGTTGTTTAAAGTACTTTGAAGGGTGTCCAGCATTTGGGAAAGCTTTTTCTCAAGGAGTATCTGAATTTTCCAGAAGAAGTTGCTAAAATCCTGAGAAATTGAGAAGAGACAACAGTGGCTTCACTGAACTCTAAGCTCTAACCCTCTATAGTTAGATTTTGTATTTTATGCAGTTTGATGATCTTTGTATTTTAAGGAGAAGATTTAGTTCATTTATATTTACTTGCCAATATAACAGAGTTTATTTCTACCACATCGCAGCTCTGGTTCACTCTTAATGGAAAACTACTATCCTTTGAGTTTCTAGTCCTAAATGAGGGGAGATTAATCAGGCTCCTGTGTTCTGAGACGTGAGATTTATCAGAGCTTCCCGTTCAAAGATTGGAGCCTAATAAATCTCTCCATATTTAGGGTTGGAAACTCAAAGGATAATAGTTTTCCATTAAGAGTGAACCAGGGCTGTGATGTGATAGAAACAAACTTAATTATATTGGCAAGCAAATATAAAGGAACCAAATCTTCTCATTAAAAGACAAATATTATGAAACTGCATAAAATACAAAATCTATAGGCTATTTGCTAAAGAGACACTTTAAATATAAGTATACAAAAAGTCAGAAAGCAAAACAATTGGTTAAAAAAAAAAAGATGCATTATGCAAACACTAACTTTAAAAACTTCCAGTGGTGGACACATGACTGAGGCCTGACCAATCAGCAGAATCTAACCCCTCAGCCACAATGACTGGTTCAGAGATGCACACGTGACCCAAGTCAGTCCAACCAGAACTAATCTCAGGACTTTCCTGATCAACTGAAAATAGGTGCTCTCTGTTTCCCTAGGGTTGCTGGCAATATGAATAGTGTGAACCTGGAGCTGTCAGAAGTCACTATTCAGAATCTGAGAATGAAGCCTATAAAACGGAAAGTGGACCCAAGAAATGAAGAGACTCATGGCCCAGGTGATATAAGTTGAGCTCCCAGACACTGCTGTGCCTACACTTTTCAGCCACATGAACCTACAGACTGCCTTTGATGCTTAAGTTATTTGAATTGAGTCTTCTGTTGCTTGCAACCCAGAGGGTCCTGACTAATACATACAATGTAGAAGAACCCTGATCTGACCTGGTCTTCAAACCTCTCTGGCTTCCATTTTTTTCAACTCTAAGATGACAAAATTAGATATCACTTGATTGCTAAAGTTCTTGCAGGAGTGCTTAGTGCATGCATATTTAAGATACTGTATATCTACTTAATAAAAACCCAAACACATCATTGCATTTCTGGTTTATTCATACTCACTCAAACACAGATATTACACTCATCTTAAAATCAGTACTTCTATTGGCTTTCAGCTATGGTTAACCAAATGACTGAATCTTATATCACAAGTGATTATGCAAGTTGATTACCATTTTCAGAAACTCATTTTATCTTTAGAGATTTTCTGTAAGTTAAACTATAAAACTGTACTTTTAATGAGCAGTTACTTCTGAATATATTGGGCAAAAGCATTAAGCCATGCATAAAAATTGCTTCTGATGTAAATAAAAATGGTTTTGGGGTTCATCTTAAAACAATGGCCTGCACATCTAAGATGTCTTACTTGCCAAAAAATAAAATGATGCAATGATTACAGTTAATATTCCACTGTTTCAATTCATTCCACATAGTTTTAAACTGAATGGAATGTATTTGAGAACTTTGATCAGCATCTTTTATAAAGTATTTTTCTTATATAAGGATGAGCAGATAGCTGTTATAAGAAATAACTATATGTAATATAATACATATAATTTATATTTTATAATATAAAAAATCTAAGAAAGCCCTGCATTTGTAGACAAAGGATTCCAATCTCAATGCACTGCTATATGTCTTGGGCAAGCCACCAAGAACCTCTGTGCATTCCAGTCTGATATGGTTTGGTTGTGTCCCCACCCAAATCTTATCTTGAACTGTAGTTCCCATAATCCCCACATGTCATGGGAGGGACCCAGTGGGAGGTAACTGAATCATGGGGGCAGTTATCCCCATGCTGCTGTTCTCATGATAGTGAGTGACTTCTCACAAGATCTGATGGTTTTATACGGGACTTTTCCCCCTTCTGCTTGACATTTCTCCTTGATGCCACCATGTGAAGAAGGACGCATTTGCTTCCCCTTCCATCATGATTGTAAGTTTCCTGA
Source organism: Homo sapiens (assembly GCF_000001405.40). Classification (NCBI taxonomy): domain Eukaryota; kingdom Metazoa; phylum Chordata; class Mammalia; order Primates; family Hominidae; genus Homo; species Homo sapiens. The sequence goes on from NC_000002.12 coordinate 229,693,289, forward strand.
GCCCTCCCCAGCCCTGCAAAACTGAGTTAATTAAACCTCTTTCCTTTATAAATTACTCAGTCTCAGGTATGTCTTTATTAGCAGTGTGAGAACAGACTAATAGAGTAAACTGGTACCACAGAGAGTGGGACGCTGCTGTAAAGATACCCAAAAATGTGAAAGCAACTTTGGATCCGGAACCATTTGGAGGGCTCAGAAGAAGAAAGAAAAATGTGGGTAAGTTTGGAACTCCCTAGGGACTTGTTAAGTGGCTTTGACTAAAATGATAATAGTGATATGGACAATGAAGTCCAGGCTGAGGTGGTCTCAGAAGGAGATGGGGAACTTGTTGGAAACCAGAGTAAAGGTCACTCTTGCTATGCAAAGAGACTGGCAGCATTTTGCCCCTGGACCAGAGATCTGTGGAACTTTGAACCTGAGAGAGATGATTTAGGGTATCTGGAGAAAGAAATTTCTAAGCAGCAAAGGGTTCAAGATGAAGCAGAGCATAAGAGTTTACAAAATTTGCAGCCTGATGATGCAATAGAAAAGAAAAACCCATTTTCTAGGGAGACATTCAAGCCTGCTGCAGAAATTTGCATAAGTAACAAAGAGCCAAATGTTAATCATGAAAACAATGGGAAAAATGTCTCCAGGGCATGTCAGAGACCTTCACAGCAGCCCCTCCTATCACAGGCCTGGAGGCCTAGGAGGGAAAATGGTTTTGTGGGCCAGATCCAGGGCCACCCCACTCTTTGCAGCCTTGGGACATGGTGCCTTGTGTCCCACCTGCTTCAGCTCCAGCCATGGCTAAAAGGGGCAAATGTACAGCCCAGGCCATTGCTTTAGAGGGTGCAAGCCCCAAGCCTTGGTGGCTTACATGTGGTGTTGAGCCTGTGGGTGCACAGAAGTCAAGAACTGAGGTTTGGGAACCTCCACCTACATTTCAGAGGGTGCATGGAAACGCCTGGATGTCCAGGCAGAGGTTTGCTGCAGGGGCAGAGCCCCCATGGAGAACCTCTGCTAGGGCAGTGCAGAAGGGAAATGTGGGGTCAGAGACCCTGCACAGAGTCCCCACTGGGGAGCTGCCTAGTGGAGCTGTGAGAAGAGAGCCACTGTCCTCCAGACCCCAGAATGGTAGACCCACTAACAGCTTGTACCACGTGCCTGGAAAAACCACAGAGACTCAATGACTTCCGCCTGTGAAAGCAGACAGAAGAGGGGGCTATACCCTGCAAAGTCACAGGGTCAGAGTGGCCCAAGGCCATGGAAGCCCACCTCTTGCATCAGCATGACCTGGATGTGAGACCTGGAGTCAAAGGAGATCATTTTGGAACTTTAAGGTTTAATGATTGCCCTATTGGATTTTAGACTTGGATGGGACTTGTAGCCCCTTTGTTTTGGCCAATTTCTCTCATTTGGAACAGGTGTATTTACCCAATGCCTGTACCCCCATTGTATCTAAGAAGTAACTAACTTGCTTTTGATTTTACAGGCTCATAGGCAGAAGGAACTTGCCTTGTCTCAGATGAGACTTTGGACTTGGACTTTTGGGTTAAAGCTGGAATTAGTTAAGATTTTGGGGGACTGTTGGGAAGGCATGATTGTGTTTTGAATGTGAGGACATGAGATTTGGGAAGGGCTAGGGGTAGAATGATATGGTTTGGCTGGGCCCCCACCCAAATCTCATCTTGCATTGTAGTTCCCATAATCCCCATATGTTACGGGAGGGCCCCCCCTGCTGCTCTTTTCATGACAGTGAATGGGTTCCCATGAGATCTGATGGTTTTATAAGGGGCTTTTCCCCCTTTTGCTCAGTACTTCTCCTTGATGCCACCATGTGAATGAGGACATGTTTGCTTCCCCTTTCACCATGATTGTAAATTTCCTGAGGCCTCCCCAGCCATGCTGAACTGTGTGTCAATTAAACATCTTTCCTTTATAAATCAGCCAGTCTCAGGTATGTCTTTATTAGCAGCATGAGAATGGACTAATACACAGTCTCATCATCTATCAAGTAGGGGAAATGCCTCCTCCAAAGAAATGTGAGGATTAAAACACATAATATAGGGAAAGGAACCTAGCATGTAACCCTTCATGTAAGTAACTGAACACTTAACTTGAATCTGAATGTCCATAAGAATATATTTATTATAAATCCCCACCCATGCCTCCCCCACAGGATGGTCTTCAGTGTTTGCAATGTCTGGGCATTAATGCTCTGGTGGAGACAGCCCTGGGTGGAGAGTCAGCAAAGTCTAATCCTGACTTGGACATTCATCTCTTTCACCTTCATTTTCTTCTGCAGAATTAGTGAACTGACCAATACAATTTCTAGAATCCCTTCCCACTCTAAACATCTATAAAATGCATTGCTGTTGTAATCAGTACTCAGAAATGACCAGTGGTAGAGTGAGTTCCCCAAATTGCATTGAAAAACAAAGAACTCTACCTCTTTCCCAGTATTCCATAAAGCCGAACTCGTTAGTGTCAGACTGGGAGTAGGGCAGGCCTGGAAGACCCCAAGTTCTGGGAACGGAGGATGAATAGTAAGCTGAGGGTCATGCTGAGCCCTTGACCTGAGGATGAAATTGTTTATGAGCTTCTCTGGGCCTCAAACTGTCCAGAGTTGCCAGAACTGCTCCCTGATGGAGATTTGTTTCTTTGTTTGTTTGTTTGCTGGGGGTGGGAGAGATCTGTGCATTAGGAGACAAACTGAGCCAAAAAAACACCCAGTTTGCACTCCTTTCTAAACCTCATTACTAAACCTCACTGCCCAAATCCTAATCCCTGGGAAATTAACAAGGCTTGGGTTATGAAAACCAAGTCTCCTGGCAGTGGTTGCTAAGCAACAAGTGATCTACAGTCTTTTAGCCCTGCTTTGGCTCATCAAGCACAGGGGGTCCCACCCCCAGCCCACTCAGATTTCTCATTTATACTGAGCTCATTAAAAAACCAGCAATATAAGTGCTCTAGGTCAACCCACATGAGCTAGTTTCTTAACAAACAAGTTGACTGGGATAGTATTACAACCCACGATGATTGACGGGGAGGCTGTATTTCTCTGCATGATGTATTAAATGTGCCTGAGGGGTGCCAGGTCCTAGGAGGAGGAAACTGACCAAATACCAAAGACCTTTCTCAAACCCTGTGCTGTTGCTTATAATCTGGACGGCCTTGCATAATTATTTTTTCAACTTTCTGGCCTCAGTTTCCTCTTCAGTGGAGTGAGGCAATTGGACCAATGACATCTAGGGCCACTTATTCCCAGTGGCTCAAGTGCCCCAGCAAGCTCTCTGCTTCTCCCAAAGGAGCTCAGCAGACCACAGGAGTTAGCATAAGGCATAACTTACTGGAGTGGAGGGGCAGCATTCATGGCCTAGGCTGAGCCAGAGAACAAAGCTTCCCAATTCACAGGCTTTCTTGGGAGGGAGGTACAGGAGGCTGGGCCTTACATGAAGAGACAAGGGATTTGAGCCAGCAGAGTGTCCTGGGGAGCTGAGACCTCAGATCACGGCTGGAATGGAGCTTCTGGGATGCTATCACCCAGGTAACGACAGTAGCAAGACATTAGTCTGGAATGCAAGGAGAGGCTGCAAGTAACCATCCAGGGGGGATCCTGGGGCTCAGGTTGTGTAAGAAGATAACACAGATGGAAAGCCATCTGGTAGTTCCTCAAAAATTTAAATATGGAATTACCATATAACCCAGTCATTCCACTCTGAAGTATATAACCAAAAGAATTAAAAACTGAGACTCAAACACACACTTGTACGAGCACATTCATAGCAGCACTATTCACAATAGCTAAAGGGTGGGAACAATTCAAATGTCCATCAACAGATGACTGGATAAACAAAATGTGATATATATGAACAATGGAATAGTATTCAGCCATAAAAAAGCAATGAAGTATGGATAAATACTGCAACGTGGATGAATCTCAAAAACATTATACTAAGTGAAAGATGCCAGACACAAACAGTCACATAATGGATTACTCCATTTCTATGAAATATCGAGAATAAGTAAATCCATGGAGACAGAATGCAGATTGGTGGTTGCCAGTGACTGGGAGGAGGGAGGAAAGGGGAGCAACTGCTTCATGGATACAGTGTTTCCTTTTGGGATGGCAAACATGTTTTGGAACTAGATTATGAACATACAAAATGCCACTAAAAGGTTCCCTTTAAAATGGTTACTTTCATATTATGTGACTTTTACTTCAATAAAATGTTTTAAGACAACACAGATTCCACAGATATACCTGGGATGGTTTATGATACAGAGAATTGGAGATATGGGATGATGAGACACCACAGGACGTTTCAAGACTCTTTATTAACTGTCTACTTCAATATGAACAAACTTCATTGATGTTCCTTTCTAGTCTAATGGACTGTGGTCAGAGGCCTAAGAATAGAATACAAGAACTCTCCAAGGAAGCATGCTTCTTCCCAGGTTTCTCATTAGGAGTTTACACCAGGAGACAAGCAGCCCTTCATCAGGAGAACCCATGAAGGAAGCAGGTGTACAGGTGAGCCCTAACAGGAAATAAAGACTCCCTTTTCTAGGAAAGAAGACCTGCCTCCAACTGAGGAAGGAGTTTTCAAGGCATGCATGTAGAAGTAGAAGAGCAGGGCTGGGCACATTGGTTCACGCCTGTAATCCTAACACTTTGGGAGGCCAAGGCAGGGGGACTGCTTGGGACCAGGAGTTCAAGACCAGCAACATAGAGGCCTGGGCAACCTAGAAGGACCCCCGTATCTACAAAAATAAAAAATAAATTAGCCAAGTATGGTGGCATGTGCCTGTAGTCCCAGTTACTCGGGAGACTGAGGTGGGAGGAACACTTGAGCCCAGGAGTTCAAGGCTGCGGTGGGCTGTGATTGCACTCCCACCACTTGCACTCCAGCCTGGGTGACAGAGCGAGACTCTGTGTCTCTAAAAGAAAACAATAAAAGAAAAAAAATGTGGAAGGGCAAAGTGAGGCAAGGAGATCAACTGAATGGCCTCTGTCAACAGCCTTGTACCCTGCTGGTCTCCATTTCCTGCACAACATTTGCAAGTCAATCATTTTTCCAAATATACAGGAGAAAGAAGAAAACAATCAAGCATACTCACATACTACCGGGAAAGATCTATGTTAGGAGAAAAAGCTCTTGACTTCGCCTAAATTCCCACAGGCTCTACTTGCATTTATGTGCTCTTCTAAGCATATAAAACATCTGTAGGGTCCGGGGAAAGCAAGGGAAGCAAGAAAAACCTTGCATAAAATCGACTTGTGATTTTTAAAAAGGTGTCAGCATCGGTTTTTGGCATCACGCTGTTAAGTTTGAACGTAATGATAACAATTTATTTTCCTTAGGAGACAAAAAGAAAGGTGACTTCCCCTTTAGTCAGTGTGCAGCTCCAAAATTTCCACCCTCCCACATCCTACTCTCCCTTGGTAAAATAAAAAAATAATAATAATATGGAATTTACTTCTCTCCAGCTAAAGGTTTATTTGGGGCCTCATAGAAATGCTAATATTAGTTCTCATTTCTCTGTTTTTCCTATTATCTCTCTCATTATGAGGCTTTTCTACAGAAATAAAAGAATTCCCTTTTGCACAACCAAAAAAACCAATGGCCAATTTTAAAGAGTAAAAATGAAGATAGAGGGTCACAAAAACCCCTCGTCAGGAGAAATAAGGCTGTTCTCAAGGGGAAAGGAGCTAAAAATACAATATGGAGAGTAAAGCATAAGGGAAATTTGCATTTTGCTGAATATTAGTGCAAGCCTTTCTGCCCAAGCCTGGTTGAAGAACATTGTTTGAAATCAGACCATTACACCATCAAAAACTTTTAAGAAATACTCTATTATCCAATAATGCCATTAAAATTAACTTGGTGATTGTAACAAAATACTAAGGAACACACGACAATTATTAAAAGTGTGCTGAGTAGTTCTTAAAAAAAAGAATCTTGATAAAATGGTTGCAGTGTTCCAGCCTCAATAAAAAGTCAAGACAAATTAAAAATATTTAAATATGACTTAGAAAATCTATGCCAACCCTTCTTAAAATAGGCATAAATTGAAGTTAAATTTAATTGTACTTTTTTTGTTGTTTTTTTGAGACAAGCTCTTGCTCTGCCGCCTAGGCTGCAGTGCAATGGCTGGATTTCAGCTCACTGCAAACTCCTCCTCCTGGGTTCAAGCGATTCTCCCACCTCAGCCTCCCAAGTAGCTGGGACTATACGCATGCACTGCCATACCGGCTAATTTTTGTATTTTTAGTAGAGATAGGGTTTTGCCTTGTTGCCCAGGCTGGTCTCGAACTCCTAGGCTCAAGCGATCCACCCACCCCACCTTCCCAAAGTGCTTGGGATTACAAGCATGAGTCACCACGTCCAGCTTTAATTGTACATTCTAAAGAAATAATAGAATCAACCTTATCAATACAAATCTTGGACAAAATAGAATTTTTCAAAAGCAAATTCTTGGCTTGAATCTGCTCATTCTCAACATATTATACAGTATGGTAACAGTATAAAGCATAGACTTCTAATTAAAATTGATCAGCTTCCCCATTAATGAATCTGGCTAAATAAGAACCAAGAATTATAAGCTTCTAAAGAGCAAAACAATGAGCATAAGCGAAGTCAAATGAAAAATGATACATAGGGAAAAAGAGATTTACAACACAAAGGACAAAGGGCGAATTTAATTTCCCTCATTAACAACAAGCCATTACGAATCAATGTGGGGAAAATGTACAACCCAAAAGAAAATTAGACAAAAATAGGAACAGGCAATTTCATTAAAAAAAAAAAATCTTCCCTCATTCATAATTTTTTAAATGCAATTAAACCAATTAAATATCATGTTTTACCTATCAGTTAACACAAAAAAAATGGGGGCTAGTAGGCATTCTCATATGCTGTCAGTAAATTTGCAAAATTCTCCAACCTTTTTGGATGGCAACTTAGCAGTATTTATTAGAATGCTTAATGTATATACATTTATGTCAATATATGTGTGTGTGTGTGTGTGTGTGTGTGTGTGTGTGTATAGGGGTCAGTGCAACATTTTTTTTTTTTTTTTGAGACAGCATCTCACTCTGTCATCCAGGCTGGAGTGCAGTGGTGTGATCTCGGCTCACTGCAACCTCTGCCTCCCAGGTTCAAGCAATTCTCCCGCCTCAGCTTCCCAAGTAGCTGGGTTTATAGGTGTGTGCTACCACACTCAGCTAATTTTTTGTGACATTATTTAAAAACTGGAAATAATGTGCTTTAGTAAGGACTGAATATGTAAACAGTCACACAATGGCATACTAGTCAACCATCGAAAATAATGGGTTTGCTTTCTGTTTTAAGATATGGTGGCCAGGCACGGTGGCTCATGCCTGTAATCCCAGCACTTTGGGAGGCCGAGGTGGGCAGATCATGAGGTCAGGAGATCGAGACTATCCTGGCTAACACGGTGAAACCCCATCTCTACTAAAAATACAAAAAAAAAAAAATTAGCCGGGTATGGTGGCACACACCTGTAGTCCCAGCTACTCGGGAGGCTGAGACAGGAGAATCGCCTGAACCCAGGAGCCACTGCACTCCAGCCTGGGCGACAGAGCGAGACTCCGTCTCAAAAAAAAAAAAAAAAGATATGGTAAGATGCTCAAAATAGATTAAGGAAAACATTGCAGAACATTACGTATAGGTTGAGTTAGCTTTTATATAAAATAGTTTGCATGCATATAAAAGTATTTACATAGGCTTCACATATGCTTATACATACCAAGAAGAAAATGTAAAACTACACAGCAAAATGGAAACAGTGATTAGTGCAGAGGGATGATATTGGCAGGAGAGGCCGAAGAAAGGGAAGGGAAGGTTACCAACAGGTCTTTTACACATTTCCATGCGTTTATAATGCCTTAGCAGTTGGATGGCTACCCTTAAAAGGACCCATGAAGATGCAAAACTATGAGCTGATTTCATATTTTAAATGCAAGTTAGCAAAATTTACCTTCTACAATTATTTGACAAGAATTTAAAGTGCAATTGACAAACCTTTCAGAAAAAAGCTGGGAATTGGGCCTTTGGGGTAAGGTTGCCATATTTAGCTAATTAAACATACAAGTTTCCCAGTTAAATTTGAATTTCAGATAAATGATGTACAATATTTGGGACACACTTATACAAAAAATGCTCATTGTTTATCTGAAATTCCAATTTAACTGTGCATCTGTATTTTGCCTGGGCATCCTACTTTGGGGTACTTCGAGGTCCCTGGCTAGCTCCTGGTCTATGTCTTAGTCCATGCTCAGAAGTCCCATGTATTCAACCAGCTGCTTCTTCCTCCATTCCAGTGGTTCTTTTACAGGTAGGTGAGGTCTTAAAGAATCTTTTGAAACTTTTGAGCCATTCCCCAGGAGAATATCTACATACAAAATTTGGCATCTCCAGGGTATGTGGGTCCCACGTGAGCCCCACCCCACAATGGTCGGACCCAAGGACTCCTCCCACAGTCCATGGCACTGTGCAGATGGCCAGCTACGAGGAAGTGAGCATGTTGGACTTTGAGGAGTTCAACCAGACTATGAAACAGCAAAATCACAAGACCTTTTTTGCCTTCTTTGCCAGTTCCAAGGACATTGGAGGTAACAGATATAGCCCCAATGGCATGCGGGCCAAACCAGTTGTAGAGACGGGCTGAAGCATGTTCGGGAAGAATGTGCATTCATCTACTGCCAAGTAGGAGAAAAGCCTTATTGGAAAGATCCAAATAATGTCTTCAGGAAAAATTTGAAAGGAGCTGCAGTGCTTAACCATGGAACCCAGGAAAAACTGATAGAATCTGAGTGTCTTCAGGCCAGCATAATGGAAATGTTCTCTGAAGATTAAGATTTGATGATGGCAGTCATGCCTTGATTTCCTGCTCTGTTCTGGTAAACTGCATACTTGGTTTGAATTCTTGTTAGCAATAAATAAATAAATGATGATGGGCTGGGCACAGTGGCTCCCGCCTGTAATCCCAGCACTTTGGGAGGTCAAGGCGGGAGGATCACTTGAGCCCAGGAGGTCGAGAACAGCCTGGGCAATGTGGTGAAACCTTGCCTCTACAAAAATATTTAAAAATTAGCCAAGCGTGGTGGTGCATGCCTATAGTCCCAGCTACTCGAGAGGCTGAGGCAGGAGGATCACTTGAGCCATAGAGGTTAAGGCTGCAGTAAGCCATGATCACATTACTGCACTTCAGCCTGGGCAACAGAGTAAGACCCTGTCACCGAAAATAATAATGATGATGATGATTTTAAAAAAAGAGTATGTGAGTGTCCACGCACTCTTGAAACCATCCACAGATCCCAGGTTAAGAATCCTGGTTCTGGCCGGGCACGGTGGCTCACGCCTGTAATCCCAGCACTTTGGGAGGCCGAGGCAGGCGGATCACGAGGTCAGGAGATCGAGACCACCCTGGCTAACACGGTGAAACCCCATCTCTATTAAAAACACAAAAAATTAGCCGGGCGTGGTGGCGGGCGCCTGTAGTCCCAGCTACTCGGGAGGCTGAGGCAGGAGAACGGTGTGAACACGGGAGGTAGAGCTTGCAGTGAGCTGAGACCGTGCCACTGCACTCCAGCCTGGGGGACACAGCGAGACTCCGCCTCAAAAAAAAAAAAAAAAAAAAGAATCCTGGTTCTACCTCAGTGTAAAATTCTACCCTGTTTTGGAGGATTCTTGTCATCTCAATATGTGCCTGGGAGAACTGCATTTCTCTAGCTCCTCACCTGTGGTATTCTAAAAAGCAAGTTCTAAAGGCTCTAGAGTAACCAAAATAATTTTGCAGGTGGTGGGGAGAAGGGGGGAGAACATATTTACAGGACTCAACCTGATTTTAGGACTTACTATAACTACAGTAGTCTCAAGATAGTGTAGAATTGGCAAAAAGAGACATAAATGTAATAAAATAAAGAGTCCAGAAATAGACCCACACATGCTTGGTCAAATGATTTTAAACAAAGGTACCAAAATAATTCAGTGGAGATAGACAGTCTTTTCAACAAATGTTTCTGAAACTATTAGACATTTGTAAGCAAAAAAAAAGAACGAAAACTACCCATACATTGCACCACATAGAAAGAGACGATCTTAAAATGGGTCAAAGACCTTCATGTCAAACCTTAAATGATACATGAGAAAACAAGAGGGGATTTTTGTGGCCTTGGGTTAGGCAAAGATCTCTCAGATAGGACACAAAAAGTACAAACCATAAAAGAAAAAATGGACCAATCAGACTTCATTGGTCTCTAAAACCTGTCCTTTGAAAGACCTTGTTAAGAAAAGGAAGGGCTGGGCACGGTGGCTGATGCATGTAGTCCTAGCACTTTGAGAGGCCAAGGTGGGCAGATTTCTTGAGCCCAGGAATTTGAGACCAGCCTGGGCAACATGGTGAAACCCCACCTCTATTAAAAATAAGAATTACTTCAGTGTGGTGGCACATGCCTGTAGTCCCAGCTACTCAGGAGGCTGAGGTGGGAGGATTGCTTGAGCCTGGGAGGCGGAGGTTGCAAGGAGCCGAGATCACAAGTTTGCACCACTGCATTCCAGCCTAGGTGACAGAGTGAGACCCTGTCTCAAAAAAAATGAAGAAAGAAAAGAGAAAGAGAGAAAAAGAAAAAAAAAAAAAGAAAGGGAAAGGAGAAGCCACAGATTGGGAGAAAATATTTGCAAATCGCATATCAAGTAAGGGATTTGAATTTGAATCAGAAATATGGAAAAACAACCTCAGAACTCATTTGAATAGACATTTCATCAAAGAAGAGGCATGGATAGCAAATAGCATATGAAAAGATGTTCAACACCATTAATCATTATAAAAATGCAAATTAAAACCAAAATGTGATACCACTGCACGCTTATTAGAATAGCTAAAACCTAAATCACCAATGATATACCAAGAACTGACAAGGATGCAAGCAACTGGAAGCCTCATTTATTGCTGATGGGAATGCAATGGTACACCTCTTCTGGAAAACACTTTGGCAGCATCTTCTAAAGTTTAACACGCACTTACCACATGACCCAGCAATCCCAGGAAATCCTAGTTATTTACTCAAGAGAAATGAAAACATGTCCACTTAAAGACCTGTATGTGAACACTTACAGAAGCTTTATTCATAATCACCAGACACTGGAAACAAACCAAATGTCATCAGTTAGTGAAAGGACAAATTGTCATCTAGCCATACAATGGATACTATTCAGCAATAATAAGAAACAAACAATTGATACATGAAACGACATGGATGTATCTCAAAAGCATTATGTTCAGTGGAAAATGCACATGTATGACGTTCTAGAAAAAATGCAAAACTATAGTGATGGAAATCAGACCAGTGGCTGCCAGGGACTGGGGCCGGGGAGAGGTTTACTACAACGGGGCATGAGGAAATGTATAGGGATGATTGCGGTGGTGTTACACACCTATGTGTCAAAATGCATAGAAATGAATGCCAAGAAGAGTGAATTTTACTGTATGTAAATTATATCTTAATTTTAAAAATAGTTATGAAATGAAAAGGGTCTGGGAATCCTTTGTAGAAGAAGCAATACAGCTAGTCAATTGGAAGCTAAAGATTTTCGTGTTCTTTTCATTGTTCCCGTATTGCATTTTCCCTTTCTAAAGTAATATACCTCGGACATATTTGACTTTTTGTCCTATTCTAATACATTCTATTGTGCTTGAAAATTAACCACAAGGTTTTGCTCCAAATGACATAGTGCAGAAATCTGACTTCAACGCGGTGGGATACTAGGAGTAATGGTAATTCAGCCATCCTCCACTCAGCCCCCATCAGCCCATTGCTACAGACTCTTCGCTTCAGTCGTCTCATGGAAAAGAAGGACTAGATACTTTTCTTCTCTTGTGATTTCTTCCACCACAGAATGTCTTCCATAAAGGAGTTTTAATCTGCCTCCGAAACCCAAAATGTAATTACAAATGCTCCTTTATATTAACTACAAGGACCAGATAAGTACCAGTGTTGAAATTCTAAAGGACCTGCTTGCTTTCAGGAACTGTGAGCAAAAGATAGCAGACACGTTTCTATTTCCAAGCGCCTTTCTTTCAAGTACAGTGATTTCATTTCTCAAATCCTGTTTTTCAAAAGCCCCGTGCCTTTTCTTTTCTCTTTAAGAAAGAAATACCTTAACATTACACAAACCCAAAGCCTCCATACAGAAACTAAAACTTCCAGAATGGAACCGCAACCCTCTGGTTCCCTTTTCCCTCTGGTGCTCACTTTGAAAGTCACAAACCATGGAGCAGTCTGAGGCACAGCAGTACAGTAAGAGTAATGACCCCATACTCAAAGCCACCATGCCTGGGCTCAGATCCCCAACTCTGTCACCAAGCTATAGGACCCCAGGTAGGTTTCCTTAGCCATAAGATGGGGACTCATATTCACTTTTATCAAAATAGCAGTTTGTGTTTATAGAGGGCCAGTTCTGTGCCAGAGACCTTATTATTCACTTTCATCTTTCCAACCATCCTGTCAATGATTGAGGAAACGGGGTTTAGGAAAGCTGATAAGCCTGTAGTAACTCAGTTAAGATGCTCACCCACACCCCAAACCCCTCCAGTTAGCATTTCTTTTCCCTGCCTCACATACTTCCCTGGAAATAAACTCTAACTATGGTGTCCAGACATGTTGGCCAAGGGCTGATATAAAAGAAAAAGTTCAGATCTATCCAGGAAGACTCTAGAGATTTAAGCAATTTGAAGACAATGACTGTACTCTTTCTGTCAGTCCCAGGGCCCTACCTGGAGCCTAGGTAGAGGTAGCCATCAAGAGGGATGGAAGAGAACAAGAGGAAAAGGGAAAAGGGAGAGGAGCCTTGGGCCAAGTCCAATAAATAAAAATGAAAAAATAAACTCTTTCCACCAATGTTTACGGAAATATTTAGGAGAGGGTCAGCCAACTTCTTCCTTTATCAAGGGCCATATAATAAGTATTTTTGGGCCGGACACAGTGGCTCATGCCTGTAATTCCAACACACTGGGAGGCTGAGATGGGTGGATCACTTGAGCACAGGAGTTCAAGACTAGCCTGACCAACATAGCAAAACCTCATCTCTAGTAAAAATACAAAAAAAAAAAAAAAAATTAGCCGAATGTGGTGGCACACACCTATAACTTCAGCTACTCAGGTGGCTGAGGCACAAGAATCGCTTGAATATGAGAGGTGGAGGCAGCAGTGAGCCGAGATCACACCACTGCACTACAGCCTGGGTGACAGAGCAAGACTCCATCTCAACAAATAAAGAAATATTTTCAGCTTTGTGAGCCATGCTGTCTCTTGCAACTCCTCCCCTCTGCCACTGGAACATGTAAGCAGCCACAGACAACACTTACGCAAACGTATGTGGCTGTGCTCAAAACAACCTTATCCTTGGACACTGAAATCTGGATTTCATATAACTTTCATGCAATGTGAGTTTTTTTTAATGTAGAGGCAAGGTTTCAGTATGTTGCCCAGGCTATTCTTGAATTCCTGGGCTCAAGCGATCCTCCCACCTTGGCCTCCCAAAGGGCTGGGATTACAGGTGTAAGCCGCCACACCCGGCCCAGATATTAGTTTGGTTTTGATTTTTTTTTGACCACTTAAAAATGTTAAAACCATTCTTAGTTGGTAGAAAGAATGGGGATGAGAACTGTGCTTTGGCCACCCTTGATTTAGTTCATCAGAAAAGGTGATTTTTTTTGTTTTGTGTTTTTTTTCCCCCGAGACAGAGTCTCGCTTCAGCCCAGGCTGGAGTGCAGTGATGCGATCTCGGCTCACTGCAACCTCTGCCTTCAGGATTCAAGTGATTCTCCTGCCTCAGCCTCCTGAGTAGCTGAGACTACAGGCATGTGCCACCACGGCTGGCTAATTTTTTTTTTTTTTTTTTTTTTTTTTGTATTTTCAGTAGGGATGCGGTTTCACCATGTTGGCCAGGCTGGCCTCGAACTCTTGACCTCAGGTGATCCATCTGCCTCAGTCTCCTAAAGTGCTGGGATTATAGGCGTGAACCACAGCACCTGGCCACAGAAAAGTATTGTTAAAAGAAAGCTTTATTAGAAATATTAAAAGCTAGAGCTACTGCAAAGCATTTATTGAAAAATATTCTGCACTTCCCAGAACAGACCTGGCACAAGGGAAATGATTAAACAGATTAAATGTCTTCATGTGCTTTCCTTCTCCTAAACACAATCCCTCCTCATATGCCCTGGATCTACTCCACAAGGCCCAGTGCCCTCCTGGTGCCCACAGCTGCACCCCACTAAACCTGTCATTTATTCAACAGTATTACGTAGAGCCTACTGTATGTAGCCCCAGTGCTGGGTTCCCATGCAACTGGGGGAGAAGAGAGCAGAGATTCTGAGAGCTCTTCCTCTCAAAGACAACTGCTCTAAGATGCACATGGTGATTATTGACTGAAGGTAGGTTAGTGTGTTCAAATAAAACATGAGGAGTGATTCCCTAATAGTCTAGACTGCCAGCTCATGCTCTCTTCACTGTTTTCTTATTGTTCTTTGCACTCACTGGGTGAGAAGGACAGAGGAGGAATTAACAGAAGTGAGCACCTTTTATCTGGTGTCTCTCTGATGGGCCAGGCACTGGGCTAGACACTTCTAAGCCATAGCAACTTTCAAGGTTGGCATCAGGATCCCATTTTCACAGATGATAAAACCAAGCCTCAGAGAAAGGAGTCACTTACCCAAGGACACCCAGAGCCAGATTCTAACCCAGGCCTGACTCCCACATTTGGACTCTTTCCATTCTAAGTTCACTTTGAGATGCAAAATCTATACCATTTGAGGAGGGTGTGGACCAGGAGTTTCCAGGCTGTGAGCCTGGCTGCCCTTCAGGCAGGAGTGACCAAAGCAGGTGCAACTGTCGTTTTTCTCTGCCACATGCTATACACTGAACAGGCTATGAAGGAAGATGATAAGAGTCTAGCAGGAGCTTCTCAACCCTAGTCATACAGTAGAATCACCTGGGGAGCACTTAAAAAGTACCAGTGCCAGGCCCCACCCTAGGCCAATTAAATCAGAATCTGGGGGACAGGGGAACCGTAGGACCCACTCATTTTTGTTCAAGCTGCCAGGTCAGTCTAATACACTGCCAGGGCTGAGCACTAATGTGGGGAAGCAGAGGAAGGGGTAAATATAAAGAAATTCTGTCTGCAAACCTTTGCCACATTGTCGGGTTTTCTGTTTGGTGGGGGCAGGATTCTGCAGTCACTGCCTCTGGGTTAAGCAGCTCTGACCACAGCTGCCTACTGAATTGATAAGGATATCTAAAAATACAACCCTGGCATTCAGCTTTCTGACTCAAATACCCTTCAAATTCAGACTAGGTTTTCTTTCTTGTTTGATGCTTATCAAATGAGAGCATAAACAAAACCATTTTTGATGGTACCATGTCACATGAGAAGCTTAAGCAAAGAAGCTAAAGACAGGAACACGTTTTTGTGAGGTGGCCAAGCTGAGAAGAGTGATGCCTCCTAAGAATGCAGCAAGAATGCAGTGCACGAAACAGGCAAATCATTCTGCTTTAATAACACCAAGAAAACATCAAGTTTCCTGCTTTTCTTAACATTCTTACAAAAATTTCGACAAGTTTTTGTTCTTTCATTTCAAAAGAAAACTTCAAGTCACTGAGAATTTTCTAAGAAATCATTTATTTCAGAATAAAAAGTACACATTTATAAAAAGTTTAATACAATTAAATTTTCATTTTCAAAACATGTCATAACATAATTCATCCTAGTAGAGAGAAAAAGCTGTGTCTGTTCATTGAAGGAAGACAATCAAACACACTGAATAAACTAATATAATCATTTTATATGGGGAAAACTACAATCCTTTTCTTAGTATATCTTTTATTTTTGCAACGTGTTACCTTTTTTCAAAATGTTTTAAACTTCATTCTTGCATACTTCTTTACACTTTTAAAAAGAACTTTACTATGTTCTTATTTGTGAGTTACATCATTTCTATAAAGAAAACAAGATAAGCATTGTTAGTCCATGTTAGAGATATGAACATTGAGGTTCAAGGATGTTCAATAATTATCCCAAAGTCACAAGAAGTTCATAGAAAAGCCAGAGAAAGAAGCAATGTCTCTTTACATCTCAGCTACTATTCAACATTTTGTACATACTACAATGTGAGTTTGTGTGTGTCTGTGTGTGTGTGTGTGTTTGTGTGTAAAGTCCAGTAACAAAGACTGATGTAGTACAAAGAACTAGAATTCTTTGTTAGCAAACCTCAGTCAAAAATAGGTTCCTCTGAAGCAGACCACTGTTTCAAGTTAGCATGGTTAATCAGAAGAAAGGATTATAAAATCAGTTTAATAAGTAAATTTAACTTGCATGAAAAGCAGCCACACATGTCCCCTTTTTACTCCAAGTGCAGAAATTAACACATTGTTATTATAATCCTGAAGGATAGGATCCTTAGGGAACATGTAACGAAAAAACAAACAGGTATCTGACTGCTTAAATATTAGGCAAATAATTATTTTATGAAAATAAAATAAGCTTTACAAACAAAGTAATACAAATGTAAATAGCCCCTTCTTTGACGGACAGCCCAATAGAAGGAGTTTCTGTATCACTCACCACAAAAGAAAAATTGGCCCAGCCACTGCCACCTCTGATACCTGCCTGCTTCCCCAAATGAACCAGAACAAGCAAGAGCGGCCTCAATTTCTAATCAGTTGAAGTTTTTTCAAACCTATCAGAAACATTTTTTTTATGTAGTGTCCATTTGCTTGCCATCATGGTAAAAATAACTTCAGCTAGGACCCAGAATTCTAACTCTAAGGTGAAGGTTCCTGGTTAGCATGTGGCATAAGGAGAATCTGTGTCTTTGTCACCTCTGTGCCTTTTTATTCCAGCTGAGCACACTCATACAAGCTCATTTAGAGCAAGACTGGACTCAGAAATTTCTTTATCCCCTTTTTAATGATAAAACTCAAGGAGGTTATAGCTCTTGCTCCCTATTGTAACTATGACAGGTCCAGGGCTGGATTTTCATCTAGGCACTCTTTAGATTCTATAGCCCTGTATCAAGCCAGCCTGGCTGGCTCAAATTCCAGTTCCAGTTCTCACACTTACTAGCAGTGTGACATTGGGACAGTCACTTCACTTTTCTGTACTTCATCTATAAAATGGGAGTAGGGACAGCACCCAGCTCATAGGACATTGCAAGGATCAGCAAGTTATGTCTGCAAAGTCCTTGGAACAGTGCAGGCACGTGGCAAGTGCTTAAAAGGAGGGTAAGCTACCATCATCATCATCATTACATATCTACAAATTAGATTTTCATATACAGTTTTAAAATCAGCTGAATTTCTCATGATTTAAGATGTTTGCATGTGTTAGAGGACTTTCAGGGCAGTATCAAAATGTGACCTTGGATTAGTCACTCAATCAAAATGAGCTTCATTTTCTGCATTTGACTAAAAGAGATGATGATTAGCTCGATCTAGTTAAGGTAATGAGCATTTGAAATATGTGCAGAAAGTTTACAAAGAAAGAAATGTCACAGGTGCTCAGTGATTTACAGCACTTAATTAATTTAATCCTTCCCAGAACCTTAGTGTGAACATCCCACAGAGACAGGATGGACACCCACTCAAAATTTGGTTTGGACCCTGAGACTGAAAATGGCATGCATACACGCGCACACACACACACACACACACACACACACACACACACAGGATACAAAAAGGTTTACTGCTGACATAATGGGGCTCTCTGGGGAGAGCAGGCAGCTCCCAAATGGGTTTAAATGGCTTCTGAGAACAGGGAAAGGAGACTGGCTTGTGGGTTTTGCTGCATTTTGGGGTTGGGGCTGGAGTAGCACAGGGCAGGAGTTTGCATGGTTTGAACCTCCCACCAGCACCAAAGGAGGGAACCCCTGGGCTTTCTTATCAGCTTGTTTTGATGTGGAGGAAAAGAGGAAGGGGAGAGGTGAGGCTTTAAAGCTGTCAGCAGCAATCAGACATCAAGGAATGGAATCACTATCTTCATGAGGTAGGTCCCATAGATCCCATCGTTGAAGATGAGGAAATAAGACCCAGTAGTTTTAACTTCAGCTTGACTTCAAACCCACACGACCTACAATTCCCAAATCCTAGGAGTTTCCATGACTCAGGTGACAAAAGAAGCATGTCCTAGACCCCATTGACTTACGCAAACTCAATCAGCCAACCACAGAAAAGCTAAAGACATCCTTTTTTAAAAAAGCCTAAAGACAGCCATTTTAATCCTAATTCGTAGTTTATGATTTTCTCAAAATTTCCCCACACACAGAAAGAAACTTCAAGGTTAGGTTCTAATGTTACCATTGCTAACACTATTGTCTTTGGAGAAGGAGGAGTGACGCTCTGTTAAAAGATCCTCTTTACATCCAGGTAAAATTCCATTTCCAATTTAT
Source organism: Homo sapiens (assembly GCF_000001405.40). Lineage (NCBI taxonomy): Eukaryota > Metazoa > Chordata > Mammalia > Primates > Hominidae > Homo > Homo sapiens. Next base: position 229,711,742 of record NC_000002.12, read on the forward strand.
CCAGTGAGCACAAGGTTCTATTTCAGCAACCACATAGTCTGCAGTGGCTAAGATCCAATTTCCTTATCTGTAATTGAGTATGTGTAGTTTCTCTCTCCCTCTCTCCCCTCCCCTCCCCACCACCCCAGGTTTAACTTCTCTTCTGAAATTGTCTTTTGTGTTCTTTGCTGTTCCCATGAAAAATGAGTCTCAAGTCTTACTGCGAGATCATGAACGATTAAATTAAAATCATCAGGAATCCATTTTTATGGATTGTAAGGCCCTGAATCATCTCAGTAAGTTTTTCTGGGTAACCAAGTCCAATCAAGTTCCAAGTTCACTAAGCTTTCCTATGAGGATTACAGTAACTTCACCGCTCTCTCCAACTCACACACCAGGGCATGCAGTATTGCTTCTGCTCAGGTGGATGGTGTTCACACAGCTAAGCCTACCTCCAATGGGAGCTACAAAAGAAATCTGAATCTGTTTTGATCCAGTTGGTCCTGCAATGTTATGTATTAGTTCCTGACTCTTCGGAATGAATTATATTATACATCAAGTCACTACTTAGGACAAATCAAAATATTTATGTTTCGCTGTTAGTCATCTTTAGGTGGCACTAAAGAGCTCTTTTTCTTGAAGATGTCTTATATCTGTTTTTAGAGTCACCAAAAACCATCTCAGAGTTGTGTTAAATTCCCAGTGAGTCTTTCTTCTCATGTAAATCGATGGGCACTCTAACCTACCTTCTCCCATCCATTCCCACTAAACCCTAGGTCCAAATCAACTATTTCTTTGAAGGATAAAATTCAGACGTGTGAATATAACAGCAGTTTGATGGACACACTCAGACAATTCATTTCTTCAGGAAAAGTCATATAAATCATCAATCCACAGGGAAAATTAGCGTGAGTGCATTCCTTGGTTTTTGATTTGCAGTTATTTTGACTTTTGCAAAAGCAAGATTTTGTTCTAATGGTTAGAATGGCTCCAACAGGCATTTCCCCCAAGAAGCTATCATGTCCCAAATCTACTCCTGAGGCTCACATCACACAAATTCTTCCTCCTCCTCATCACCTCCCTTCAAGTAACTAAAGCTTATTGTAACCAGTAAACAAAGAGGAAGAGCACAGTGTTGAAAAGATAGATTCAGTTTGCTAATTTGCTATTAAATGAAATAAAAAGATTCTAGATAAATGCAAAAAAATCTGGCTGTCAAGGTCAAGTTTCTCAATCCCATTTACCTCTAAAAAATGTAAAACCTGTCATAATGAAAGGGCAGCCTTTTTCCCCATTGAAAGAACCTATTTGAGCATTCTCAAAGTAACTCTCCAATCATTGTTATCAAATTTATATGAAACAAACTCCTCCACCCTAAATGTAAGGAAGATAGTATCTGATCCCAAATATCGTCCATATTCATGTGGTTTAATGTAATCATTTCAGATAACTTCATTATTTGCCCTACCCTGCAATACAGGTTTGGGGATTTTCTACCCGTACACACAGTCCTACCAAATTGCCTACTGGAAATGTTGATGTTAATAGGTTTCACAGAGCTTTAACGGACTTGTAAAAGCCCCAGATATTATTTTCTGCCAAATTCTCCTGAAAACCCCAAATTCACGGGCGGCTGCTGGCTACATCCCATCGTCCCATCCCTCGCACCGCCCCCACGCTTTCTGGCGGCTTCCCGGTGCCCTGCTCACGCCCCGGCTGCCAGCCCCAAGCGTGCGCCCCGTGGAGCGTCCGGCAGGAAGGGCGGCCCTGCCAGCGCCACGTACAATGCCCCCTCGAATGCCTCCGACTGTTCCAACACTGCTCCTAAGCTTAGAGAGGGCTGGTCGCAGGCCGAGGGGAGGCAGCTGCCCTCCTCGTCCTCTGGCTGCTTTGTCACAGCCCTCAAGGGCGTAGGAAGAGAAGGAGAAAGTGCCCCACCACCTGGCACGGGGCCCACCATCACCTGCCTCCCACACCGCACACCCTTTACACACACAGGGTCCAGCCGGACGTGGAGCGTGGACCACCTGGACATTGAACACCTCGCCGGGGACGCTCGGAGCCGGCTCCTCCGCGCTGCCAAGGCGGGCACCGCTCAAGTGGTTCTTGGCTCGGCCCGGCCTGGAGGGGCGCGCCACTCAGTGGCCAACCGGAGCGTCTAGAGCCCCGCGCGAGAAGTGCCGAGCCCCGGAGCGGCACACCCCGAGAGCCCGGCTGGCCCCGCCCGGGAACCAGGGCGGGTAAGGGAATCAGGGTCGGCCCGGGGGTCCGCGTCCACGCGGGCCAAGAGACTGGATCCATCTTCTTCCCAAAGTGGGAAAGCCTGTGTCAGGCGTGCCCATTGTCGGGCAGCAGCAGCAGGGCCGGCGGGAAGAGGCTGCTGGTCCCGGACCAGCGCCCCGCACCGCGCCCGCCGCTTCCACTCACCTGGCAGTTGGCGCCGGAGATCCCGGCGGGGCAGGTGCAGCTGTAGCCAGGCTCGCCGGCGGGGGCCGGGTGCTGCGGGTCCGGCTCAGGGCGCGAGGTGCACACACCCCCATTCCGGCAGGGCTGCGCGGCGCACGGCCCGGGCGCAGACAGGGGCGCGGCGGGCACCGGGTTGGCCAGGGAGCTGCCTCGGGGCCCCGCTCCGAGCAGCAGCAGCAGCAGGGCCAGCGCGGGCAGCAGCTGCGCACCGGGCGCCTGGGCGCGGCGGGGCTGCATGGCCGGCCGGGAGGGCGCGGGAGCCGGAGCCAGGACGCAGTGACGGCGGCGGCGGTGGCAGTGGCGACGAGAGCTGCGAGAGCGACGGTGGCGGCTAGGGCTGCTCCGCCGGGCCGGGCGCCTCCTGCAGCTGCGGGATCCGCGGTTCCCCGGGCAACGGCGGGCGGGGCCTGCGGGGCGGGGCGGGGCGGGGCGAGCGGGGGGCGGGGCGCCTGGCGGCCCCGGCTCTGGAGCATCGGGGAGTGGGGCCTCTTTCCCCGCAGGGAGTTGGGATGGGGGTTGCAGGAAGACGATGCGGGACCCCATCCCCCAGGAGTGGGTCGAAGTCACGGGTGTGTCCAGAAGCAGCCCTGGTACAGGGAGCCAGGCGACGCTGGGGCAGGAAAGGGGCTGGAGAGGTCCACGAGTGAGGGAAGCGGGGCTTTGAGGGGCTTCCAGAGCCGGGAGCACCGAGTGCGCCCCAAGGCCCGGGCAGGGCAGGGCGCGGGAGGCGGCAGGGCGCCTCAAGGGAGGGGCGGCGCGCTCGCAGCAGCCACCTTTGGCCTCTTGGCGCAGAATCTGCGAGACCGCCGCGGGGCCCGGCCTTGCCTCATCCCCCGGGACTGCTCCCCTTCCCACAGCGCTTCTCCCGGCACCCCAAGCCCTCCCGCCCGGCCACGGAACCCTGCGCCCGACGCTTGCTCAGCAGCCGGGTTCGCCTGGAAGTGACCTCGCCTCCGCCAGGCGGACCCGGGGCCCTTGTCCTTGGTGCTGACCCAGCTGTCTCATTCTCGCCGGCCCTTTCCAGAGCGCGGGGCCTTGCCGCACCACTAAGGAACGTCTGGCCGCGCCGTGTGAGGCCGGGAAGAGGCCTTGGTGTAAGGCTGTCCACCCCTGTCGTTGAACCTAGGGGGAAACTGAGGCCCAGAAAGTCTGGATTCGAATCCAGTGGGTCAATTGACTCCCAGCCCAGAACGCCCGAAAGAACAGTTCAAAAGCCCAGGTTGGCAGAGGCGCTGCTAGCGGCAGGAATCGCAACAGGGGACTCTGCATAAAAGGAGCATTCGCTGTGACCTACTTCGGAGGGGATGGGGGGGGCGGGCTCTTCTACACGTCCTGGCTGGGCTGGCTGGTGCTGCGACCGCCAAGGAGGCTGCACTCCGCTGAATAAAGCGCATCCAGCCTTGTCTCCTCCACCTGACCTTTCACAATCTCTATTACCTGTGGGTTCCCAGGTACCTGTTACCTTCTTTTTAAGGTGGCCAAATGAAAAAAGAAAATGTGATTCCCCTGGATTGACAGTCTGGGCCAATTTTTTTTTTAGTAAACACAAAAATAGCTTGTTTTGTTTTTTAAAAAAATTAAAGTAAGGACTCCATGTGAACTTCTGCTGTAGGTGTCACAGACGCCAGGGATTGCTAAAAGTCCTCCAGTGGAAACAGAAGGCAAACTGCACGGCTTCTCCCTGTCCTGTTCAAACGCAGAAGCAAATGTCACACTTTTCTGCTTCAGGAGATACCTAAAATTCATGTGGCCATTGCAGGAAATCACTGAACCCCAGACAGATCTGCAAGCGGAGAATTCAGACCTCCAAGTGGATAGAGTTATTACATTTTTCCTCACACCTGCTGTCTTTCAATCTAAGACCTCTTCCTCTTGAAAATTCTTAATTTTGTGCCACGCCAGCACCCTCTGCTGGTACTAGTGTCGTCATTCAGGTGGTTTCTGTGCCCCTGGAGTTGCGTTCTTTCCTGAAACTAACTTCTCTTACCTTAAATCCTGGACTAGTGGATAGTGCTCTTCATTGCCTTCCATCAAGACACACACACAAATGAAGCAAGATGAAGTGTAAAAAGGTTGTGAGTTAATTAAAATCACATTTCAGTTTATTGTACTTTTGCCTGAGCAACCCCTTTGTTTGTGTATTTCATATTATTTTGAAATATAGGATAATTAAAAGTGGTTTTATTTTCTGGATGCTGGTTACTGCATGTTTCAGATAATTTTCCTTGCTAAAAGTATTCTCTTAGTCTTTAATCTTTAAAATGCATATTATGGCAGAGACAATACAAGATCCTTTCATTTTTTCCAGGCTAAAAAGGAAAACTATAATCTTCCAGCACCTTAGCTTATAGGCAGAGCAACATGATTAATGCTGGGGAAAAAGCATATTGATTTGCATGTCCTGGTCCCAAAACATCCATGTACTAAGTGCCATGAAAGTGTTAACTATTATTACTGTTACCACGCTCAGAGAAATGGGTCTTTTCTGTAGATTCCGAAAGCTGATCTGGTACTTTACTGACAGCTTTTCAACCATCTGCAAGATCCCCCAAATACTCAACTAAAAAGTCCAACCAATGTATTACCCTGTCACATTAGCAAAAGTGATTAAAATAATATTGCCTCTATGTTTAAATGAAAGCTAAAAATCCAGGCTTTTATTTTATATTATTCCCAACTTACAGAATATCAAATCTTCATCCTGACCCACCTCATTTCCTTTTTTGATAGAGTCCTTATATTGACAAGTCAAAGGCCAAATATACCAATAATGTATCTTGATTTTAGCAAAAAAAAAAAAAGTGATAACATTTCTCATGATCACCTTATGGAGAAAATTCAGCTAAGTGGACTCAAAACTGTTTAACAACATACCAATCGGGGGGTCACTATCAAGCTACAAGAAGTTTTTAGGGAAATAACCATGGAGTTGAAATTTTTGGCAGCTGATAAAATTCATACCAGAATCAACATGTAAATTTATCTTAATCAGTAAAAATGCTGAGCTAAAATAAATGAAATGGAATATGAGGTGAATGATAGTACATTCGATCTTACTGCTACTTCTTCGTAAGACTTTCTCTTCCTGCCCTCCTTAAAGTTAGATGTGGTCATATTATTGGCCATGGCCATAAAATGTGCAGGGAATAGTATGCCCCACTTCCAGATGGAAACTTTTAAAATCCTGCCCATGTCCCACTGTGTTCTCCTCTCCTTAGCGTGACAACTGGCAAGATTCCAAGAGGTGCAATGGGGGCTCCTCCAGCTTGTGTCTCTGAGAGAGGACAATGTGAAGCAATGGGAACCTGCAATGGGCATATGACATAAGAAATAAACCACTATAGTTTTAAACCACTGAGTCTCAACGATGTAAGATAACTCGAGGCCACACACTAGTAAATGGCAGAGCAGGACTGATTGTTCCCAATGAGCCAGGCAGCACGACTAGTGATCTCACATGTACTATTTCTGCCAGGTAGAAGGCTGGATCCCATTAGAAATTCTAAGGCTTCTGGATTTGGTGGAAAGGAAGAATTTCAAAACAATTTACAGGACTCATTTCTCTTCACAGATCTAGTTTAGAGTTACACCTCAATTGCATTATACCCATAGGTTATTATAAAAATGTTACAAACTAATGCAAATATAATTGTCTTTATTTTTTGCATTTTGTCACAAATGGAGAAAATCAACTTTCCAGGCCAGCAGGTTCACAGGTAGCCAATTGGGAACCACTGGCCTCAATGAGAACACCACTCCTGATGAGGTTTTCATACTCTGTCCACCACGGCATCCTGTGAGAATGCTAGCCTGGGTGCACCGTGTCATCATTCACAGACTTAGAAACTTATATTTAGAAGAAATTGCAAAGGTTACCAAGCTTGATCTCCCAGGATTTGAACTAAGACCCAAACTAAATTATTTATCATAAGATGATAAATCCCCTCCAACTTACCTGGGATTTAGCACCCACCTTCTTTCCAAAGGAATCTAAGTTTTCTGCAGCCATCAGCAGATGGTCTCTCTATTTCCCTCTGCACCTTCATTTGCCTGTAGACAGTGACGTCATTCCTGCTACCCCTTCCCACATCCAGTTAACCTTTAAGGATACAAGAAAACATCCCTCCTCCCTGCAGAGGGTGGGACTGGATGCTGGATTGAAGCTGGAGTCAGCTTGAAAGAAAAAGTTGGCCACGTATAGAGAGAAGGGACACATTGCCTAGTGACAGCTTTCTACCATGAAGAACAGCACCAGCCTACTTTGGCCAGAACAGTTCTATCAGGACCCATGACAACACTGGGCAAGTTATTCTTTTTGACCTTCAGATGTCATATAACATGGAGAGGAGACAGAAACCCCAATTTTATAGAGCTCTAGGTGATGATAGTGGTGATGTAGAGTATTTACAGTGTACCAGACACTAATATGAGTATTCTTTACATATTATCTCATTTAATCCTAATGCCAGCATGATGAGGTAGGAAGTATGACTGGTGCCCAATTAAAGGACAAAATTGAGGTGAAATGAGCTGAAGTAAAATGTCTAAAGTCACTCAGTTTGCAAGAGGCATGGCCAAGACTCAAACATAAGGAGGAGTCTGGCTTAGGAGCCACGCTTTGTTTGAATCTCTACTCTGTATCTGATATATCAATCTCCTACAGTGCAGAGTCTGACACTAAGTAGATACTATGTATCCTTCAATGTAAAGTCTGATACTTAGTGGATATTGCACATGAGCTATAGGGACAAATATAGATATACATATAGAATATATGTACATATGTGTGATGTATATATCATATAAATATGGATGATGTATGTATTGTGTGTGATGTACATCATGTATGTATGTGTGATGTGCATCACATATGTGACATATGTATCATATGTCTGTATGTATCAATAATATATGGTATGATGCACGGTGCTTGCTGGGTTTTGGTTTATTGTGGGGAGGCACTTGAGAGTTTTAGTTAGTTTGCTCACTTGCCTCTCTGCAAGGTAACTACTACTCCTGATTTGTGACGGTGTAAGATGTGAAAATCGGAAGGGACTCTCCAAAGATCTTTTCTGAGGAGGAAGAGGATGCACTGAGGAAGCTAATAGCTGTCGAGGCTGAGTAGCTGCAGAACCAGAATGAGGCTCCAAGCCTCCAAATCACCAGTTTATGCTTTATCCACCTTCCCATAGTACCTTTCCTCCACTTCCAGTATTTCCTACAAAACAATCAATCAACCCAAAAAGGCAGTGTAAAAAATATAAATACTAAGTACATGGGAGTTTTAAGTGTCTTTGAAGAATCGTCATGAAGAATAAATGATTTGCATACATTATAGCCACAAGCACTAGGTAATTATCTTATTCCTTTAATTAGTAGTATCTTTATTAAAATTAGTCATTTAAGTGTTAGCATATATATTCAGATTATTTTATTCTATAATCAATGAACAATTCTTAAATTCTGTTTGAGACAGGTTCACATTTACTTTCTTCCCTCTAGACTTGCTCTGATTTGAATTAAACCATTGTTCCAGCAGCTGTTTAAAACAGTTTTAATTTATTTTACATTATCACTGTAATATTGATTTGATCTAGAGTAGGTTTAAATGAGGTCTTGAATAAAAAGACAGCAAGGAAGCATATCTTCCCTATATAAATATTTCATAAAGCACTTGAGCTACTTCCAAGTGGAAATCAGGTATTTTCACATTGATTCCTGATAACATGAAAATTATTTTAAACTCAATAACTGTTTTTAATTCCCTATACTGGAACATAGGATCCAGTGTCTCTTCTCTCTATACATGGCCAACTTTTTCTTTCAAGGTGATGCCAGCTTTAATCCAGCATCCAGTCCCACCCTCTGCAGGGAGGAGGGGTGTTTTCTTGTATCCTTAAAAGTTAACCAAATGTAGAAAGGGGTAGCAGGAATGACGTCACTGTCTATAGGCAACTGAAGGTCCAGAGGGAAATAGAGAGACCATTTTGCCAATGGCTACAGAAAACTTAGATTCTTTCAGAAAGAAGATGGGTGCTAAATCCCAAGTAAGCTGGAGGTGATTTATCATATAATAAATCCACATAACTGACCCGCAAATAAAGAGATGCAATTTAAGTCCTCTTCTTTGCACCTGAATTTATTCTGGGATCTGAAAATAGAGTAGTATCCAGTCTCTGGGTTTTCCAGACACAATATTTTATGCTTTTATTTCCATATAGAAGGTGTTTGTGTTAATGGCTTAAACAAATTTTGGGTTTATTCTCCCACATAAAAGAAGTCTGGAAGTTGTCAGTCGAGGGTTGATAACAGTGCTGATGACTCACTCAGTTATCAGCCAAGAAGCTTCCTGTCTCTACTACAAATGAAGCCTGAAATATCCAAGCTACATTATCACCAAATTGCCTATGGTGGGACATCTGTGGTTTTCTCCATCTAGTGAGTATCTCTCCTTCTTGGATAGCTGGGGCCCCATTTTGCCATGGGGAAACCAACTCTCAGCCCATGTGCTGCACATGAAACTGACCCCACTGCCAGGTCCAGGAGTAGCCACATGACCTAGACCTGGGCATTCCTCTGGTGACAGATTGGTTCAGAGATGGACATGTGACCCCAGTCACACACCATTGACACCAAAAGCTCAACAGAGCTATATGACACATACAAAAACAATTGATGCAGCCAGGTGCAGTGGCTCCTGCCTGTAATCCCAGCACTTTGGGAGGCTGAGGCGGGTGGATCACCTGAGGTCAGGAGTTCCAGACCAGCCTGGCCAAAATGGTAAAACCCCATCTCTACTAAAAATACAAAAAAAAATTAGCCGGGCATGGTGGCACACAACTGTAATCCCAGCTACTCTGGAGGCTGAGCCAGGAGTATCGCTTGCACTGGGGAGGCAGCCGTGTCAGTGAGCCAAGATCACGCCATCAAATTCCAGCCTTGGTGACAGAGCAAGACTCCATCTCAAAAAAAAAAAAAAAAAAAAAAAAGCAAAATAGGCCAGACGCACAGTGGCTCATGCCTGTAATCCCAGCACTTTGGGAGAGCGAGGCAGGCAGATCACCTGAGGTCGGGAGTTTGAGACCAGCCTGGCCAACATGCCAAAACCCCGTCTCTACCAAAAATCAAAAATTAGCTGGGTATCATGGCATGCACCTGTAATCTCAGCTACTTGGGAGGCTGAGGTAGGAGAAGCACTTGAACCCAGGAGGCGGAGGTTTCAGTGAGCCAAGATCATGCCACTGCACTCCAGCCTGGGAGACAGAGTAAGACTCCATCTCAAAAAAAAAAAATTAGCAAAATAATCCAGCAAATTATTTAAAACTTGATATATAATGACCAAGTAAGATTTATTTCCAGAACAAAAGCATGATTATCAGAAAACCTATTTACCTATATTAACAGATTTAAAAAGAAAAATACTATGGCCTTCTTCATAAATGTTGAAGATGCATTTAATAAAATTCAATATACATTCTTGATAAATAATAAAATGAAAAAAGATAACTGCTACCTTACAGTGCAACACTTCTGTCTCAACCCAAAAGTCAGCATCATGCTTAATGAAAAAATATAAAAAGGAATCCCATTAAAGTTGATAATAAGATGATACCATCATCATTATCATTTAATATTGTTTTTGAGGTATTAAACCTAACCAGTATTCAAAAGCAAATTTATAAATATTTAATTGGAGAGGAAGTAAAATTATTATATGCAAACAATATAATATCATACTTAGAGAATACAACTTAAAATATACTACAAACAATAAGAAAATTCCATAAGATATCAAAATAAATACACAGAATCAAAAACCCACATATATGCAAATAATAGCAGTTAGTTGATGGGGGGTGGGGAATCTCACTTACATCAGAAACAAAAAATTTTGTAATAATTATAACAAGAATGTGAAATACCTATTGAAGAAAATTTTTAAATATAATCAAATGACACAAAATAAACTTGGACAAATGTAAAGACATATCATATACTTGAATGGGAAGATGTGACATCATAAAATATAAATGCCTCTAAGTTAATATGTACATTTAACATAATAAATACAATCACCAGTGGAATTTGGTGAGGGAGAGTATGGAATTGGGCAAGCTGATTCTAAAGTTCATGTGAAAAATAAGCAACCTAAGAAAGCCAAGAAACTCCTGAACAAGAAGGAAATGGGGTGGAACTAACCAATATTAAAACATAATATAAAACTACAATAATTAAAATAGTGTGACACATTAAATAGACAAATTTATGGAACAGACTAGGAGTCCAGAGAAAAATATGCTAAGAGCTGGAAGGTTTGTTCAATGAGTTGTATTGAGATAAGTGAGTCATCACATGGAAAAATAATAGTATTGAATCCATACCTCACAACTTATACCTCAATAAACTCCAAGTGGATCAAATATGTCAAGGTAACCCAAAAGAACGAAGCCTTAAAAATGCAAGAAGAAACCAAGGCAGAATATTTTTGTAATATTGGAGTGTGACACATATCCAGAAGGCATTAAAAAAGGAAAGATCAAAACACGTGTCAACATAAAATTAAAGAATTTCACATGACAAAAATCACCATATGCTATATGAAAGCACTAGGAAAAATCATGTGCATACTTTCTCAAAATCAAAGGGCTAATTTTCCTACTACAGAGATATCTTCCATAAGGCAATAAGAAAGATCATTGACAAACTTCAAAACTTTCTATCCGTTTCAGCATCACCTCTCATAGTGCATCCCAGAGGACACTAGTTTCTTTAGATATTGGCCAACTTATTAGATAAATGCCTAGAAGTGATCATTTGTATTCTGCACAGCAGGTATGTGCATTTATAATTTCAAGAGATAGTGCCAGATTGCCCTCCTTAGACATTCTACCAATTCACATTCCTGCCAGTTAATGTGTGGGAGTCCCTGTTCTCTCCATTATAAGGTTTCATCAAAGTTTTTCATACTGGAAAATCTGATAGGTGAAAAACTGTCGTATTAGTCTGTTTTCATACTGCTGTAAATAACTCCCCAAGACTGGGTAATTTATAAAGGAAAGAGGTTTAATTGACTCACAGTTCAGCATGGCTGGGGAGGCCTCGGGAAACTTACAATCATGGCAGAAGGCGAAGGGGAAGCAAGACACATTCTTCACAAGGCGCCAGGAAGAAGTGCCAAGCAAAAGAGGAAGAGCCCCTTATAAAACAATTAGATTATGTAAGAACTCACTCACTAACATGAGAACAGCATGGGGGAACCACTCCCATGGCTCACATACTTCCACCTGGTCTCTCCCTTGACATGTGCAGATTATGGGGACTATGAGGATTACAATTCAAGATGAGATTTGGGTGGGGATACAAAGCCTAAAGTATCTCAGTGTAGTTTTCAAACATATTTCTTTTTGTTTTTTGTTTTTGTTTTTGTTCTTTTGAGACAGGGTCTCACTCTGTCACCCAGGCTGGAGTGCATGATCTTGGCACACTGTACACTCGACTTCCCAAGCTCAGGAGATCCTCCCACCTCAGCCTACAAAGTAACTGGGACCACATGTCCCACAGGTGCATGCCCCCATACCCTGCTAATTTTTTGTATTTTTGATAGAGAAGGGCTCTGTCACCCAGGCTGGAGTGCAGTGGCATGATCTTTGCTCACAGTACCCTTGACTTCCCAAGCTCAGGAGATCCTCCCACCTCAGCCTACTAAGTAGCTGGGACCACACATCCCACAGATGTGCACCACTACACCCAGCTAATTTTTTGTATTTTTGGTAGAGACGGGGTTTTGCCATGTTGCCTAGGCTGGTCTTGAACTCCTGAGCTCAAGCAATCTGGCTGCCTCGGACTCTCAAAGTGCTAGGATTACAGGTATAAGCCACTGTGCCAGCCTCAAATATGTTTCTTATCATGAGCCAAAATGAATGTATTTTCATATACTTCAGAGACATTTGCACTTCCTTTTTGTGGACTGATTGTTCTAAGAATTGAAACCATTTACCTTCCCACACAGCTTGTACCTGAGATGGGAATGACTCCCCACATAATCACACACACACACAAAGCCTCCTCTGTTGGAACATGATTTTATACTATCCCTGTCCTCCTTGGCATCGCTTTACTACTCCAGCACACTCTTCCCCAGGCAAATATCTTGATTATTCATGACTGAAACTTCTGGAAAGATCCATCGACACTTTAATAAAACCACCAACACTTTAAGCCCTAAAACATTTATCTCAAAATATTCGCCTTGCTGTTTCCACCAGTCCAAATCCTATTATTTCCTGATTCTTATGCGATCTTCATCAAGCCCCTGCATTGACAGACCTGCCTTAAACCAAACTTCAGATTCCCAGTAGAATCCAACTTTGCCTTTCCCACTCCAAGACACTGCTAAAGCTTCATGGAGCAACAAACTCAGTCTCTAGCAACTGCTGGTTTTTCTATTGCATTGCTAGATTTGTAGGAGTTAGTTCATGAAACTGAAATAAAACCAACTCAACTGCCAGAGCAGGAGCAAGAACAGAGCTAGAAAGGAAATAGGCTCCAATCTTGCAGAGTTGTGGACTGGGCTTATGTGGTGTTTTGTTTTGTTTTCTTGCAATAGAGAAGCTAGAGAATGATGTGACTGAAATGAGATTTTTTTAAAGATCGTTGTGGCTCAGTGTGGGTGAAGGAGGGAAGCAAGGATGGGTAGCGGAAATGCTGAAGGGATCAAATTTGGGAGGTGTTGGGGAGATGGAGGAAACAGGTCATTCAGACGCACTGGCCATGGAGTATGATTGAGAGAAAGGAGTCCAAGACGACACCTGGGTTTGGATCCCAAACAACCAGGTAAATAGGGTTGCCAGTTCCTGAGATGGTGAGGAGTGGGGAAGGAACAGTGAGAGAGGGGAGGTGGTGTTTGTGGTGGAGGTAGAGAAGTGGTTACTTCAGTAGGCGGGTGGTGGAGTCTCCTGTACAGGCAAGGGTGAGTGACAACCTATGGGGCTGAGAGAAAGAAGGGAGAGGAAGGACTCACTAGAGACAAAAGTGATGCTAAATATTAACTATGTTTCTAACTAAATAGTCTATATGCAGTCCTTTTGTAGCTATTTCTAATTATTTTAACAGTAAAGCCATCCAAATTACTATTTTAAATCAACAAAGCTGGCCAGGCATGGTGGCTCACGCCTGTAATCTCAGCACTTTAGGAGGCCGAGGCAGGTGGATCACTTGAGGTCAGGAGTTTGAGACCAGCCTGGCTAATATGGTGAAGCCCCATCTCTATTTAAAAATACAAAAATTAGCTGGCTGTTGTTGTGCATGCCTGTGGTCCCACTTCTCGGGAGGCTGAAGCATGAGAATTACTTGAACCCAGGAGGCAGAGGTTGCAGTGAGCTGAGATCATGCCACTGCACTCCAGCCTGGGTGACAGAGCGAGACTGTCTCAAATAAATAAATAATAAGCAGAGTCATTTTATTTTACTTGGTACACATAGTACATTCCTACCACACATTTTCAAAAATAGTGCCACTGTTTGGGCTCATGTCCTTGCTCAGCAAACCTTGTGCTCCTATTTAAAGGACAGCATGTCTCTTCACATATTTGTTATAAATCTTTTCAAAGACACTAATGAAATAAGAGGATACTCATTTTTTTTAAATCTAGAAATTTTAAGCTTAATGGATTTCCAAATAAAATCAGGAACTCAGAAGACAGTCTATGCACACTCTATTCTTGCTGACAATGCACAAGAGAAAGCAGCTTTATTTTATGAAATCTAATTAAATGACTACAGGGAAAAGCTAAAGGAGTTGGTAACAGGCAGAAGTTTTTCCTTGTGAGCACTGAGGGCTCCAGCTTTCTGGGGCTGCCATGGCAGTCAACCTTCAACCTGGTGATTAACTGAAGTGTGGGACCCACGTCACCAGCAAACATGATCACAGCATCACGTGACCTTTTGTGCGTCAGGGGGTAATGTGTAATCTGAGCAATGCTCAAAGAATGGGCTGTGAATAGTAAAGGACGTTCATATAACTGTGAGCCACACTGACTGCAGTCATTTATTTCAAGATTACGCCAATTTATTTAGATGCAAATGTCACAGACCGATTAAAAACTAGTCCATTGCACATATTCCATTTGCTGCTGAGATGAGAATTAATAGACACAAGCCAGACAACATCTATATAGGTGTGACACCTCATCAGAGGAGCAAAGTGCGTGCTCAGTCACTTTTCTGAATGCACAAATTAGCCCAAGGTGAACTTGTCCTCTCTTCTACTGCAAATGCTCAAAGGAATGCCCTTGATTTCACCTCTTTTCATTACACTGTATTATTAAACTATCAGGATTTTGTAGCATTGTCCTAGTTATCAACTATGATGAATTTTAGAATCAAATAGCTAAGCATGCTCACCACGTAATCTATGCACCACAGAATAGTTTTTGATTCCAGAAAAAAATGATAGATTTTTTATACTGAATCAGGCTTACATTCTGGGAATAAATCCCAAAGGACCATAGGTGGAACTAATTGCTTTGGAACTGTGAGAACTGGGCAGAGCATAGGGGTCAGGGTTGGGGACATCATCAGCCCACAAGCTACAGAGCCAGCAACTAAAAGTGAACCAGCAGAGAGCATCCAGGGACAAACAATCCAGCCAAAGGGTCAGGTCAAAGGCATAGGACCAGAGGCAGAGTCCAGGCACAGGGAATGGGTGCCAACCAGGCATTCCAGATGAGAATGGCAAAGGCCTCTGGGTGGGCTGTCCCTTACAGAGCTCTATCACACTACTGAATGTTATGAAATCTGCACAGGCCAGGCACGGTGGCTCACACCTCTAATCCCAGCACTTTGGGAGGCCGAGGTGGGCAGATCGCTTGAGCTCAGGAGTTTGAGACAAGCCTGGGCAACAAGCCCTACCAAAAACCCAAAAATTAGCCAGGCATGGTGGCACGTGCCTGTAATTCCAGCTACTTGTGAGGCTGAGGTGGGAGGACAGCTTGAACTCAGGAGTTCAAGACAAGCCTGAGCAACATGACAAAAACCCGTTTCTACCAAAAACACAAAAAATTTGCCGGGTGTCGTGGTGCACCTGTAATTCCAGCTACTCAAGAGGCTGAGGTGGGAGGATTGCTTGAGCCTGGGAGGCGGAGGTTGCATTGAGCCATGATTGCACTATTGCACTCCAGCCTGGGCAACAGAGTGAGACCCCATTTCAAAAAATAAATAAATAAAATCTGCATGGGATTTTACTTCTCTCTAGCAAAGTGATAGATAGAAAAGGCAAATGGCAGCACTGGTGCAAAACTTGGGCCTTTGCTGGGCAGGAGAATGTTTTACCTATATTTCTAAAACACACAATATGAAGTGCTTGATGGCCATTCCAAAAGTACGAGTTGTCCTTGAGAAAGGATAACACATGAAAAGTACACTTCTAAATACTAATCTTTCTGATCAAATATATATATATTTACTTGTGGATATGTATATCCACAAGTTTTCCATAGGAGTCCCAAATTCTAGTTACCAAATCAGAATGTGTTAACTTCTAACAAGTACAATCAATAACATATATTCATTAAAAGTAATAATTCCAACTGTAAGCCTTTGTCTTAGAAACTAAGAGGAGGAGCCAGGTGTGGTGGCTCACAGTTGTAATCTCAACATTTTGGGAGGCTGAGGTAAGAGGATTGCTTGAGGCCAGGAGTTTGAGACCAGCCTGGACAACATAGTGAGACCCCATGCCTACAAAAAAATTTTTTTTAATTAGCCATCTGTAATGTCACATGCCCATAGTCCTGGCTACTCGAGAGGCTGAGCTGGGAGGATCCCCGGAGCCCAGGAGTTTAAGGCTGCAGTGAGTTATGATTGCACCACTGCATTCCAATCTGGGTGACAGAGTGAGAACTTATCTCAAAATAAATAAAGAGGCTGGGCACGGTGGCTCACACCTGTAATCCCAGCACTTTGGGAGGCCAAGACAGGTGGATCACTTGAGGTCAGGAGTTCGAGACCAGCCTGGCCAACATGGTGAAACTCTGACTCTGTCTATACTAAAAATACAAAAATTAGCCAGGCATGGTGCCATACACCTGCAGTCCCAGATACTTAGGAGGCTGAGGCAGCAGAATCGTTTGAACCCAGGAGGTGGAGGTTGCAGTGAGCCCGAGATCATGCTACTGCACTCCAGCCTGGGCAACAGAGCAAGACTCTGTCTCAATTAAAAAAAAAAAAGTGGATATCCAAATGGACATTAAATATATGAAAAGATGCTGCTCATCCACATTAGTCATCAGGGAAATGCACATTAAAATCAGAATAAATATTGTTACATATCCACTAGAGTGGCTAGAACTAAAAGGACTGACAATGACAGGCATTACAGAGCAGTTGTGACTCACATACATGGCTGGAGGGAGTGTCAATTGGCACATCCACATTGGGCAACTTCTTGGTGGTATCTACTAAGGTTGAACCTAAACATACCCTATAACTTCACAATTTCTCTCCAAGGTTTCATTTACATCCCACAGAAATATGGGTCAAAAGCATCAAAATGTTTATAGCTACTTTATTTGTAACAGCCAAAGACTGGCAAAAACTTAAATGTTCATCAACAGGGGAATAGATGAACAAATTATAATAAATTCCTACACAGGAAGATGATGCATCAGTAAAAACCCTAGAAGAAAACCTAGGCAATACCATTCAGGACATAGGCATGGGCAAGGACTTCATGACTAAAACACCAAAAGCAATGGCAACAAAAGCCAAAATTGACAAATGGGATCTAATTAAACTAAAGAGCTTCTGCACAGTAAAAGAAACTACCATCAGAGTGAACAGGCAACCTACAGAATGGGAGAAAATTTTTACAATCTACCCATCTGACAAAGGGCTAATATCCAGAATCTACAAAGAACTTAAACAAATTTACAAGAAAAAATCAAACAACCCCATCAAAAAGTGGGCAAAGGATATGAACAGACACTTCTCAAAAGAAGACATTTATGCAGCCCACAGACACATGAAAACATGCTCACCATCACTGGCCATCAGAGAAATGCAAATCAAAACCTCAATGAGATACCATCTCACACCAGTTAGAATGGCGATCATTAAAAAATCAGGAAACAACAGGTGCTGGAGAGGATGTGGAGAAATAGGAACACTGTTGGTGGCACTGTAAACTAGTTCAACCATTGTGGAAGACAGTGTGATGATTCCTCAAGGATCTAGAACTAGAAATACCATTTGACCCAGCCATCCCATTACTGGGTATATATCCAAAGGATTATAAATCATGCTGCTATAAAGACACACATATGTTTTTTGCGGCACTATTCACAATAGCAAAGACTTGGAACCAACCCAAATGTCCATCAATAATAGACTGGATTAAGAAAATGTGGCACATATACACCATGGAATATTTTGCAGCCATAAAAAAGGATGAGTTCATGTCCTTTGTAGGGACATGGATGAAGCTGGAAACCCTCATTCTGAACTAACTATTGCAAGGACAGAAAACCAAACACCGCATGTTCTCACTCATAGGTGGGAATTGAACAATGAGAACACTTGCACACAGGATGGGGATCATCACACACCGGGGCCTGTTGTAGGGTGGGGGGAGGGGGGGGATGGCATTAGGAGATATACCTAATGTAAATGACGAGTTAATGGGTGCAGCACACCAACATGGCACATGTATACATATGTAACAAACCTGCACGTTGTGCACATGTACCTAGAACTTAAAGTATAAAAAGAATTATCCATTGAAGCAAATCAATAATTTTTAAAAAAATGAACAAGTTACATTGCCATGGAACAACATAGTTGAACCTCACAAAATACTGGAAAAAATTAATGCATAATATCAGAAATCAGGATGAGGGTGTCCTTGAGAGGAGAGAAGAGCTCATAATGGGAGGAGGCAATGCCAGCATTCTAGGGTGCTGGTGCTGTTCTGGTTTTACATAGATTGTGGTTCTATGGGTATGTGAGAATTCATGGAGCTGTGTACCCTTATGATTTCTGTACTTCTCTGCATGTTTGCTTTACTTTAAGAATAATGTTTAAAATTTTTAAAAATTGGAAGAAAACCCATCAAGGGTAACTTCCAAGAGCCTATAGAAAAGCTCCAATGACCTCCAAATTCTTCCTGTTTGTTCAGGTGAGTCTTCAGATCCTACCACTGGATTCATTCCTTCACCTGGTCTTTATAGGCAGCATACATTACTTCAACAAATATTTATAGAGGGCCTATTGTGGGCCAGGCACTGGGCTGAAATTCAAAGATGAATACAACAGGTTTGTAAATTCTCAGGGAGTTCACAGCCTGAAGAAACAGAACTGCTTTCTAATCCTGTACTCTGCTAAATGCTCTCTCATACATCTTCTCATTTAATTCACATTTCATTGAACTCAGTAACCCAGTCCATAAATCAGTGGCAGGGGCCTAATAAAAGCTAATTCTTATGAACTGCAGGGCAGGCATCTTGCCTCTACACCAGGCTTGGTAATATGTCGTGTATACCACAGTAGGTAACTCCTTGCTAACCCACAGCAGGCATCAATAATCTGCCAGGCTCTCCCTGGCTTTGACATGGCCTCCCAATCCTCCTCCTCATAGCTCAATAGACAATCATTATAGAACAATGGGGATTTGCCCAGGGGATGCCCCTAATCTACTATTCTTGAATCAAAGCATCAACTACTTTTTTTTTTTTTTTGAGATGGAATTTCGCTCTCGTCACCTAGGCTGGAGTGCAATGGCATGATCTCGGCTCGCTGCAACCTCCACCTCCCAGATTCAAGCAATTCTCCTGCCTCAGCCTCCTGAGTAGCTGGGATTACAAGCATGTGCCACCATGCCCAGCTAATTTTTGTATTTTTAGTAGAGATGGGGTTTTACCACATTGGCCAAGCTGGTCTCAAACTCCTGATCTCAGGTGATCCACCCGCCTCGGCTTCCCAAAGTGCTGGGATTACAGGCATGAGCCGCCGCACCCGGCTAACTACGTTTTTTGTCCCTCTTCATTTGAAAATATCCTTGGGAAAATCTATAAATCGTTGTTATGCATTTGCCTCTGGTTATGAATGGAGAATTTGAGAGTAAATTTGTAGGCAAGGGCCGAGAAGGAAGTATGCAATCCATGCAGGTCTAGAGTTTTAAGGGGACTTAGACTAAATGGTTAAGGCACTGCAGGAAACATGCTTATGCCACTATTTTGCCTGAAGTAGAAACTAGCCTTGGTGACAAATAGTAAGCTTATAAATTAATCTTAATGGGAATAAGGGACAGCTGAAATAGATCCTGAGATCATCAGTGGGAATTTCGGCTCACATTACATAGAAATAGTCTGTGGTGTTAAAAACTCCTGGCTCAGCAAAACTCCTGATCAGTTCTCAAGAAAGAGGATTTATCAGCACGCTTCCTGTGTCGCCTACACAACTGTCTATCTTTCATTATCAATGCTGGTGACAGTGATCAAAATGATCCATGAGCAACCTGAACCTACCTGAGCAAGAGGCTGCTTCCTTCCTCTGACAACCGCGCCAGAGAGAAAGGCTTTGCTGGGAAGGAATTCTTGGATCAGGGCATTTGTTGAAACACCAAAGGTTAAAAAGCAAAGATGGCACACCTTGGTGTGGGACTCAGTTGGTTTTTTGTTTTATTATGCATATATAAATAGGGAAAATACTTATCAAAAAATAAATAATAAACTCAGAAACATGCCAAGCCCTTACCTGTTGGCTTTAAGTTGCTGTATTTTGCAGGTTTCTAACTCATGCTGATACAGAACGGCTGAGCTCCTGGCTAAGCTCTACCCTCAAGCCTGGAACCTCAGCCTTAAGTGAAAACAGCTGACCCTGATACAGAACGGCTGGGCTCCTGGCCAAACTCCACCCTCAAGCCTGGAACCTCAGCCTTAAGTGAAAACAGCTGACCCTGATACAGAACGGCTGGGCTCCTGGCTAAATTCTACCCTCAAGCCTGGAACCTTAGCCTTAAGTGAAAACAGCTGACGCTGATACAGAAGGGCTGGGCTCCTGGCTAAACTCCACCCTCAAGCCCAGAACCTCAGCCCTAAGTCAAAACAGCTGACCCTGTTGCCTTTTTGACCCACCCCACCCCTTATCCTGTGCTTGCCTTTTTGGCCCACCCCATCCCCTATTCTATGCCCATAGAAAGATGTCAGCTGGTGGAGCAAAAAGAGGCAGCTGATGCAAGTGATTGGGGATACAAGCTTCTGAGCCTCAGGGATACAAGCTGCTGAACTTCAGGGTTACATGCAGCTGAGCATCAGAGACTAAGGATAGACTCGGCTAACTTGAGATGGTGCAGCTTCAGGAAAAGATCACTTTCTTCCCACACCATCCTCTTTCCAGTTCCCCATCCCGCTAAGAGACATTTTTATTGCCAAATAAAATTCTCCACATACACTACCCTTCAAATAGTTCACGTGACCTGATTCTTCCTGGACACCAAACAAGAACTCAGGTGTCAAGAAGGGCAGGTGCAGGAGGCTGTCACCCTGACCCTTCACTGAGCTGTTAACACTCAGCCATCCACAGATTACAGGCTGAGTGAAATGAGCCACTCCAGTTCCTGCCCACAAAGGGGGTCAAGGTCAAGGGAACCATCCTGTCTCAATACAACTATAGAATCTCTGGCTAGACGTGCCATAGGAGAACTCCTCAAGAGATAGAAGGACCCAACCAAAGAGACACCGCATAGGGCCATCTTGCCTGCTTATTTCCAGTCCAGAGATAGCCTCCTCTATGTCCTCACCCCTCCCGATTTCCTAACCACGAACAACACACACACACACACAAACACACACACACACACACATACACACACATACACATACACACACATACACACAACATACACACATACACACACATACACACATACACACACACATACACACACACACACACACACACACACAACCCCTGTTAGCAGAGGAACGCATCCAGGTCATGTGGCACCAAAGTATGTCAGAGGCGGTGAACCTGTATAGGTCTGCAGCAACCTCAATTCTTGCCTCATCAGAAGAAAGAATATGACTGAGGAGGCATAAAGCAGAAGAGACCGAGGCAAGTTTTAGAGCAGGAGTGAAAGTTTATTAAAAAGCTTTACAGCAGGAACGAAAGGAAGGAAAGTACACTTGGAAGAGGGCAAAGCAGGTGACTTGAGAGACCAAGTGCACAATTTGAGCTTTGACTTGGGGTTTTATAGGTTGGCGTAGTCCCGGGGGTCTTGCGTCCCTTCTCCCCTGATTCTTCCCTTGTGGTGGGCTGTCCTCATGCCCAGTGGCCTGTTAGCACTTGGGAGAGGAGAACATGCACAGTGTGTTCCCTGGAGTTGTACACATGCTCACTCGAGGTGCTCTTCCTTTACCAGCCAGATGCTTCATTTTGCCTCTTAGTGAACATACTTGAGCCCACTCGCCCAACTGCTGAGATCTTATTAGGAAGCTGCTGATCACCAGTTTCAGGTTTTTCTAACTATTGGGAGACTGCCTTTCTCTGGCACTGGCTATGACCGATTATTATTTTAGAGAGAACTTAACAACTGCCTGACCGCCACCTAATGGTCACCTGACATTCCTGGTGCATGTGGGGGTAGGGGAGCCCTCTCCTGTTCCGCTCGTGTCTGACTAGCTAGCTAGTGTAACACACCCAACCCCACATTTCCTTTCCAGGAAATTTAGAAAATAGAAAATCCCCGTCTTTAGCACCTTCCTCTTACTTTGCCCCCTCCTCTCTAATGCTTATTTCTCCCCAGCCCCAACCCCTACTCTTCTAACACTGGAATTCAGGGCTTCCTCCTGGTTAAGAAAAGAAGGAATTTGATGAATTCCACCTATCTCTTCCATCTCTCCCAAAGTTATGTGCATTTTTTAAAAGAATTCAAACACAGTTATTTACATATACACACACTCCATCCCCACCAGAAAGATAGCCTTGTAAGGGTGGAATTTTAGATTCAAGCAGAGAAGTTACTACTTTTATAGTGAGATGGGCTGGGAAAACTTTCTACAAATTGCACTTACCATCATAGCCTTCATCTACAAGTAAAACTATTCTCACACCCAACCTTGAGGCCTCTCTCACACACACATGTGCACACACACACGCACACACATCTACTAAATAACTGCTGTGAAGCACTTCTGAAATAGTGTAGTAAGAACTTCTAAAAACCCACACTTCCATAAAAGCAATGAGAACACTAGCAAAAATTGTCAAAAACAAAAACAAAAAAACAAAAAAAACCCACAACTTTTTAAGAACTGTGGAAATTAACCAAAGGAGTCCTACTATCTGCAAGGCATTTATTCAAGAAAACTGGCTGAACCTCAGAAAGAACAGTGAGTTTTGTGGTATTTTAACTTGCCCTATTCTCATCTCCTCCTCAGCTCCTCAGTAGCCTTGAAAACTAACAGCCTCACACCAATGATAGCTGTGAAAATCATCAGTCTAGCAGCCACGGGAGGAGACAGATGGGTTTGGAGTTCTGCAAAAGCCTATCCCTAGAGAATTGTCACTGTTTGACCTGCCTGGCAGCATCCTGAAAATCTCCCTTCTCAGAGTTGTCTCTGCATGGCCTAACTCACAGCTCACTCTGTTCAAATAGCCCCATTCCCCGGACATTTGTTTAAGAAAAAGTGGAAGTTGTTTAACATTACAGCTTCCTCAGGTAGTAATACCACTAGGGGCTGGCCAAAAAAATACTTTTTTCTTTACTCTTTTCTTTGAGACAAGGTCTCACTCTGTTGTCCAGGTTGGAGTATAGTGGCGTGATCATGGTTCACCGCAGTCTTGATCTCCCAGGCTCAAGTGATCCTCCCACCTCAGCCTCCCAAGTAGCTGGGAATACAAGCACACACCACCATGCCTGGCTTGGCTAAAAAAAACTTTAAAATAATCTGGGGGATGAGATGTCCATGGGGGCCTTGGAAACACTCTGACATATTCTTGGGAATCTAGAAGGCTATTTGCATGTGCAGCACTGTGCACACACCCAGGAAAGACCCAAAAGGCCCTAATCTCTCACCTCTGGCTGAATTTCAGGATCTCCATAAGCCAGAAGCAAAGGCTAAGGCAGAGTTTAAACTGCCTGCCAACTAGTGAAGGCATGCCCTAATATACATGCATACATACACATACACACAGAGTCTCTTGGCAAAGGCTGGGAGAGATACTGTTTCATACATTTAAAGAAATCTCTGTCCTGGCTGAGGTGAGAAGATCACCTGAGCCCAGGACTCAGTGGATGCAATGAGCTATGATTGTGCCCTTGCACTCTCATCTGGGTGACAGAGCAAAACACTTTCTCTAAAAAAAAAGAAAAAGAGAAATTTCTCTCCAGTCATCAGCTCTCTGCCAAGATAACCAAGCAGAGACTTCAGTGACCATGCACGAGAAAGAATGTAGATGAGAGACTGTGAACTGTCCTGGAGCCCAGTGGTGCTAAGGCTGAGGTGCAAGTGAAGCTCCAGCTGCTCCCCAGGAATGACTGACCGCAGGCTACTGCACTCAGGGCAGAGGGATAACAAAGGCATGGGCAACTGTTTTCAGGACCGAGGCACAAGTGAGGCACCATTTCAGAGCCCTGCCCCCAGCAGATTACACACTATCCTGGAGTCCTGCATAGCTGGCTCTGAGGCACAAGCGAAGTGCTGGCTGCTGTTCCCAGGACTCGAGAACCAGCGAACACGGGCTACTGCACCTGGGGCTGAGGAGTGAACAAGCATGCTGCCGAGGCACAAATGGCATACAGTTCCCCACCCACCCACCTAGGTGCTGCCACTGAAGACAGTGCTGCCAACCCCGCAGTGACAGTGCAGCAGCACAGCCATGCCACCACCAACCTGAGCATTCCACTGGTGGCCTGATAATCATATCAGCACCTATACACACCATCAGAGGCCTGTGGACAAGCCTGCTCAGCCTGACTTCACCCTACCACCTGTGCCAGAGCACAGTCTGGGGACCAGGGAATTGCCCAGCCTAGTCCACACTATTGGCACCTGAACGCTCCTCCTGGGGGCATGAAGTTGAGTCTACCCACCCAGCTGCTACCACCACAGCTGGCGCATACCTGCCGACACCACCTGCAGGACTGAAGACTGGCCCAGCTCATTGCAGTAACCAACACCAGCACACATTGTTTGGGACCCAGAGTGTCATCCCTACTTCTACTGCCATTGCCCATGCCACACTGGCTGCTCAGGACCCACTGAACTTCCCAGTCCACTGCTGCCACTACTGGTATGTGAGTAGGCCACGTGGGGGCCCAATAATTGGCCCACCTGAGGCCAGGCGTGGTGGCTCACACCTGTAATCCCAGCACTTTGGGAGGCCGAGGCAGGCAGATCACTTGAGGTCAGGAATTTGAGACCAGCCTGGCCAATATAGTGAAACTGTGTCACTATTAAAAATACAAAAATTAGCCAGGCGTGGTGGCACATGCCTGCAGTCCCAGCTACTTGGGAGGCTGAGGCAGGAGAATGGCTTGAACCCAGAAGGTGGAGTTGTGGTGAGTCAAGGTCGCACCACTGCACTTCAGCCTGGGTGACAGAGCAAGACTCCTCACCAAAAAAAAAAATAAAAAAATTGGCCCACCTGAACCCACTAACACTAGTGCCAATGTTTGCCATCCTGAGGCTTAAAAAGTAGGCACAATCGGCCCACTGCTGCCACCACTGGAGGCCAAAGACTAGCATACCCAAGGGCCCACTCCCCAGAAAAACTGCACCACAGCCCCCACTAACAACTGCACCCTAGGCCACCGAGGAAATGACAGGTACCACTGATACTATTTACAGCCTAAAAAATCAGAGACTACACTACTGCACACATCCAGAATCAAAGCCAAAGTGCCCTACCCAACTAACACCATAGATTCATCCTCAGGAAAAAGTCCTCCCCTATGAAAGCAAATTCAAAAATTGGTAGAAGTGACCATTACCCCAGATGTGCAGATATCAGCATAAGGACACAGGGAATATTGAAAAGCAAGGAAGTATGACACCTCCAAAGGAACACAATAAGTCTCAAGAGTTTGAGACTGGCCTGGGAAAGAGAGTGAGACTCTGTCTCTAAAGGAAAAAAGAACTGTAATAAATATGTTCGAATTATTGAAATAAACCATGTATCAAAAATTAAAAGAAAGCCTAAGAAAAATGTTTCCTCCTTCAATAATGAATAAAATAACTTAAGCAGAAGCTCAACAAGAAAAGACTCAACAATACTATTAACAAATTAGTCCTAACAAGCATCTATAGAACATTCCACCCAACAGCAGAATACCTAGTCTTAAAGCAAACCACAATAAATTTAAAAGGATTAAAATGTAACAAAGTATGTATGCCCACAATGGAATAAAATTAAAAATCAATAACAAAAAAATGGGAAACCTTACAAACGTGTGGTAATTAAACAACAACAGAGAATATCAATAAAGTCATGGAAGTTTTAAAAAAAAGACAGAGAATTTCTGGAGTTCAAAATTACAATAACTGAAATAAAAACATTCACTAGAGGGACTCAGCAGCAGATTTGAACAGGCAGAAGAAAGAATTACTCAACATAAAAATTTGGCAATTGGGAGTATTCAGTCTGAGGAAACGAAAAAAAAAGAATGAAGAAAAATGAACAAAGCCTCAGAGACCTTTGAGACACCATCAAGAATACCAACAAATGCATAATGAGAGTCAAAGAGGAAAGGAGAAAGAGAAGGGGGATCATAGAATATTTGAAGAAACATTTGGGCTGAAAACTTCTCAAATTCTGTAAAAAATATTAATCTGCACATCCAAAAAATGTAACAAACTCTAAGTAGGGTAAAAACAGAGATCCACACTTAGACACATCATCATTATACGTTCCAAAGCCAAACAAAAAAGAGACTCTTGAAAACAGCAAAAGAAAATTGAGTCATTATGCTCATTAAGTACAAGGGTTCCTCAATAAGATTAACAGCTGACTTCACAACAGAAACAATGTAGGTCAGAGCAGTGGATGACAAAGTGCTGAAAGAAAGATTGTCAACTAAGAATTTTATATCCAGCTAACTATTCTTCAAACACAAAAGAGAGAGTAAGATATTTCTAGAAAAAAGTGACAGACTTCATTGCTAGCAAAATTGCTCTGTAACAAATACTAAAAGGAGTCCTTGGAATGAATGAAAGAACACTAGAGAGTAACTCAACTCCATATAAAGAAATAAAGAGCAACAGTAAGGATAACTACATGAGTAAATATAAAAATGTGAATGCATTTCATTTTGTTTGTAACTCTTTTCTTCTCTTATGTAATTTAAAAGACAACTGCCTAAAACGATAATTATAGCGCTGTGCTGATGATCTTAAAATATATAAAGATGTAATTTGTATGACAATAATAGCATATAGGAGGGAATAGAGCTATACTGGAGCAAAATTTTATGTGCTATTGCAATTAAGTTGGTATTAATTCAAACTAGATTATTTCTAAATTAAGATGTTAAGTGTAATTCCAGAGCAACCACTAAGAAAATAGCTTAAAATATATATAGTAAAAGGAACAAAAAGAGAATTCAAATCATATACTAGAAGATCCTTATGTAACACAAAATAAAACAGTAACTGAGAAAGACAAGGGAAAAATAAGATATACAGGAAGTGAATAGAAAAATGGCAGATGCAAATCCTACCTTATTGGCAATTACACTAAATTTAAATGAACTAAACAATCAAAAGGCAAAGGTTGGAAGAATGTATTTTTTTAAAAAAAAGCATCAGTTAACTATATGCTGTGTATAACAGACACACTTTACCTCCAAGGACACAAATAGGTTCAAAGTAAAAGGATGGAAGAAAATATAACAGGCAAATAGTAACCAAAAGAGAGCAGGGTGGTTACTAGAGACAAAAGACATTTTATAATGATGAAATGGTCAATTCATCAGGAAGATATAACAATTATAAACACATATTCACCTAACAACAAAGCTCCAAAATACATGAAGCAACACTGACAGAATTGAAAGGACAACTAAAGAGTAACAGTTACAGACTTCAATACCCACTTCAACAGTGAACAAAACAACGTAAGCAGAAGATCAACAAGAGAAGACTTCAACAATACTATTAACAAATTAGTCCTAACAACCATCTGTATAACACTCCACCCAACAACAACAGAATACCCAGTCTTAAAACAGTGGCTCATGCCTGTAATCCCAGAACTTTGGGAGGCCAAGGTGGTCAGATTGCTTGAGCCCAGGAGTTTGAGACCAACCTGGGCAACATGGTTAAACACCATCTATACTAAAAATAGAAAACTTACCTGGGCATGGTGGTGCATGCCTGTAGTTCCGTCTACTCGGGAGGCTGAGGTAGGAAGGTCACTTGAGCCTGGGAGGCAGAGGTTGCAATGAGCTGAGATCACACCACTGCACTACAGCCTGGGTGTCAGAGCAAGATCTTGTCTCAAAAAATAAAAATAAAAGGATTAAAATCTAACAAAGTATGTTCTATACCCACAATGGAATGAAATTTAAAATCAATAACAGACAAAAAGGGAAACTTTACAAATATGTGGTAATTAAACAACATACTCCAAAATAACCAAAGGGCAAAAAATGAAATACAAGGGAAATTAGAAAATGCTATGAGATAAATAAAAACAAAAACACATTATAGCAAAACCTGTGGGATGTACTGAAAGCAGTGCTTAGAAGGAAATATGTAGTTGTAACACCTATATTTAAAAAGAAGCCTGGCTGTGGTGGCCCACGCCTGTAATCCCAGCACTTTGGGAGGCTGAAGCAGAAGGATTGCTTGAAGCTAGGAGTTCGAGACCAGCCTGGGTAACAAAGTGGGAAAAAAAAGGAAAAATTAGTCAGGCCCAGTGGCATGCACCTGTTGTCCCAGCTACTTAGGATGCTGAGGTGGTAGGATTACTTGAGCCCAGGAGTTTGAGGCTGCAGTGAACTATGATCATGTCACTGTATTCCTGCACTCCAGCCTGGGTGACAGAGTAAAATCTTGTCAAAGAAGAAGGAGAAGGAGGAGGAGGATCCCAAATAAAAAACCTAATCTTCCACCTTAAGAAACTAGAAAAGGAAGGTAAAACAGAATGGAAATAATAGTTGTCGTGTATTATCTCTGAGAAACTGAGCCCATGAAATGAGATAACCATCTTTAGAGGCAATGTGTCAGGGTGTTGATAGCTGATTTCAGAGCCAAGAGTTTGAGTGTTATGTTTCCACAGAGTATAAATGTTGCAAACACACTTGGACAAGTGATGGGAGACGCAGATAATATGAAATAAAGGCCTATGCTGTGCATTTCCTGTTTTCAAAAGGCAAGGTACAGACTCCATCTTTGATAGCTATAAGAAGGTCTCACTTCAGATTGTTCTGCCCATGTTCGCTCCCGTGCTCATCTCCAGCCACTTTCACTTTGGGCCATTGTAAGAGATGCTTTCCCATCCTCTGAAAGATTATCAAGCAAATGGCTGGATCAGAGATACAAGAAGACAGGAGACCCTCTGGACCTTCAGGGATAACAGAGAACGCCGGGAAACAGCCAGGGAACATATGTTGTGGATAAGAGTAAGGAATCTGGATGAGAAGAATGGGGAGGCGAGTGGATGGAATAAGAGTGAGGAATCTGGATGAGAAGAAGAGGGAGGCAAGTGGCTGGATGTGTCTCCAGCTCTGCATACTAAGTCAGGAGCCCAAGGCTGATGAGTCTTGGGCTCAAACAATCTATTTTCCACACACGGCCCCTAGGAGCATGATTCCAAATTTCCCTGAACTAAGTGTAAACAAGTATTTGTATGATTCTCTGCAATGCTGAGGACCACCCCAGGCACTGGCTATGAAGGCAGACTCTAGAACATTCTCTCTGTAGCAGCAGTGACCACCTTTATACTGATCTTTTCTTCACCCAGCAAGACAAATATTAACTATCCCATTGCCCTTGAACTCTTACTCATTATCCCCCCAGATCCTCTCTCCCATTAGGGTTTTTTCATTAAGGTGTCATTACTACAGCAATAATATGTCCTAGATTTCTTCTAAGTAAGTGATTAAGTGTTTGATAATATGTGAAATGCGTGAAGTACTAAAACATACAAAACTAATCTATGTTGTTAGAAGTCTAGAGAGTGGTTGCTCTTGAGGGGGATAGTAGTTGAAATAGGGCACAAGGGAGATTTCTGATGTTCTGATAATGCTCCCTTTTGATCTGGGTGTGGGTTACATGGATGTGTTCAGTGTGAAAAAATTCATCAAGTTGTATACTAATGCTATGTGTACTTTTCTGCAGGCATAATTTTTTAAATTAACAAATAATAAAATTGACTTTTTGAGTGCACAGGCCTATGAATTTTAACACACACATAGATTCAGGTAACCACCATAATGAGAATACAAAAGCAGTGCAAAAAACTCCTCATGCTAGCCTTCTGTACTCATACCCTCTCCCCACCCAAAACCCATGTCAACCACCAATCTGTGCTCTGATCCTGTGACTTTTAGTTTGTCTTTTCAATAATGTCATACAAAAAGAAGCATGCAATATGTAATCTCTTTTTTTTTTTTTTTTTTTTTTTGTTTGAGATGGGGTCTTGCTCTGTCACCAGGCTGGAGTGCAGTGGTGCGATCTCAGCTCACTGCAACCTCCGCCTCCCGGGTTCAAGCAATTCTCCTGCCTCAGCCTCCCAAGTAGCTGGGACTACAGGTACACACCACCACAACCAGATAATTTTTTGTATTTTTAGTAGAGATGGGGTTTCACCGTGTTGGCCAGGATGGTCTCAGTCTCTTGACCTCATGATACCCCTGACTCGGACTCCCAAAGTGCTGGGATTACAGGCGTGAGCTACTGTGCCTGGCCTGCAATATATAATCTCTTTAAAAGGTTGACTACTGTCCCTGTCCCTGTCCCTGTCCCTCTCCCTCTCCCCATTGTCTCCCTCTCCCTCTCTTTCCACGGCCTCCCTCTCCCTCTCTTTCCACAGTCTCCCTCTGATGCCGAGCCAAAGCTGGACTGTACTGCTGCCATCTCGGCTCACTGCAACCTCCCTGCCTGATTCTCCTGCCTCAGCCTGCCGAGTGCCTGCGATTGCAGGCGCGCGCCACCACGACTGACTGGTTTTCATATTTTTTTGGTGGAGACGGGGTTTCGCTGTGTTGGCTGGGCTGGTCTCCAGCTCCTAACCGCGAGTGATCCGCCAGCCTCGGCCTCCCGAGGTGCCAGGATTGCAGACGGAGTCTGGTTCACTCAGTGCTCAATGGTGCCCAGGCTGGAGTGCAGTGGCGTGATCTCGGCTGGCTACAACCTCCACCTCCCAGCCGCCTGCCTTGGCCTCCCAAAGTGCCGAGATTGCAGCCTCTGCCTGGCCGCCACCCCGTCTGGGAAGTGAGGAGCGTCTCTGCCTGGCTGCCCATCGTCTGGGACGTGAGGAGCCCCTCTGCCTGGCTGTCCAGTCTGGAAAGTGAGGAGCGCCTCTTCCCGGCCGCCATCCCATCTAGGAAGTGAGGAGCGTCTCTGCCCGGCCGCCCATCGTCTGAGATGTGGGGAGCGCCTCTGCCCCGCCGCCCCATCTGGGATGTGAGGAGCGCCTCTGCCCGGCCCGACCCCATCCGGGAGGTGAGGAGCGTCTCTGCCCGGCCGCCCCGTCTGAGAAGTGAGGAGACCCTCCGCCCGGCAGCCACCCTGTCTGGGAAGTGAGAAGCGTCTCCGCCCAGCAGCCACCCCGTCCGGGAGGGAGGTGGGGGTCAGCCCCCGCCAGGCCAGCCACCCCGTCCGGGAGGAAGGTGGGGGGTCAGCCCCCCGCCCGGCCAGCCGCCCCGTCTGGGAGGGAGGCGGGGGGCTCAGCCTCCCGCCCCGCCAGCCGCCCCGTCCGGGAGGGAGGTGGGGGGGTCAGCCCCCGCCAGGCCAGCCGCCCCGTCCGGGAGGGAGGTGGGGGGGTCAGCCCCCTGCCCGGCCAGCCGCCCCGTCTGGGAGGGAGGTGGCGGGGGTCAGCCCCCCACCCGGCCAGCCGCCCCGTCCGGGAGGTGAGGGGCGCCTCTGCCCAGCCGCCCCTACTGGGAAGTGAGGAGCCCCTCTGCCCGGCCAGCCGCCCCATCCGGGAGGGAGGTGGAGGGGGGGTCAGCCCCCCGCCCGGCCAGCCGCCCCGTCCGGGAGGTGAGGGGCACCTCTGCCCGGCCGCCTCTACTGGGAAGTGAGGAGCCCCTCTGCCCGGCCAGCCACCCCGTCCGGGAGGGAGGTGGGGGAATCAGCCCCCCGCCCAGCCAGCCGCCCCGTCCGGGAGGGAGGTGGGGGGGTCAGCCCCCCTCCTGGCCAGCCACCCCGTCCAGGAGGTGAGGGGCACCTCTGCCCGGCCGCCCCTACTGGGAAGTGAGGAGCCCCTCTGCCCGGCCACCACCCCGTCTGGGAGGTGTACCCAACAACTCATTGAGAACGGGCCATGATGACAATGGCAGTTTTGTGGAATAGAAAGGGGGGAAAGGTGGGGAGAGGATTGAGAAATCGGATGGTTGCCATGTCTGTGTAGAAAGGGGTAGACATGGGAGACTTTTCGTTTTGCTCTGTACTAAGAAAAATTCTTATCCTGTTGATCTGTGACCTTACCCCCAACCCTGTGCTCTCTGAAACATGTGCTGTGTCCACTCAGGGTTAAATGGATTAAGGGCGGGGCAAGATGTGCTTTGTTAAACAGATGCTTGAAGGCAGCATGCTCGTTAAGAGTCATCACCACTCCCTAATCTCAAGTACCCAGGGACACAAACACTGCGGAAGGCCGCAGGGCCCTCTGCCTAGGAAAACCAGAGACCTTTGTTCACTTGTTTATCTGCTGACCTTCCCTCCACTATTGTCCTATGACCCTGCCAAATCCCCCTCTGCGAGAAACACCCAAGAATGATCAATAAAAATAAATAAATAAATTAATTAATTAAATTAAAAAAAATAAAAAGGTTGACTACTTTCATTCAGCATGCCTCTGAGAATCATCCAAGTTGTTGCATCTATCAACAGCTCATTCCTTTTGATAGATAAGTAGTATTCCATTGTGTAAATGTACCACAGGGCTTTTTTAAATCCATTCATCCATGGAATGATATTTCGGTTGTTTGCTGTTTTTGACAATTATGAAGCAAGTTGCTATGAATACTGTGTACAGGTTTTTGTGCAAACATACGTTTTCATTTCTCTGAGGTAAATAAGTAGAAATGCGTCTGCTGGCTCATGTGGTAAGTGTAGGTTTAACTTTCTATGAAATTGCCAAACTGTTTTTCAGAGTGGCTGTACCATTTTCCTTTCTCATCAGCCATGTAGGAGAGTTCCAGTTGCTCCCATTTTCATCAGCACTTGGTATTGTCAGTATTTTTTATTTTAGTATTCTAATTGGTGTATCACCATACACTAATTATGGTTTTAATTTGCATTTTATGGTGTATCACTATACCTAATTATGGTTTTAATTTGCATTTTCCTAATGGCTAATGCTTTTAAACGTCTTCCCATATACTTATTTTCCATCTGTATATAATGTGTCTTGGTCTGTTTGTGCTTCTATAACAAAATACCTTAGACTGGGTAGTGTATAAACAATAGAAATGTATTTCTTACAGTTCTGGGAGGATGGGAAGTCCATGATCAAGAAGCAGATTTGATGTCTGATGAGGCCAGCTTTCTGCTTCCAAGATGGTGTCCTATGAATGAACGCTGTGTCTTCACATGGTGGAAAAGATGGAAAGGGGCAAATCCACTCCCTCAATCCCTTTCATAAGGGCCCTAATCCCACTCCCATGACTCAGTGACCTTCTAAAGTCTCTGCCTCATAATATTATCACATTGGTGAATAACTTTCAACATATGAATTTCAGGGGACACATTCAGACCATAGCACTCTTTGGCAAATAACCAAGTCCTTTGTCCACTTTTTCATTAGATTGTTTCTTTTTGTATTGTTCTGTTTTGAGAGCTCTTTACATATTCTGTATACAATGTACCAGAATATATGTCTATTACATATACAAATCCTTGGTCAAATATGTGATTTGCAAATATTTTCTCCCAGTTTGTTAATTTGTCTTTCAATTCTCTTACCAGTGTCTTTGACAAAAGTTCTTAATCTTGAGAAGTCCAATTTATTGATTTTTTTCTTTCATAAATTGTGGTTTTATGTTATGGCTAAGAGCCCTTTGTTTAAACTCAGGCTGTGAAGATGTTCTCTTATGTTTTCTTCTTAAAGCTGTATAGCAAAACCTGGACTAGGGTGACATAAGGGAGGTGCCTAGGGCACAAAATTTAAAAAGCCTCTCACTTTCAGGATCATACTTGCATAACTAAAGTGAGTGCCTCCTTAAATTTTGCATCCTAGGTACATTCCTTTTTTCACCCTAGTCCCAGCCTTGTTTTATAGTTTTTTGTTTTACATGCAGTTCTATGCTCCGTTTTGAGTTAATTTTTATATAAGGTGGAGGTTTAGTTCAAAGTTCATTTTTTTGGCCTATGGATGTCTAATTGTTCCTTTGCCATTTGTTGAGAAGGCTGTCTTTCCTCCACTGAATTTCCTCCATTCTTTGCATCTTTGTCAAAAAATTAGTCGAACACATATGTGTGAGTCTATTTCTGGACTCTCTACCTGTTTCATTCATCTATATGCCAATATAAATCCCTTTGCTAATATCACACTGTCTTGATTACTCTAACTTTATAGCAAGTCCTAAAGTCAGAGAGTGG
Source organism: Homo sapiens (assembly GCF_000001405.40). Taxonomy (NCBI): domain Eukaryota; kingdom Metazoa; phylum Chordata; class Mammalia; order Primates; family Hominidae; genus Homo; species Homo sapiens. The sequence goes on from NC_000002.12 coordinate 229,745,943, forward strand.
GATTCCTCCAGCTTTAATTTTCTTTTTCAAAGTCGTTTTGGCTATTCTAGTTTATTTGCCTTTCCATATACATTTAGGAATTAGCTTGCCTAGATTTACAAATAATCATGCTGATATTTTAATTTTATTTGTAATTGTGTTAAATCTGTAATTGCATCTACTGAGTAATGACAAGGTAGAAGAGAAGGCAAAGGTGATGGAGACACCAGTGAGCAGAGGAAAGGTAGAAAGAGAGGCTGATCTTTCATTATCTACCATGTGCCAGACACGGCTTAGGATTTATGTTATTTTATCTAATTTAATCCCCTAAACTAAACTATGAGACAGATAGTATCATTCTTACTTTTTGACTGAGGAAGCCGAAGCTCAGAAAGAGTCAGTAGTGGGAAGGCAGAGGCAGGCTGGGATCGGAACCCAGGATAGCTTTACTCACTCCATCAGCCTCCCATCTTTTTGCCCTAAGACTGCTTAAATCTGTCCATAGATCCCTAGTTAGAAAAGTGCATTCTCCCAAGAAGGGAAAAAATAGCTCTCATGGTCAAGAATAAACGTCAGAAGTTGGCCAAACATTCCAGTAAGAGTGAGGCCAAAGCCAGGTACAGTGGCTCATGCCTATAATCCCAACACTTTGGGAGACTGAGGTGGGAGGATCACTTGAGGCCAGGAGTACAAGACCAGCCTGGGTAACATAGTGAGACTTCATCTCCACCAAACATTAAAAAATTAGCCAGGTGTGGTGGTATACACCACACCTGTAGTCTCTCTCTTTTTTTTTTTTTCTTTTTCTTTTTCTTTTTTGAGACAGAGTCTCACTCTGTCGCCCAGCCTGGAATGCAGTGGCACGATCCTGACTCACTGCAACCTTCACTTCCCAGGTTCAAGCAATTCTTATGCCTCAGCCAGCCCCAAATATCTGGGGTTACAGGCATGCGCTGTCGCACCTGGCTAATTTTTGTATTTTTAGTAGAGACAGGGTTTCACCATGTTGACCAGGCTGGTCTCAAACCCCTGGCCTCAAGTGATCCGCCCACCTCAGCCTCCCAAGGCACTGGGATTACAGGCATGAGCCACCACGCTCATTCACACGTGTAGTCTCTTAAAAAAAAAAAAATAGTGATGCCAGTAGGGGATCTAATGCGCAGCATGCTGCCTATTGTTAATAATACTGTATTGTATTGTTAAATTGAAATAGATCTTAAGCATCCTCGCCAACCCCACACACAGACAAAAGGAAGTGAGAAACGTTCCTTCATTCCTAGTTTTTTAAGAGCTTTTTTAGTTTTTATCATAAATGGGTGTTGAAGTTTATCAAATGCTTGCTTTGCATCAATTGGTAGGATCATATGATTCTTCTTCTTTGGCCTGTTGATGTGCTGGATTATATTAATTGATTTTTGAAAGTTGAGCCAGCCTTGCATATGTGAAATAAATCCCACTTGTTCACAGTGTATAATTCTTTTTATACATTGTTGAACTCAATTTGTTACTATTTTGTTGAGGATTTTTGTATATATGTTCATGACAAGTATTAACCTACAGTTTTCCTTTCTTGTAATGTCTTTTTCTGGTTTTGCTATTTTGGTATCAGCCAAATGCTGGCCTCAAAGAATGAGTAAGTGTTCCCTCTGCTCCTATTATCTGGAAGAGATTGTGGTGAGTTGGTATAATTTCTTCTGTAAATTTTTGGTAGAATTCACCAGTGAAACCATCTGGGCCTAATTCTTTTTTTGTTGGATGTTTATTCATTATTAATTCAATTTCTTTAACAGATGTAAGTCTATTCAGATCACCTGTTTCTCCTTGTGTGGATTTTGGTAGTTTGTGTCCTTCCAGGAATTGGTCTGTTTTATCCAAATCATAAAATTTGTAGGTAAAAAGTACTTTTAAAAAGCATTATGTCAGAGGAAAAACAGAAAGAACTAACAGCCTGTTGCCCTCAGAATTTCATGAACATTAACACTTACTCAGGGCCTGGGGCCAAATTACCTGGATTTGGATCTTGTTTCTGTCGCCCTGCATGACTTTGGGCAATTAACCAGCTTCTCTACACCTCAACTGCCTCACCTGTGAGATAAGGATAATACTATTTACCTCATAGTATTATTGTGAGAATTAAATGTGATTGTGTATAAAGCATGTAGCACAATTCCTGTCACATAATAAGCCCTCCATGGATGTTGGCCATTATTGCTGATTTCAGTTCACCAGTGTCTTTTGAGCATTCATTATATTCCAGGAGTTATGTGAAGCAATGAAATAAAAAGAAGAGGAAACTGTGAAAGACATGTTTAGTTGCTCACAGACTAAGGTCAAAATAGACATAGACAGATCAGTACAGGCCAGTGCGACAGATGGAAGTCTCATCAGAGTGCACAAGAGCACCTAGGAAAGATGAAATGGCAGGGCAAGCCCATCTGATTCACTTAAAGAAGCGTGGGTGTGGCCGGGCACGGTGGCTCACGCCTGTAATCCCAGCACTTTGGGAGGCCAAAGAGGGCAGATGGCTTGAGCTAATGAGTTCAAGACCAGCCTGGGCAACATGGTGAAACCCCGTCTCTAATAAAAATACAAAAAATTAGCCAGGCGTGGTGGTGCATGCCTGTAATCCCAGCTACTCGGGAGGCTGAGGCAGGAGAATCACTTGAACCCAGGAGACAAAGGCTGCAGTGAGCTGAGGTTGTGCCACTGCACTCTAGCCTGGGCAACACAGCAAGACTCTGTCTCAAAAAAAAAAAAAAAAAAAAAAATAGAAGAAGTTTGGGAGTTTGGGTGTCCAGTCTAGGTAACTACAACCCAGGGACTAGCAGAAAAATGCAGATGAGGTTACCAAACTATTGTTGATTTCGTGAACAGTGACAGAGTGAAACAGATGCCAGAATCCTGGACACACTGGTACCCACAGATTCAACTTCCAGAGGAGGCATCCACCACAGGTAGACAGATGCTAACTCTGGGCTGACGTCTCAGTCTTCATAAAAGAACGCATTGATCCCTGGAAGCCAACACAGGCCTGCCGTGAACAAATCTGGTCTTGGCTTGACTTCATTTCCTTTTAGATGGGGCTCCTAAGAGAATTTCTGCAAAAAGTTTGCCAGGTTCTAGGCCTCTTGTGAGAGCTTTGTAGACGAAATGGAGAAATAGAAGCTGATGTATATAGTGCATTTGGTTGGAGTCCTAGCCAGTTAAATATCCTAATCCCCAGGAGGTGGTGCCGTTGAGGAGGAGACAGTTCTGTGTGTGTCCTGTCCTGTGGTGGCTCCCATTCCCACTGGCATCCCTCTCACATTGACACAATGTGTGAGAGACTTAAAATCAGGAGAGATAATAGATAAATGTGTGTCATGACCAAGTCAGGACCTCAAAAGATTTTGATACATTTGGACAGTGGGCCACATTCAACAACATCTATTTAACATAGACAATGTTAAGTCATGTCAGGCCCCAAAACTCAACAGTACCTAAGTTTTGGGGCCTGACATGACTTGGGGAAAGAATAGGTACAGAAGAAGGCTGGGCGTGGTGGCTCATGGCTGTAATCCCAGCACTTTGGGAGGCCAAGGTGGGAAGATCACCTGAGGTCAGAAGTTCGAGACCAGCCTGACCAACATGGTGAAACCCCATTTCTACTAAAAATACAAAAATTAGCCAGGCATGGTGGTGCACACCTGTAATCCCAGCTGCTTGGGGAGGCTGAGGCAGGAGAATCGCTTGAACCTGGGAGGCAGAGGTTGCAGTGAGCCAAGATCTCGCCACTGCACTCCAGCCTGGGTGAAAGAACGAGACTCCATCTCAAAAAAAAAAAAAAAAAAAAAAAAAAGAAGAAGAAGATAGGTACAGAAGAAAAACACGGGGTACTTCTAACATTAATATTCTAGGTGTCCGTGGGGTAGGTAGCTGGTATAATTTGGATATTTGTCCCCTCTAAATCTCATGTTGAAATGTGATCCCTGGTGTGGGAGGTGGAGCTTGCTGGGAGGTGATTTTGTCATGGAGGCGGGTCCCGCATGAATGGTTCAGCACCAGCCCCTTGGTGACGAGTGAGCTCTGCCTCAGTTAGCTCACATGAGATCTTGTTGTTTACAAGTTTGGAGATTCCCCCTTCCCTCTCTCACTTCCTCACTCGCCATGTGAGACTCCTGACCCCACTTCCACCAGCACTGGAAGCTTCCTGAGGCCCTGACCAGGGGGCTGCTTCCTGCCTACCCTGCAGAACCATGAACCAATTAAACTTCTTTTCTTTATACATTACCCAGTCTCAGATTTTTTTTCTTTTTTTCTTTTCTTCTTCTTTTTTTTTTTTTTTTTTTTTTTGAGACTTTGTCACCCAGGCTGGAGTGCAGTGGCATGAACACAGCTGACTGCAGCCTTCACCTCCTGGGCGCAAGTGATCCTCTCACCTCAGCCTCCTGAGTAGCTGGGACTACAAGTGCGTGCCACCACACCTGGCTAATTTTTTTTACTTTTTTGTAGAGATGGGGTTTCAACATGTTGCCCAGGCTGGTCTTGAACTCCCAGGCTCAAGCAATCCTCCTGCCTCAGCCTCCCAAAATGTTGTGATTACAGGCATTAGCCATGCACCCAGCCTCAGGTATTTCTGTATAGCACCATAGGAACTGACTATTACAATAGCATTATGGTGAGGAGGTTGTAGAGGGAATGAAAGGAGAGAGGAAGAGGAGGTGAGGGAGAAATACTGCAAATTGGAAAAATAGTATAAAAATGACTAAAAACAATAAGTGCTAGCAGGTACTGAGTGCTTACTATGAGGACTGTTCTAACCACCCTCTAGTGTGTTTAGATGAATTCATGTTGGTCAAGTATTTCCATCTCAAGAGATAGGGAGTTGGTAGAAACAATATTTCTTCCCTTACCTACAAGGATATCTTCAGAGGCCTTATCAAATGTTTTGCAGAGACGTATGTTTTGTCTAGTCAGTTCCTACCTAAATCAGCTTATTTAAATGATGTCATTTAATCGTGAGGAGTGCATTCTCAGTATTCTCAGCCTTCAGGTGAGGAAAGGTGAGCAAAGTCACTTCCCCAAGGCTGTGCAACTGGTACCCAGCCCTGCCAGGCATGAGCCCACTCATCTGCCTCTGAAGCTTGAGCTCTATGGCCTACCTGCTGCTCTGCCTCCCACAGAGAATAGAAATTTCTCTCTGTGCCTACCACAAATGCTGTCATTATCTTTACTTATTAAGAAGAAAAGTTTACATTGTAAACTTCGAAGATGCCCAGGAATGAGGTCTAAAGTGGATCACACATCCGGGCGTGGTGGCTCACACTTGTAATCCCAGCACTTTGGGAGGCCACGGCAGGTGGATCAGTTGAGGTCAGGAGTTCGAGACCAGCCTGGCCAACATGGTGAAACCCCCTCTCTACTAAAAATACAAAAATTAGCTGGGCTTGGTGGCAGACGCCTGTAGTCCCAGCTACTTGGGAGGCTGAGGCATGAGAATCACTTGAACCCAGGAGGCAGAGGTTGCAGTGAGCTGAGATTGCACCACTGCACTCCAGCCTGGGTGACAGACTCTTTCTCAAAAATAAAATAAAATAAAATAAAATAAAATAAAATAAAATAAAATAAAATGGGTCACAGACAGTTGGAAACATTGAGCTGGGAAAAGTAGATTGAGAGGTGACATCAACCCCAGGCTCAACATTAACTAACGGTATGAAGAGGTGGCCAAGAAAGTGAACACAGTCTCTGACTCTGAGGACGCAGGTTAAGTGTCTATAACCAGAGAGCATCTCACACCGGTATGTGTCAGCCAGACCACACAGGATATCATTCTTTTGGTGTAAGTACTACCATGAGAAGAGGGAACATATAAATCTGTGACAAGATATCAGGTATTTGAGGGAAAGCAAGGAGGAATCTTGGCATCATATCAAAGGGATATGACAGGAAGGCCACTGGGTATTTAGGGAACTGTGTGAGGTGTCCTTAAGAAGAAAAATGTCGGCCGGGCGCGGTGGCTTAGGCCTGTAATCCCAGCACTTTGGGAGGCCAAGGAGGGTGGATCACAAGGTCAGGTGTTTGAGACCAGCCTGACCAACATGGTGAAACCCCGTCTCTACTAAAAATACAAAAATTAGCTGGGCATGGCGGTGAGTGCCTGTAATCCCAGCTACTCAGGAGGCTGAGGCAGGAGAATCGCTTGAACCCGGGAGGTGGAGATTGCCATGAGCCAAGATCATGCCACTGCACTCCAGCCTGGGCAACAGAGCAAGACGTCGTCTCAAAAAGAAAGAAAGAAAGAAAGAAAAATATCAGGATGGGGAAGTCAGAAGGAGAAATGAGAGTGTACTCCAAATGTCTCAAGGGCTACCTTGGGAAAAGGGAATTAGATGTCACCTAGAATGGTTATAAAAGACTGAACTGGAATAAAATCACCAGCAGGAAGGAGGCCAATTTCGATGTCACATACAGATGAGCTTTTTATCTAGAAATACCCTTCTCCCTGGGGTATAATTTATTCTCAATATTAACTAAAGGCCATTTAGATAAGAAACTAGTGTTTGCTATTCCCTTGAGTGTACCTAAGAAAAATTTTCATGAAATAACCAATAATAAACTCAGGGAAAATGAGAGTAGAGAGAAATACTCCCTAGAAATATTCACTTTCTATAAACCATCCATTTTTGCAATGACAAAAATACTGTTTCTGTCACTAGATTCACAAAGTCAGATAGGGAAAATAATTATAAAATGCCCTTCCAGGAAAAGTTATTATGAAAATGGGAAGAACGACTTGATCATTTGAGCTTTGGAAGAATGGCTTGAAGAATGGGGAGCAGGGTGGGTGGGCCGAGAGCAGGATCCTGGTTGAAGATACTGGGGAAGAGATTTGGCATTGGATACAGGGAGTGAGGGGCGGGTGGGGATAGACTCTCATGTTCCCTCTATCACCAACCTTCGCAGGTGTCTCGAAGTAGTCTTGAAAGCCAGGGCTCTGAGTCTTGGGTTCTAGCCACGGCTCTGCCACTTAGGAGCCATACAAGCAAGTCTCTGCACCTTTCTTGACCTCTTTCTTCATCCGTAACATGAGAAGTCTGGATCAGGTGATTGCTAAGATCTTTACAAGCTCTCTAAATGACAGGATTCAGACAGAGTTACCAAACAGAGGCTTGTTCCACAGCCTTCCTTCATCCGGTTAGCCATTAAACCAACGCAGAGACGACAGTCACCCTTTCAATTGTAGAAATATTTGAAAAGAGTAAATAAACCAGGCTAAAATGCAATTCTGTCTGAAAATACTTACACACATACTCAAAGTCCACATTACCCAAAAAGAGACTAAGTCCCAGTTGGCCAGCTAATGACACGAACCTGAAACTCCAGAGGTAACCCTTTAACTGAATAACTGCTTTTTTAAAACTGCAAGTGATTCACAGCACATTTTGTCACCTGCACAGGGAGAAAAGAAATGCCTCTGAATATTCAAATATGCTTGTAAAATATTAAGCACCTCCCACAGGCAGTGGAAGTGATATATTTATCCTGCGTCATTATCTCTCGGGGCACCACCTGCATCTGTTCATGGTCAGCAAACATGGCCAAGCTCAATGTACTTTAATGGAGGGAGGATCACAGATCACATCTTCCTCTCACTTGCCCGGGCTACCAGCTGGGTCCTGTTAGCAGCAGGCATCGGACAAGGCCTAAGACCCACAGCCTTCGGTTCTATGGGGCGGGGCCCTAGATGAAGGAATTGGGAAGTGGCTCATCCTCTATTTTTTCTAAATAGAAAAAAAAATTATTTCTAAACAGCTTAAAACATTATTTTCATTTTCTCAATTTACAGTGACCCCCTAAATGAAAGCTATTTCTTTTTTTTTTTTTTCCTAGGTGGAAAAACATAGAACCTATTCATTTTCAAACTTAGACAATGCCAAGTTTTGGGGGAAAGAAAAGTCAGCTGAAAAACTGCAATGGCTCTGATGGTGAACTTGGCAATATGTCAGCACTGTTCAGAGAGAAGGGCCCACTACTTTATATTCTGTGGCTGCAAATGGCAGACAGGTTCATTTTCTCCTTATTGTTCTCTCCTACACACACACACACACACACACAGAGAGAGAGAGAGAGAGAGAACGAGAGAGAGAGAAAGAGAGAGAGAGAGAAGGTACCCAATACATACATCATTTACCTTTTAACTTCAGGATGCCTGATAGTACTTTTGCTCCTGCCACTAACTAGCTGGAGAACTTGGGCAAATTGAATAAATCTTCAAACCTTGGTCTCCTTATTTATGAAATAGGAATTTTTAAAAAGCTACTTCCCAGGTTTGTGTAATAACCAAATACCATTATAAAAGTTATGTAAAGCAGGGAGGTCACCCACTCTCCCCAACATCATCACTGGTGGGGATGGAAGGGCAGTGTGGTTTAGTGAGTCAGGCTCTTCTCCCTGGAGTAAGTCCTGGATTTAAGTCCCAGGTAGCCACTGAGTTTGGGACAGAACCAGGTGGGTAGAAAGTGATTGTGTAATCATAACTATTAATTGTGATCATTTCTCACAGCAAAGTGTGATGCAATCATTTTTCTTAGTTGATGTTATTGTCTATAGAATGAAAGAGGGCTGGGCGCAGTGGCTCATGCCTGTAATCTCAGCACTTTGGAAGGCTGAGGCAGGTGGATCACTTGAGGTCAGGAGTTCAAGACCACCCTGGGCAACATGGTGAAACCCCATCTCTACTAAAAATATAAAAATCAGCCGGGCATGGTGGTGTGCGTCTGTAGTCCCAGCTACTTGGGAGGCTGAGCCAGGAGAATTGCTTGAACCTGGGAGGTGGGGGTTGCAGTGAGCTGAGATTGCGCCATTGAACTCCAGCTGGTTTACAGAATGAAACTCTGTCTCAAAAAAAAAAAAAAAAAAAAAAAAAAACAGAAAAGAAAGAATGAAAGAGAATTAAGACTTGGGCAGACAACCAGCTACATCAGATACTTTTAGTTGTAAGTAGAAGTTGCCCTAATAAATGAATTACACTCTTTCTTTGCTAGTTAATGCTCCTCTTCATTGAGAAATACTGTCAACTGCACTGGAACAAAAATACTTAGTCATAATGTCTTCCCATTATTAAAATGCAAGATGGTATAATTACATTTGCCATATTATTTCTTACACTCAGAGAGATGGATTACATATCACTAAACAGCCATGACCTTGGATGATGGGTTTGATAATTTGCTAGAATTGTTCATAGAACTCAGGGAAGCACTCTACTTATGTTTATAACTCAGGAACTGGCAGATGGAAGAGAAGCATTGAGCAAGGCTGGAGATGGAGTGGGGGAACCTGCAGTGCCCTCGATGGACCACCACCCTGCCAGCGTTTGGATGTGTTCACCAACCTGAAAATCCATCAAATCTTGTTCAAAAGTCTTCATAGAGTCCAAGCGCTAGCTCTTCCTCCCTTTCCTGGAGGTTGGCGGGCAAGGTTGAAAGTTCCAGCACTCTAACTAACCACTGTGTCATCCTAGTGACCAGCCCCATCCTGAAGCTATCTAGGGACCTCATCCTGAATTACTTCATTAGCATAAACTTAAGTATGATCAAAAGGGGGTTTTAGGCCCTGGGGCGGTGGCTCACGCCTGTAATCCCAGCACTGTGGGAGGGCGAGGGGAGTGGATCATGAGATCAAGAGATCAAGACCATCCTGGCCAACATGGTGAACCCCAGCTCTACTAAAAATACAAAAATTAGCTGGGCGTGGTGGTGCACACCTGTAGGCCCAGCTACTTAGGAGGCTGAGGCAGGAGAATCGCTTTAACCTGGGAGGCGGAGGTTGCAGTGAGATCGCACCACTGTACTCCAGCCTGGCAACAGAGCAAGACTCTGTATCAAAAAAAAAAAAAAAAAAAAAAGTTGGGGGGATTATTTTATTTTTGAGATGGAGCCTTGCTCTGTCACCCAGGCTGAAGTGCAGTGGCACCATCTTGGCTCACTGCAACCTCTGCCTCCTGGGTTTAAGTGATTCTCCTGCCTCAGCCTCGTGAGTAGCTGGGATTACAGGCACCCACCACCATGCCAGGCTAATTTTTGTACTTTTAGTAGAGACGGGATTTCACTGTGTTGGCCAGGCTGGTCTCAAACTTCTGACCTCAGGTGATCCGCCTGCCACAGCCTCCCAAAGTGCTAGGATTACAGGTGTGAGCCCCCATGCCTGGCCAAAAGTGGGTTTTACCACAACATATAGTCAGAAGTACAGTTGACACTGTAACTAATTAATTATACATACACATATATTTTATTTGTATTTTTAGCTCAACTCTATGGAAGCAAATATATACGTATATTTGTAACTGAAATAAAAGTTCCACAAAGTAATACTTACCCATAGTACCTCCAATATACGCTGATATTTTTCTATTCTATACTCTATTTCATTTTTTACATTTTCAATTAAGGCGCTACATTTCTAGGTGCTACATTTGTGGAATTTAATTTTTTCTTCTTGTTATTTTTTCAGTATTTCCCACAGCAAAACATTTTGTAGTAAGACGAGAAATAAAAATCACTTAAAGATCATTTTCTTTCAAGTGGAACTGGGGCTCAAAAAATATTGACCAATGGGTGCAGTGGCTCACGCCTATAATCCCAGCACTTTGGGAGGCCGAGGCAGGAGAATCACTTGAGGCCAGATGTTCAAGACCAGCCTGGCTAACATGGTGAAAACATCTCTATTAAAAAATACAAAAATTAGCCAGGCATGGTGGTGCACACCTGTAATCCAAGCTACTCGGGATGCTGAAGCGGGAGGATCACTTGAACCCAGGAGGCAGAGGTTGCAGTGGGCCAAGATCATGCCACTGCACTCCAGCCTGGGTGACAGAGCAAGACCCTGTCTAAAATATAATATATATATATAGAGAGAGAAAGTATAGAGTATATATATATACTATATATATATATAGAGAGAGAGAGAGAGAAGCCAAGAGGGAGAAAAATCAGGCTGGGCCCTCAGTTGCATTTCTAACTTCTCTCTGCTGGGTTTGAGGCATGTTGGAGTCTAAAGCAGACACCTTCGTCTCTGCTCGTGTCTTTGTGGCTCCCACACAGCCGCCAGGGGTCCTGCACCTCCAGGTATTTGCAGCATCCTCATGTAGTCCCCTCCTACCCTGTGCCAGGATTAGTCTCTGGGACCAAAAGAATATAACACAAGTGATGAAATGCCACTTCCGTCATTAGGTTATAAGACTGTAGCTTCTGTCTTGTGTGTTCTCTCTCTCTCTTTCTCCCTCTCTCTCTCTCTCTCTCAGATCGCTTACTCTGGGGGAAGCAAGCCATTGTGTCAGGATACTCAAGCAGCCCATGGAGAAAGAGGTATCCAGTGAGGAGCCGAAGTCTCCAGCCAACAGTCACCGAGGAACTGAGGCCTCCTGCCAATAGCCATATGAATAGCTTCGAAGAGGATCCTTCAGCTTCCAAAAACTACAGCCCCTGTGGACTTATGAGAGGCTCTGAACCTGACAATCTGGTTAAGGCATTTCCCGATTCCTGACCATTGGAATGAGTAAGATAATAATGTTTGTGGTTTCAGACTGTTTGTTGTTACACAGCAGTGCCTAACGATTACACCCACCGTCCCAATGAATGGTCACTGGAGATCACTGAGCTGGCCCTGCAACCCCCGCCTAGGAGAGAGAAGAGAAAGTGTTTTTTATTTATTATTTTTTATATTTATTTATTTATTTATTTATTTATTTATTTATTTATTTTGAAACAGAGTCTTGCTCTGTCAGCCCGGCTGGAGTGCGGTGGCATAATCTCAGCTCATTGCAACCTCCGCCTCCCAGGTTCAAGCCATTCTCCTGTCTCAGCCTCTCAAGTAGCTGGGATTACAGGTGCATGCCATGACACCGGCTAATTTTTGTATTTTTAGTAGAGACAGGGTTTTGCCGTGTTGGCCGGGCCGCTCTCAAACTCCTGACCTCAACTGATCTGCCCACTTCGGCCTCCCAAAGTGCTGGGACTACAGGCATGAGGCACCGGGCCCAGCCAGAAAGTGGTTTTGTTGTTGTAGTTGTTGACTAACAGGGAGAAAGTTGATTGGAAGCCCATGGAGCAGGACAGTAGAAAATTACAGAACAAAAGTTTTATGGCAAATTTTGTCTACAAAACATCAAGTGATTGTGTTCAAAGCAGAAAGTGTGACAATCAAAGGCAAAGGCCATCTCTACAGCTCCTGTTCCGTTCATCCCATCATCAGTGAGGGTGAGCAAGAAACAAACTCACTCACCAAAAGGAACCCCAAAATAAGCTGCACTTATTAAACTGCTTCTTTAGTCTGACAAAGTGAAAAACTGGTTCCCACCTGGTTTCTTGCTTCCTGAACAAATATGGTGGGTGATCACTTCTGGGAAGTATGGGAAGAGGCAATTCTCTAGACCCGTCTCTTCAAAGATGAATCTTTTAGACTTTAGAAAAGATAACATTGGGACTCTCAACTCACAGGAATCATGGACGAAAATCTCTGGTTTTATGGAAAGGCCACTGGCTGGAAATCAGAAAACCTACATTCTACATCCAGGTGGAAACCTGGGTGATCTTGGGAAGGTCTCAACCTCTCTGAGCTATTATTTCCTCAACTAGGTATGAAGGGGTCTGATAAGCAGTACCTTAAATATCTTTCCAGCATTAGGATTACTTAAGGTTATATATCTCACTCCATTGTTAGCATAACAAACTATGTAATTTTAGGTGAAATATATCAACTGTATTATTTTTTAAATAGATGGCTGTATTGCCTTTTTAATGGACGTCCTTCCAGCTCCAAGAATCTGTACACCTCTACGTTTTGGGGTATAAAGAATCTGACCAATGGCAGTGGTTAGTAACATCCCAGTCCTACCCAGTCTCACATCCTAACTTGACAAATGGTCATTGAACAAGTTGGTGGAAACCAAGAAAACCCACTAGTACTTAACATTAAGATGGATTTAAAAGATCAAGAAATAAAACAAAAATAACATTTATTTCCTGAGTTGTTTTAATATCTGGTATTAATAGTGACACAAGTATGCAACTCAATATATATTTCAAAAGAAACCTGCACTTTTATTTTGGCATTAAAACTGTGTAGTTAACAATTACTTTATTTTGTTCAACTTGATTAGAATAGGATCTAATGCACACTCTTCAATCGAGTTGATCTGAAAAAGATAATCTAAGAACTGCAATAGAGGTTAGAAACTTAGAATTTTAGAACCCAAAGGGGACTTAATCGGTCTGCTTCCATAATTTTACAGATAAAAAATACCCAGTGAAAGTTACTTGACTTACCCAAGGTCAAATTCAAATAAGAGCCTCAGTTGTCTGAATTCAGAGCCCAGCCATCTTTCTGAAACACAACATAGCAGTAAAATAGAAACCTTCATAAAAAAACTTTATAAGTAGCAGGAAAGAGTTTAGTATTGAAATGTCAGTTTTTACCAATGTGTACAAAATTCAGAATTGAAATAAGCAGTACTACTGAGTTTTTTTTTTTTAAATCATCATAAAAAACCTAAAAACATAATTTAAATTAGAGCCGGAGCCTGTGAAAGTATTGGCAATGTAAAAAGTTGCTCATCTTTCCTGGGCTGTCTGTTCTAAATGGACTTTGAAAAAAAAAAAAAAAAGTATCACATTCTCTACTCATAATCTTCCAACTGATGGAACATTAGTTTGTTTTTAAAATGGACTTCTCCTTCTCCTGTAACTTTTTTTTGTGGTGATAGAAACATTGAGGTTTTCTTTTTCATTCATCATTTTTATTACATTTTTAACTTTGACCTGTGCTAATATACCTACTAACTCCTAGCACATCCTAACTTTGTCATGAATTTGAGTTTACTTCTGGAATGACATCTGATTTCTTTTAGTTTTATCTACATTGTCCAAGTGAACTGTTCACCAAAAACTAAATAGCACCATGTCAACAGGACATTTTGGCGAAGAACAAAGTGTCACCTATGATTACAGGCCAGTTTATACTGCTTCTGGTGGTGATGGTGATGTTAGGAGGTAGGTTTTCATACTCAGTGTAATTCTGTTGATTACCCCCAGCTTTCCTCTGGATTTTTCCAAATCCACATAATACTTAACTGTATACATAGTTGTTTCAATTTCATTTTCCTTTCTCCCTGGATTCTAAAGTCCTGAAGTAAAAGAGCACAGATTATGCAAACAACCTGACTGACAAAGAGGAAAGAACGCAACAGTACAGAAATGCTCATTCATTCCTTCAGTGACTATGTGAGTCTAGGCCAGGCATTATGCCAGGCACGAGATTTAAGAAAAACAACAACCTGATACCATGGCATCTCCTGCAGATGATAAAATGGGAAGACTGAACACAGTACACTAAAATATTTGTAGTACACTTAGTTGACCATGAGATCCAAACAAAAAACCTCCATGTAAAGGGAAAACAATAACTAACAAAAAGCATCTATTTCTTAATTCATCCATTTCACGATGAATGTCAAGTCGATCCGTGACTAAAGAGATTCGTCATCCCATCTGTCATAGTTTGAATGAGTCCTCCAAAAGTTCATGTGTTGGAAACTTGGTTGCCATTGTGGTGATGTGAAGAGGTGAGGCCTTTTGGAGGTGATTGGGTCATAAGGGCTTCACCCTCATGAAAAAATTAATGCCAATACCTTGAGAGTGGGTTAGCTTTTGCGTGTTTGGCCCCTTTTTCCTCTGTCTTGCATGCTTGCTTGCCATGTGATGCCTTCCACCATGGGATGACTTCACCAGATGCCAGTGCCATGCTCCTGGACTTCCCAGCCTCCAGAACTGTGATCCAAATAAATCTTTCTTTATAAATTATCCCGTCTTTGGTATTCTGTCATAATGCCAGAAATTGGACTGAGACACCACTCCTGCCCACTCCCATGGGTGTTAAGTGGGGAGGGAAGTTGGTATGTTGGAGAGGAAGACCACAAAACTTGCAGCTTTTTCTTTCTAAACACCAAAACACCATTGAATGCTTTGGGAGGAAATGGATTTCATATTCTCACCATCCATCCAGAATGCTATCAGAACAATGGAAGCAAATAAATCTATTACAACACTAAATTGTCCTTGGAGGAAAGAAAACTTACTTTGCCTAGTCTATTAGCCTATAATAATTAAAGACCAACTTTTTTTTTATTTAGTTCTAGAAAGTTGAAAAACCTGGCTTGAATACTTAACATTCTCATTAGAACTATTAAGCTTTTTCTCAATGAATTTAGTTATTAAGCCTGTTTTTATTGATCACAGGGGCAACTACAATGACATTTTCTGAATTTAAAGTCCTTTTAAAATTAGTTACATTTTAAACAAGCGGTTCTCATTTATGTAGGAGGCCAGAGTGGTAAGACAACGTCCTCCTAATCGAAGGAAGCTGGGTGAGAGGGATGTTGTGTGTGTGAGGAGTAGGGGAGGACAGGATTGTGGCTTTTTCTGACTAAAAATCGTCACTTTTACATTCCTCTTCTTATCCCTCTCTTGTGCCTACTTATAAATTCTGCAAAGGTTTGATTTGTCACTAACTATAATTATTGGCTGAATATAAAATCTAAATGCTTTCCAAAAGCTGCAACACACAATTACTGTTTTCACTCAGTAGATAACGCGTTGATATTTGAACTATCTGGAAGTAGTAAGGGGCATTTTGAGTTGTCATAATGACTGGAAGGTGCTATTGACATTTAGAAGCAAAGGGCTTTGCTGTAACCCTCTACCAGGAAGAACTGCATCAAGCAAAATGCCTATACCTGTTAAGAAATCCTGGGAGACGTTTTAAAGAATCATACAAGATTTGAAGAATGTTACCATTAAAACATAAAGCTGGAGATCACTGAACTGGCTTCACAAAAACACAGAGAGTAAGGTTCAGTGGGGTTAGCTTCCCCTAGCTGGGAAGACTGGAGCCAGGACTACATCAGGCCTTCTGACTCTGTCTGGGGCTCTTTCTGCTCCACCAAGTTTATTTTCACAAAGCCCTTTACACAGGTCTGTGTGAGTTATCATGATGCCAGGGACTCTGCCTGGATGCCAAGGGCTGCATGTTCTATTCTAAGTTTTGGAACACACTTTGGGAATAGGACTGACTAGGATGAATGAGTTTTAACAAATGTCCAAATTCCATCAAGAAACTGCAAGCTGAGCCCATCGGGTTTTCTTTACATTACTGTTAACTTTACAGATGATCATTTCAACTAACAGCAGCTGCCCCGTATAACTCTACAATTGCCCACGTTAACATTAACCAGTGTTTAGACCCCTTGCAATCTGGACTTGTGTTTTCTGCCCTAATATCCCTTAGTACAATCTTCTTGATAATAAATTGTTAATAGTGTCCCTAATTAACATTTTGATGTATCATAGCCACATAGAAGATACCAAAATCGATTCCTGAAACCTCAATTCCCAATGAGAGTGCAAGAATCCAGCATGTGTGCCTGGGCCTCAAAGCCACAATGGGACATTTGAGCTGGCTATGGGGCAGTTCTGGGACCTGCTTCCTTGCAATTTCTTGCATAGGAAGGACAGCGTTATTCCAGGCATCAGCACGACCCTTCTTCCTGCCCTTCTCACATCAAGTGAGAGGAGGAGCAACATAGGAGACCAGCTAATCTTTTTTTTTTTTTTTTTGAGACGGAGTCTCGCTGTCGCCCAGGCTGGAGTGCAGTGGCGCGATCTCGACTCACTGCAGGCTCCGGCCCCCGGGGTTCACGCCATTCTCCTGCCTCAGCCTCCCGCGTAGCTGGGACTACAGGCGACCGCCACCTCGCCCGGCTAATTTTTTGTATTTTTAGTAGAGACGGGGTTTCACTGTGCCAGCCAGGATGGTCTCGATCTCCTGACCTCGTGATCCACCCGCCTCGGCCTCCCAAAGTGCTGGGATTACAGGCGTGAGCCACCGCGTCCGGCCCCAGCTAATGTTGAGGTTACTAACCTGGCTCAAAAAAAAAGAGGAAGGAATGACACAGCCTTCTGTAAGCATGAGTTAGAATTGTTCTGCAATGGCTGAATCTCTCCCCTCCCAAAATGCCTCCTGCTTTTGTATGCATTGGCCTCAAGAGTTTGCAGAGACATTGTGCTTTCTACCAGAACAGTGCCCCAACAACTGTCATTAAGATGGAAAACTTCATCCATATACCCATTAACATGCGAACACTAATTCATACAATCACATCAACCAGAAGTGCAATGCTACCCAGCTCCAAACACAGAATTGGTTATCTAGACAACATCAGATTGGTTATAAACTTCCATGCCTGTCTTGTGGTGAGCTTTTATTTAGTAGTGCCTTTCATCTCTGATTTAGAAATTTTACAGACCAAGAGATTTATCAAAGGAAACGTGTGTTTTTCCCTCAGGCAGTTGTATCAAGACAATGTATGTGTGCGTGTATATGTGCATATACGTATGTGAGTTGTGTAACTGTACACAGACCTTTAAAAATAAAATTAAATTCAGTCATCACTCTTCTAACAAAAATCCATCTTTCACTTTTGTAAATCAATTCTACTTTGCTTTTTCTGTTTCAGTGAAATAGACTGGACATTTGCTAAGGGCAGAAGAGCCAGTCTTGAAAGTCAAGCACGATGACTTCATAGTGTTCCAACCAGTAGGCCCTATTGTCTGTGCACATTTTCAACGCCAATGGCACTATTTTGCCGGCGCATAGGGATACCTTACACAAATGCTCCACCAACAAGCAGGTAGCAGGGCCACCTTTTTAAGTGTATTTGTTTTCTACAGCGTTCTCCACTATCTGCCTCCAAAAAAAGCTAAGTTCACTCACTGCATTACTTACCAAAATAGGAAGCTTTCCAAAAGTCACCCACGCAAGCACATAGCACTTCTTAGAAGAACCCTCTAGTTGTGTATAATTTAATAAAACTGACCATGTAGGATAATGCTGTTTATTAAAAATATAGTCAGGGAGAAGGAAGTCAGTGCATTTATGCAATTTTACATACACATCTGTAGTTTGAGGTTCCATTATTCCAACAGTTCATATAAATCACTGTTTCAGATAAAAGGAAAAAAATGCTTTACACAGGAGATCAGCAATTGGTTATAGGTTTGGAAATATGAGTCGGCTTGTAGTAAAAATAAAACCACCTCTTCCATTATTAAAGAATGTCTCCTTCATGCAGAACAAGTCTTTAGCATTAAGAACTTTTCCTTGCATAAGAATTGTTAACTTGAAGTTCTTGGAAAACAGCCAATCCTGTTTTCTATATTTATAAATGCTATTTTGTCTGGATTTTTTTTTTTGAGGTAACAAAGGAAGCATCTTCAGTGATTTGTCACTAGGTTATCCTTTACCGTGTATGTCAACTACTGCAATGTCAAACCTAAGACTTATACAAAAGCATTTCTCAGAGAATCATAAATACAGAATATGACATTTCCAAACAATTATTCTCATTACAGCAGGGAAAACAAAATGGATCAAAAAACAAAGCCTAAAATAAATGAAGGCTTGATCATTTTACTAGTAGAGAAATGAACAATAGCATCCAGAATCCTCCAAAAAGGATTTGGCATATGAATGCACTTTTATGAAAAACTTCATCACATTTTTTTTTTGGAATAGACTCCACTCTCATTTCCTGAGCTCACGCTCACAGACAGGAGTCGAGAGTACAGCTGCAGCACCTGCTAAGCCAGAAGGAAGACGGCAAACTTACAACTTACTCGCGACAGTCCTCAGTGTGGAAAATCAAGAGTTGTGGATCTAATTTCTTGGATACTGAAGTTGGTGCTCTGTCCCTTGGCCTTCTGTGGTAGGATGTATAGGATGCCCTAGGGAAGTCACTCCACAATACGGAGTGGTCACATTCATTTGAAGGCACCACTCCTTTCCATGTTATGCACCTAACTCAAACCCAGTAAAGAGGGACTCCAAGCATAATTACTTTCTTTATATCCTGCTAGTGAAAGTTCTGTCACTACAAATGCAGGGAACCAGAGACAAGCATGAGAAGAGAAAAATCTGCGTTTCTTACGATGAGTGGCTGTGTGAAAGGTTTCTGCTGGGTTTGGCTAAGGCATCTAAAACTCCGTGTCTGCTCCCAATTAGTCTACCTAGAACTTACAGTTCAGTTTTCTGGGGGGATAGGAAGAGGGGATTACATTTAGCTACCTCTTCCTTCTTGGAATAGTTAAAAATACGTTCTCATATATAAAGCAGATCGAATCAGTAACTGTCTAAATGACAACACAAATTCGGTGTTAGCTATGACTAACATCTGACTGACTCCATCTCAGCAAAAAATAAAGGACAACAAAATCTCAGTTGTTACCCAACTAAGTGTTTAAAGTATACTAAGAAGTTAGTGCTCGTTGATAGGATTACCAAGCAAATGAATTTAAGGCATAACTGGAGTAACAGCAAATGAAGTATATACTTTTTCCCTCTGGTGCAATAAGGCCTCTGCCAAGAGAGATTACTTTAAGAGTTTTCCTGCCCCAAATTAACCAAAGGTCCCGTGTATTGAAGGAGGAATAAGCTAAAGGCTGAGGCTTTTAAACAGGTAACGACTGACTTTGAAACACTCAAGACTTTAGAGTTTGAGTCAAAATCATCATATATACTTATTAGATGCTGGAATCAATGAGGCCAAATTTGCCAGGGCTGCAACATGGATAAAATGTCAAGTACAGATGAAACATTATTTTGTTTATACATGTCTAAATTTTAACAGAACCCTTTAAAAATCAGGAACAAAATGCTATGTTCACACAAAAATCCTTGTGCTTAATTTGCAGGAAGATATCAGAACAGTTGAAAACAAATTGTTTCAGTCTTTAACTTCACTTGATGAAGCTGCTCAGCAACTGTGCTGTTAGTGGTGAAAACTGCAGAAACACAATTCCCTTCTTGGATTTCAGGGAAAAGCCATTCACTTGTCAGTCTCTGCAGAGACAGGGAGAGAATTCTCTGCCCCCAACTCCTCTGACAGTTCCCTTCCACTTAATGGGGTCACTGCCCAAGTGAACTCTCAGGAGGGGACATTTCCATATAAGGCCATTTAAGTGTAAATTGACACAGCAATCTATGTCAAACAAGCCACTGAGTTTCTTTTGGGTGGTGGGATAGGGAAAAGGGCTTTTGTGTCAATTAATTAAAACTTACAGAACAGTCAAAAAAATTGATTTCTCAAAGTTCAATTAAAAAAAAAAACTAGCTCATCTCTTATTTTCAAGGAGATGAATTATGGAAAATTCCTTCAAATTTATGCCACAGGCCTAGTTTTGGACCTTAGGAAGGAATCTCCTCCCATTTTCTCTTCACATTTTAGTTTCTTCAAGTTGCTATTATAAATTGTTTGAATAGCAAAATCAGCCATGACCCGAATCATGGAGATATGTGGATTTCCTTGCATTGAAATACATCTATACAATTGAAAGTTATGCATACAGCACAAAACTATAAACAAAAAGGTGAAGCAAACTTTCTTTATTTTCAGGTAAAAACATTAACCTGATGGATTATTGCAGATTTGAGAAATCAGCACATAAAATGACTGGACAGCATTGCTTACAGGTGCTTTTATCTGCGTCGAGACAAAGGCTGAACTGTTTTGTCCCAAGTCAGCACTGGGAGAAGGGGAAGAGGAGCGTGGAATAAAGAAGACTATGAACAAAAACGTAAAACAACAAAGGGAAAAAAATTTTTTTACTCCAACAGGGAAGGAAAACTGCTTATTTTGTTTAAAAAATTTACATTAATTTAAAATCCTCTGGCCACAGAATAATAAATACCGGCCAGCCCAAGCTGTAGACTTCTTAACCTTCATAAAAGAAACAAATGAGCTTTCCTTGTCTCATTCCAGAGGCTGTTGCTGCTGGAATTGCCATGTAAACAGTCCTTAGTGTGTCACCTGGGAAAAAGCCAGTAATACCCTAAACTATATTAAAACTAAACTATAAGAAAAGTCTACCTAGTTACAAAAGCTGAATTATATTCAATAAATTTCAATCCAATGAATTTTAAATTAGATCTTAACTGGAGAGAACATGGGACAACAGAAGCCCATGGGTAACGAAAATTTGAGAACTGTGAGTTGTATACAAAAAAAAAACTGTGAGCTGCACAGATAATAATGAATCAGGGAGAGAAAATCAGAGGAAAGTGAAAAGCACATAGAGCTAGTCTACTAAACTATATTTGTCAAATACATGTGAGCTTAAATTTCTGTACTTATGTACAAGAGTTGTCTTTGGAGGAAAGAAAACTGCAGACTTAGCTAGATGGATACACACAGCCCAGAATTAAACTGCACAGCCACATTTATTGTTCCAGCCTGGAAAAACATCCCTTTTTTAAATTTCACACAGCAAAGCATGTTAAAAACTTCACTCATCAAATAAATGATAATTTAAACAAGAACTTGCTAAAGAAACCTCATCACAACAACGTTTTAGGGCCTGATCACTTTAAGTCCATGGGGCCATTAATGAATATCAACCAAATGTCTCTTTATAATCTGCAAGCCGTTTTTCCTACAACAAGAAGGCGTAACATGTTTCCTTGACTCAGGTGATAACATTAGAAAAGAAATCATGATTTGTTTCTTTTGCTGTAACAGGCAGACACTGCATTTCTTGCTATGATCAGGAAAGATGGAACGACTGCTGCCCTTCTCTTGCTGCTATCAACAGTTTTTCACGCATTATCTCAATGCTTGAATAGTCCGGCAACTTAAGATAGTTCACACAAGTCATTACAGAGGGCAAGAAGTCATCTGGGTTTTCTGTTGATTCAAACGTCTTTCGGACAATTGTCAAAGGTGGATTCAAACTCCGGAATCCTGATTAAGAGAAAAAGAAAGACAAGGAACTTAAGTTTTTAAAAAACATCAGCTATCAGAAAACATTCCACTGCTTTGCCGTACAATATTACACACAAGATATTCTTTCTTGCTTGGCAATTGCACATTCAATATACATTAAGTGCAAGGAACCTGCTTTAATTTATCATTTAAAAACTCGCTGTATAACATGGAGGCAACAGTTCTTTATGTCTTCTGATTTTTAAAATGGAATACCCACAGTGGTTCACGCCCGTAATCCCAGCACTCTGGGAGGCCGAGGTGAGCCAGTCGCTTGAGAGTTTCAGACCAGCCTGGGAAACATGGAGAAACCCTATCTCTACAAAAATACAAAAATTAGCCAGACATGGTGCTGTGTTGTGCCTGTAGTCCCAGCTACACAGGAGGCTGAAGCAGGAGGATCTCGCCTGAGCCCAGGAGGCAGAGGTTGCAGTGAGCCAAGATCACGCCACTGCACTTCAGCCTGGGTGACAAGAGTGAGATCCTGTCTCAAAAAACAAAACAAAAACAACAGAATACCAATTTAACTTACATTAGGATTCAATCTGAAAAACCAGATTTTAGAATCCATTCTCATCTAAGTCAACTAAGAGTTTAGAATGTACAAATGGCCTGGAATTTTATCTAACCAGCATTACATGTGCATTAGTAATCCTACTTCAATATGTTTAAGACAATCCCCATGGATTTCCCTGCTAGTGGTCTCAATGTACTATAATGATACTGGAATAACTAAGAGGCACTGCAAGTGAGATAAAGAATCTCCTGCTGATGGTACTGAAGTTTCACACTCACAAACCCACCCATAGGTAGAATAAATGCTAAACATCAACATCGTACCCACCTCCAACAGGCAATCTTGGGCTACCAGTCACAAACTGGAGAAATAACCTCTGCTGCTCATTATCAAAACTACTGAGAATCTCAAACAAAAACTTCACAGCCCGACTATAACAGAAATAAATATACCAAAATTATTTCATCAGGTTAAAATAGAGTTTTAATCACACTGCATCGCATCACATGACATAAAAATTAGATTAGCACTTTTAAATTACACATACATTTTCCATTACAATGTACTTAAATTCGTTTCTGTTATGACTAGACTAGAATTCAAATGGAATGATTACAGTTGTAATAAGTAAGACTTGATCTGGTACTGTACAGATATTTCTGCTTTACTATATGTAATAATGGGGAACAAGATTAAATCTGTCTTCCCCAACCCCTAGTATTTTCACAGAAATACTTGAGAAAGAAACCCTTGGGTCTTAATTTCCCATCTTCAGAGAAATAAGGCCAAAACAGAAGTAAGCATCCATTAACAGGTAGACACATTTTAAAATGAACCACTCCAACTTTTGTTGTTTACACATGTGCGCATGTGTGTGTACACACACACCCCTCTCCACATTCTTCAGAATCAACAGAAAAACTGGCAGACCCCAGTACTTACCTGTCATGAGTATAACCATGATCAGGCCTACAGCATTCCATCAGTGTCTTTGCATCCCAAGTGTCTGCTTTACTGCCACAAAGGAGCTGATCCAGCTGTGAGTTTAAATAAGGGTAAAAAGAATTACTAAGGAAACATTTGTTTACGTGAGTGAAAATAAAGGTCTACGTGTACCATAAAAGAGTATCAGTCTCAGTACTAAAACCTTCTGCTTGGGACCTCTTTCCAAAAAAAAAAAAATAATAATAAAATAAAATAAAATTTAGAGATTCCATTTCCTTTTTAGCTGTACGCTATTAAGTACCCTGCCCATCTGCAGGGACTTGGTTCCTGAGAAACCCTTCCTCTCAAACCAAAAACACCTGATGACCCTTGATTTCAGTTTTCCTTTCTTCTCATTACTTTAGGTGCTTTAAATGGATAATCTGCTTCTAGTCAGGGAGATTTTATAAATCCTGGCTTTCAGAAACACAAAGGTATACAGTAACAGATGCCAAGGGAGAGAACATTGAGCTGGAGAAAGAAGTGGGAGAAGCAAGCTGAACTAGGACACAGCAAATGGGTAGGTCTTTACACTTTGTAGAGAGGCATGTCTACGCTACATGGTTGGTTGTATGGGGACCAACCCAGATATTATAGAATGAATATTAGAAAGCAATAAATGCTTTCATGTCCTTATACTTTGAGAAAATCCAATTTGAGGCCAATGAAATTTAATATCTATTATATAATGCTCACTGTCTGGTCCTATATATTTAAAGACAAAGCTTTGCTCTGTTGCCCAGGCTGGAGTGTAGTGGCCTAATCACAGCTCACTCCCGTCATGATCTCCTGGGCTCAAGTGATCCTCCAACCTCAGCCTTCCAAGTAGCTGAGACTACAGGTGCATACCACCACGCCCAGCTAATTATTTTTTTTATTTTAGACAAGGTCTCACTATGTTGCCCAGCCTAATCTTAAATTTCCGAGCTCAAGTGATCTTCCCACCTCCATCTCCCAAAGTGCTGGGATTATAGGCTAAGTCACTGTGCCCAGCCTATTTAATTTCCATTACTCTGTGATAGGGGTTATTCCAATTTTACAGATGAAACAGTCCTATCAGATACAGTAACTTGGATAAGGTTATACAGCAAGTGGTGAGGACCATGATTCTATTCCAGGTGACAAGCAGTGCCTACAAGTATCAGGCACACTACATGCTTAAGTAGACACAAATATAACTGAGATTAAGACGTTAAGTTAATCAAAAATTTATAGATTTAATCAGTAGTGAACATACACTCTAAAACTAGTATTCAAACAATAAATAAAAAGGTTTCAAAACTGAGGGAAACTGGACACATTCTAGAGGCTTTCTGTATCTCACTACCAGTGAGTAGTTCTTTTGAGATTTGGCACTTGAAATTAAAGACGGTAATATGGTTTGGCTGTGCCCCTACCCCAAATCTCATCTTGAACTGTAACTCCCACAATTCCCACCTGCTGTGGGAATGACCTGGTGGGAGGTAACTGAATCATGGGGGCAGGTCTTTCCCAGGCTATTCTCATAATAGTGAATATGTCTCACGAGATCTGATGGTTTCAAAAAGGGGAGTTTCCCCGCACAAGCTCTCGTCTTGTCTGCTGCCATGTGAGATGTGCCTTTCACCTTCCACCATGATTGTGAGGCCTCCCCAGCCACGTGGAACTCTAAGTCTAATAAACCTCTTTCTTTTGTAAATTGCCCAGTCTCGGTTATGTCTTTATCAGCAGCATGAAAACAGACTAATACAGGCGGCTAGAGAAAACCAAGCACATAAATCCATTTCTTCCATTCTCAGAAGTATTCTCTGTATTTGGCAATTAGATAATTTATAATACTTTCTTAAAACTTCAAGGACTAACTTTGATTGTGAAACAATGTCTCATCGAAACGAAGTTTAGTTAAGGAATAAAGTCAAGCCCCCTCCATGTCTCTCTTTGCTTCCACAGCAGTACAGAAACATGTAGAACATGCCACACACAGCACAAGTCCCCATTCTCCACTGAATGGCATTGAGGGTCTTGGCTGACAAAGATGCTATGCTTACTGTCACGCGTGGAACCCGCTCCCCAATCTAAGAGGGGACACCTATTTAACATTCTTCCTTGCTCAGGCAATTTCCTTGTCTTTCCCAAACATCCATCCCCTGCTATCTAACACCCATTTTTTTGTTTTTGTGCAACAATACGGTCTTTGACTAGGCAGCACAGAAACACTCCACTAAAATTATAGGTATGACCATTTCTTTTAGATATAAGCTACTCACTTCCTCCGGGTAGAAGTACTGAAGATGACTGAGTGGGAAGACTGATTCAAATCCATCTCTGAACGAATCAAATTGCCTAGAAACGCCTTCATTTAGTGCCCAGAATATAACCAGCTGCAAAAAGAAAGTTTTCAAAAAACTGTGACAAGATTTCAAATCTCTTTACTATTTAATATGTGGCAAAGTACAGTGAAACACCCTTCTGGATCACTTTATAAAGAACAAACAAGTTATTAAGACTTTAAAATAATCTGCTAGAAAACTACATGAGTAAAACATCAGGTCAACATCTAATGTGGGGCCCCTACCAATAACAAAATGTAAAAAAAAAATGCCATGTGCATTTACATTTAGTGTGTTTTAAAAATCTATTTATGTGAAACCCATGCCATACAGTTATATTACCTCACTGGATGGGAATCAAATGAGAATTTCCCAAGAGGATAAAATGTTATTGAGAATTAAAGGTAATGTTTGAAGAATCACAATTAGCCACTATTAAGGGTTTTTAATTTTTAACGTAAAATGTTTAGTTCTAAATCCTGTGAAGTTCTTAGAACCCAACCTGTCTGCAGTGTGTGCTTCCTACTAAAAGTAGGCAAAGCCTGGAAATGAAGTCACATGCAATTGAAGGGTAAGAAAAAGCAACTCTTATTGGTCCAACATTATCTAGTCATCACTGACTTTGGGTAGCCCAATGGGTAGAGAAACAACATTTTCAGATAAAAATGAAAACATTAGGATTTTCTTGATAGAAAATTATAAGCATTAGTATAAATTATTTTGAGATAACCTTAATCTAAATGTTAACTCATTATTTGCTAGTAAGATGGAAGAATAGCTTTCACAAAGTCAGTAGAAGAAACAGGATAAGAAGACAGTCCTACTGAATACTAAAAGGAATTACTTATGAATCACAGAACTGTTAAGTAACAGGGGACTCTGGTTATTATTATTATTTTTGAGACAGAGTCTCGCTCTGTCGCCTAGGCTGGAGTGCAGTGGCATGATCCTGACTCACTGCAACCTCCGCCTCCTGGGTTCAAGCAATTCTCTTGCCTCAGCCTCCCGAGTAGCTGGGACTACAGGCGTGCACCACCACGCCTGGCTAATTTTTGTATTTTTAGTAGAGACGGGGTTTCACGATGTTTGTCAGGCTGGTCTTGAACTCCTGACCTCGTGATCCGCCCGCCTTGGCCTCCAAAAGTGTTGGGATTACAAGTGTGAGCCACCACGCCTAGCCAGTTATTATTTAACCTATATTCTCTCTCTCTCTCTCTTTTAAAGCTGATGAAGAAAATGGTGATGAAGTTCTTCAGAGGCTCCATCTAAAGTCACAAAGCAAGTTAGTGGAAAGGTCAGTTCAAGGGGTAGATAGCCATTCTGACCTAAATCCAATGCCCCTTCCACCCAATGTCAGGAATAAACCAAAACAAATTTTTCAAACATTGGTAATAAGGATCTATATAGTGGTAATTTAAAATACAATTTGTGTTCAATATAAAATTATTTTCCTGAATTTAGCAAATATAGTCAAGCATCACAAATTAATATATACATGCTTTTTTTTTTTTTGAAATGAAGTCTCATTCTGTTGCCCAAGCCAGAGTGCAGGGGCACGGTATCGGCTCACTGGAACCTCCACCTCCCTGGTTCAAGCGGTTCTCCTGCCTCAGCCTCCTCAGTAACTGGGACTACAGGTGTGTGCCACCACACCTGGCTAATTTTTGTATTTTTAGTAGAGATGGGGTTTCACTATGTTGGCCAGGCTGGTCTTGAACTCCTGATCTTGTGATCTGCCTACCACGGCCAACCAAAGTGCTGGGATTACGGGCATGAGCCACCGTGCCCAGCCTAATATATATATATGTATGTATTTTTAAGAGAAACGATCTTGCTCTGTCGCCCAGGATCGAGTGCAGTGGTGCAACCTTGACTCACTGTAACTTTGAACTCCAGGGCTCAAGCGCCCTCCCACCCTAGCCTCCCAAGTGGCTGGGACTACAGACTCATGACACCACACCCAGCTAATTTTTGCATTTTTTTGTAGAGACAAGGCCCCTACTTTGTTGCCCAGGCTGGTCTTGAACTACTGGCCTCAAGTAATCCTCCTGCTTCTGCCTCACAAAGTGCTGGGAGGATTACAGGCGTGAGCCACTGCACCTCGCCCATAAGTTAGTAATTTGAAAGGTGTCACCAAACATAAAAGTGTGCACTGCACGGTGCCTGGAGTAAATTCTGTCAAGCTAGCTGCCTTGATGGAAATGCAAAAATGCAATTTAGTGAGAACACAAATAATGTCTCTTTTCACTTGTTTTTTAAACTAAGAAAACGTGGTGTAATTAGATAGCATTCAAGCCTGAGGAGAAATAATTCAAGGTTATATAAGACAGGAAATATCTGATATGTGCACTCAAGAGCAAAGAGAAGCTAGTGCCTTGTAAAGCAGCCTTCATGCAGTGGTCCTGGGGATGTGGAAGGTCTCAAGCCATAGCGTGTGCAGCCAGAAGCAAGGTACAATCAGGCAAAGTCCTCCGTCTTCACAACTGGCCTACCCCCCAAAGACACAGTTACATACTCTTAGATACTCCTCTAAATTGTGGATAGTGACTGGTATATCCTTCCCTCCTTTCTTCAGTTCGATATTGGGAAACCCTGGCAGAGTGAAATCCAGTCCTAGATCTTCAACTGAGCAGCCATTCATAGTCAAGGTTTCTAATGCATACTGTAGACTCTCTTTGGTCTAAAAAACACAAATGGGGGAGAAATGGTGTCAAGCAAAATTAACTTACGGTTGTTTAAAAAAATAAAAGATATCCTAATAAAATATAAGCTATCCTAATAAAGCTGATGGGTTCAACTCTTAGCCTCTTTATTTTTTTCCTGGTCATAATCTACATATGAAAGAGTCACTGAGATTACAAAGGAAGTAAGCATAAGAAAAGAGAGCTGAAGTGCTTCTTCATTATGAGATGCTGCTGCTCAGTTTAAGCATATGCAAATCAAATTTCACAGTAAGTGCATAATAGGTTGCATATTAGTTAATTTTAAGAATGTGGACCCTAGAACTAGACAAACTTTTCATAAATTCTAGGCTAATTTTGAATCCAATACTGTATAAGTATACAGCCAATACTAATAATACAGTTGGGAAATCGTAAATATAAAAAACATACTATCTAGTGATAGTGATTAACTTTCTACCCCTGCAAAGCTCAAGTCTACAGAATGAAGCCTGGAGAGACTTCATTCAACTACTTCAGGCCTCTGATGCATAACAAGTTTGTATCTATGCAGCAACACTGTGATCTAAAAAAAAAAAAAAAGTTCCAAGAAATCCCTAAGAAAAGGCAAGCAATACTTTATAAGACAAACGTTAAGAAGTCTTTATTACTCACTTTTTAAAAAATGTCTAAGATTATGAAAGGCCCATGTAAATTTTTTTAAACTTAAGGATCAAAAACCAACATGCAAAAATGCAAATTCCATCTAAAACTGAAGACAACAAGTTAGGAGAAAGAAGACAAATGGCTTTCCAAACTGGAAATGCCTCCGTGTATGAAATTCCTATAGGGTAACAATTAAGGTACAGAAAATTAGTCATTTAAACTAGAAACAGTTAGAATGTTCTGATTAATTAATTAGTCATTTTTTAAAGAGCAAACTAAATGCTGTTTAGGATTCTAAATAATTCAGAATATCAATGAGGTGGCAGATTATTGAAAGTAAATGGTCACAGAATTATGTCCATTTTTACTTCTCTGCAAAAACCCACTTTTAAGCCTCTCTCCATTTTAGGTGTCATTTGAAGACCTCCAAAGGGAGGCATTTTATTTTACATTTGAAGTATTCTTCAGCACAAAGATTTAAAAAAAAAAAAAAAAAGAAAGTTCTCCATTTTCATGTTCCCCCCACTGGTAAGCTCTCAAAACTATCCTCTGTGACTCCCTGTCACAGATCAAGGTGATTACTATTACACCACTGGAAAGTCTTCTCTCATAGCTACCAAGGAAATATCTTATTTCTAAAGATGTGCATTACAAAGTGTTGTTATTAGATAGGAATCTAGAATTTACAATGTCCTAGAGATGTTTAAAAGGAATTTACATTAGTTTCTCTAGATTTTATATATTAAGTCGAGAAACTAACGTAAATTCCCTTTAAACATCTCTAGGACATTGTAAATTCTAGCACATTTTCCATATTTCTTTAGAGAATTTAAGCTACCCAGTAGAATCTGAGCCAGGACAACTTGCCCCCATCTGTATATATACTTTATTAAAGAAACAGGATGTGGTTTTTCAGAATGTCACCATTTCTCATGCTCTTGTTCACAGTTGGTTATTATAATAAGTCAATTTCTGGAGTGTGGATTCTGTGCCACTCATTTTATATTTTTAAACTGACAGCATCAGGAACAATAAAGGATAGAACAAATCTCAAAAAAACAAACAAACAAAAAAACTACTGACAAGAGAACTGTGGCGGCATACTGCATTTGAGACAAGCATATATCACAGAGCTTGCATGGTGTGGAAGCATGCAGACAGCCTGGGTTTGAGTTCCTACTCTGTGTTCTCTAGGTGTGTGACCTTAGGCAGGTTGCTCAATCTGTCTGCCCTGGTTTGCTCACCAGTAAAATAGAGGTAACAACAATACCCCAATCTCATATGGTAGTTGTTGGGATTAAATAAATTAACATATATATGCTATCTAAAACAGAGCCTCCTGTTTTACTTGCTTTTTTGTTTCTCCTTTTTTTGTTTTTCCATTATTTACCTAAGAGATAATCCTAAACAACACTGTAATAGTTTAAAACTTACCAAGTTGTGAAGGGAAAATCAAAATGGTTCTAAAAATTCTAAAATGACAAATTCTGTACAGAAAAGGTGGACTTAGCCTCTTTGAATACCAATTTCTCTTAACAGACTTACTTTTTCAAACAGCACCAAATAATTACAAATTAGTATGGGAGATAAAGTGAATCTTACAAATCTTCTAATAAAAAGACACTCTAAAATCCTATCCCTCTACCATAAGATCCTCTCCAACTCATCAGGAGAGGTGACACTCTCCCTCACTACAGAATCTTAACTTGCTATTCTTACTTAATTTATAAAATGAGAGTTGATTAATATTGGTCCATGTTACCAGCCCAAACAAGCTTTTTGGGTCTGTGCCACAAAAAAATAGAATCTTGTTTTCTTCTAATAGCAGATACAGAACCATTATTAATCTCAGATTGAGTTAAATAATTTATCTATTGTTAATTATATACATTAAAATTATACAGTAATGATATGAAGTTCAAGGTTATCTATGAGATGTCACAGAGAAACCTCAAAATGTATTACCAAGGAATAGTTGTTGGCACTCATGGTGACCTTTAAAAAATATCTTCCTGAGATCTCTAGAAACAAGACTGTTCCTAAATTAAGCTACCTTTTTTGAAAATAAATCTGTTCTGAGAATAGTTTTACTGACTCAAATGCTAAAAGATGATATAATGTCTGCCCAGATACATAATATGTCCATCTAAAATTTAATTGAAAGGAGTCCTTATTTATGGTTTGATTTAGAATTGTATTTGCTAATCAAGATGTTTATAGCCTGCTGTGAGTATAGGTCATGTGACCCACTGTGAAATCATATGTCTTAGTTAGTACAATAAAAGAATTAAAATCTTCTAAAATAAAACATTAATATAACAACTGAGTCAAATACAAACTATTTAACAAAAGCCTCATTTTTCTAAAATAAAGACTTGATCTACTGGACTGTTTCTTCTAAGCCTACCTGGGATTTATCTTGTTCAAGTCTTTTCTTCTGTCTGACAATGTCTTCTAGGTGATAAACTGATCTGGCTACAACTGGGTCGATGTCAAACAAATCGTGTGATGTCAGTGAAGTTTCTTGCCGTAGCATCCATTTATAAAAGGGTAAGCCAAGGGGAAGGTCCACCTGAAATGGAATATGCATAATATTTTCACTGTCACACTGAACTTCCAGCATTACCTCCATCTAAGGCACTTCAGGAGATCATTTAAATATTAATAGGTCAAGTAATCCCCAAGAAAGAAAATTCTGTAGTTACAAACTATTTCTCCCACTACACAAAATTGATTCTCTTGATTTGGGGCTCTAAATGCATTTCCACTGTAGTCTGTATTACTGAATATCCCAATGCAAAAAATGTTAAGGGAAAAAACTTACTATATTTAAAATAGAAAACTAAATGGAACTTCTAAAATAACTGATAAACTGCCCACTCTTCAGTTAAAGTGAAATTGTAAACTTGTCAATTTGGCCACAGGTGAAAATGTCTTAAACATACTGATAAAGTGCCTCCGAAAACATGAGAAGAGCACGGTGGCTCATGCCTGTAATTCCAGTGCTGTGGGAGGCCAATGTGAGAGGACTGCTTGAGGCCAGAAGTTCAAGAGAAAAAGAAATGAAGAAATGTCCAGAAACATTCCAACCTCTATGAATACTGATCACTCGGGTTATTTTCACAACAGCACTCTAATGTAAATTTAATGAAGTTTAGTTACATGCACAAACTTTCCTACTGAATTAAAAAGGTAATGTCAGACTTTAAAAAATAAATAATTAATACCACCTTAACTTGCCTGATTATCTGAACCCTTGCTATCCAAGGAGGGGTCCACAACCTGGCAATCGGGCATGCCCTGGGAGCTGACAGGAAAATTTAGAATCTTGGACAGTAGGACAGTCTTACCCCTGCCCTACTGAATCAGAACCGGCATTTTTAACAAAATCCCCAAGTAATTCATATGTGTATTGAAGTTTGAGAAGCATTGCTCTAAACTATAGCAGTAAACTACAGGGGACTGAGGTACTTGCACAGAACATTCTACACCAAAACTGCAAAAAGCAAACCATCCTAAACTTACCAATCTGAAATCCATGATAGCCTTGGCCATTAATTTTCCTAAGAAGCGAAACTTCATCTTAACCTTTGCGATATGAGCTGGCTTTGCTGTCCTACCAAAGGGAAGCGCAAACAGGCCCTGGAGGTTTTGAATATACTTGGTCCCTTCTTGGCTCCCTGAAAAACAAGCAATGCAGCAAACTTCAGATGATGTTTCCAAAAACAAAACAAAACCTGGTAACTAAGAACATTTAAGAAATTAAGCATTCTCAAAATTGGAGTGCAGATCACTGAATGAAGTCCTCTAGAACTGGACAGGCCTTCCCTATTTGATAAATGAGAAAACAGAGGCTAAAAGAAAGCAAGTACAGCTGTCCATTAGAAATTAAATATGTCTAATAAACTGTCAGAGTCCATTACCTGATCTGAGTAACACAAACCAACTAACTTACAGATAGGCATTACCTTTTGGATTGCTAAGAGTTACTTCTTCACCTCTCCAAAGACCCAAGTCAGCTCTCTGTAGTTCCTGAGATACAAGCGCATAAAACTCCAGTGTAGGCCCAAGACCTGTACCAACCTACAGAAGAACACAAGTAGAACGATTTCAAATTTTAAGAATTGTGTTTTTTTACTGCCAACCTCTTGGAAATGTGCACACTAACAGCAACTGTTTACCAGGATGCATTAGAGATTATTTTCCAAAATGTCCTGGCTGGATTTATTCTTTCAGTCCTGGTCACCTGAAACAAAAACTAGCAACTCTTTATTATTTCCTAGCCGCTAAGGCCCCAACATGTCAGTTGAACAATTTCAGGTTGTACTCACAGAAGTGCCACTGTGGCTACATATCTTTCCTTCAGGAACAATATGGCATTGTCTGCATATGGATGTCTTTCCCCTTTTTCTCTTTAGTGAACTGTTACCCCAAAACCAGCTCAAATGTCACCCTCTCAAGGGGAAGGCTCCCCCCAGCATCTGCTCCCAACAGTTAGTCTGTTCCTTTTTTCTTGGGGCTTATTTTTCAGCTACTTAAATACTTACTACATGACTTTACCACAATTTCAGTATATGCTTGCATATTTCACAGGATGATAACTATTTTGGTCATCCTGTTATCTCTGATAGTACCTGACACACAGTAGCCATTTAATAGAGATATGTCGAATAAAATACAAATAATGGAAGGTCTGATTCCACACCAGCACAGAAAGGACTAACGGCCTCATACAGGACACCAATGCTTCTCAACTCCCAGGGTGCACTGGAATCCCCAGAGCTTTATCAACATGCACATATAGGGGTGCCACGTCCTGAAGATTCTGATCTGGCAGGTACAGCTTAGAGCCTGGGCACTGGTATTATTAAACAAGTTCTGAAGGTGACTGTGCAGCCTAAAGTGAAACTACTCCTCCATGAGACACCTGATGTGGACATGCCTGAAGCAGTGTTCATAGCTTGCTCCTTCCTTCACGATCTGTCAAGGTCCCGCCAGATCAGACCATAAACAAAGATATGCAGGTAGTGACAAGTTCATATCACAGGTTATACTCTAAGTCTAACTGTAACCCTGTCAAGAAGGCAACATTTATAGATTACTTGTAAACAAAGGGTACTATTTTAGCATTATTACAGTTACTCTTAAAAATTACCCACACTAGCTTAAAAGTTTAGAGGTAGTCCACTAAACGTTTAACTCTCTCAAAACAGAGATCTGCTTGGGCCTAGTGGTGCTTTCCTGATTAACCCCAATCCTATTAGAATTCCACACCAGTAAATGGTATCACCATTAAACCCAAAATGAATAATCCCACCAAATCCTTAGAGCCGTCCTTGGCCATTCTTTAAACTCGCATAATCCAATCCATCAGAGTAAATACAATAAGCGCTGCCTTCAAAATGCATTCTAAACTAATTACCAACTTTACCCAGCTGCCATTCTCTGTCATCTGGTCCACTGCTAAAGCCTCCTAGATGGTCTCTGCACTAGCATTCCCGACATCTTGTATCCCATTCTCACAGGAGCAAGCGTAATCCTTACAAAACACAAGTTCGCGGCATCCCTTTGCTACTTTCCAAAGGTTTTCCATCTCATTCAAAGCACAGCTCCAGTTCTTACCACGGCCTACATGACCCCTCTGCCCACCCTGCTCAGTCTCTCTGACTCCTACTACTCTGCCCTTGCTCTCTATGCTCGAGCCACACTCATCCTCCAACAGGCTAGGAACACTGCTTCTCTGTTCTTGTGCTAGAGATACTCTTCCCCCAGACGCAATGACTTGCCTCCACTCAAATGTCCTCAGACTGCCCTACGCATCCCCATAATGCTTCATCCTCTTATTTTTACTTTTCTTCCACATGGCCTAACATATATGTGTACATGAATGTGTGTGTATGTATTGGCCTCCCCAAACTAAAAGATAAGCTCCATCATGGGGGTGGGAGTACTTTGTATATTCTGTTCTGCACTGAATCCCAAGCACTAGAGGCCTGAGGAACAAAAGAGAAGCAAAGAAAAACCTGCAGTAACACATGGTATCCACTAGATGGTGCTAGTCAATTCTCCTTTTGGCATAACATTATCCCAGGTTCAACAGAAGTCACAGATCAAATTAGTCTATTTCCTTCATCCAATGCTGTTGTTTCTAAAAGGATTCTTAAAATATTAAATCACTAAAAGCACTTCCTCTGTGAGCCTCTGCAGAAGGTGGAAGGCCCAGGTCATGTTTGCTTTGCTGATACAACCTGGGGGTGGCCAGCACCCCCACAGAGTAACCTGATCTCTTCAGGGATTATCATTCTACCCAACTACACCACTAAAAGTGTAGGTACTTGGTTGAGCTTCATTTTTCTTTTTAAAGGAAAGGAAAGCATAAAACCCCAGAAACAGAAAAACAAAAGTTTGACAACTTGACTTAAAATGGAATCTTTTTCTCTCAAAACTAACACATACTGGCACTTATTATGTGACAATGGTCTGAGTGTTTCACACATTGCAGCTCATTTTATCATTCTAACAACATGAGGAGGCAGCTGCACTAATTATGTAAAGGGCTGAGAGGACACTGATGAGTTTATGTTAACTTGCCCAAAATCACATAGCCAGTAAGTGGGCAGGCCAGGCTCCACATTCCCTGCTCCTGATCTTCCACATTCCCAAAAGGATACTGGGTCACTGGGTCATTTGTAACCCTAATCCTGGGGGTTTGGGTGGCTTGTGAGCCCAAAGACTGGTATAATCCTTCCCTGGCTTACCAATCATCCCAATTCAAATAGGAGCCCACACTGTGACCTGACATTTTCACTGGGATTCTTCTAGAGCTAGTTAGAAATTCTTCCTAAAGGCCACCAGCTGACATGTACAGCTGAATTTGAATCATAACCTGAAGCCCTATGCATCTCACAAAGTCAGTGCTTGTGAGGTAGGGGTGGAGGTACTTTCCCCTTCCCCAGTGAAGCAGCTCCTGGAATCTTTTCCGAGGTCAACAGGTAAGACCCATGAAGGAAGGGCATAAAATCTTGACCTTACATTAGCAATCCAATCCTGCTCCTTAGAACAACCTGTGTGAAGACATTTTGAGCTTGTTTAGGTTTCACGCAAGATGCAATTTTAACAGAACCATGAGGGATGAGAGAGGAAAGATATTTCCTGGCAAGAGAAAAATATGCTGAAGAAAGTGGAATGTACGTTTAAAGAGACTAAAAACATACCAAATGGTTAGAGCAAAGGTCCTGCAGTCTCATAAGTAACAAATTTGGATGCACCAACATATAAGAATCGCATCCTCTGAGCAACAGCCATGATCAAGCTAGATTCAAAAAATCCGTATCTCTTATGCCAGCAGTCCAGGGCCTCCACTCCATCTGGCCTCCTCCTTTCTATCCCCCTTCTCCCAACACTTCTACAGCAGTACTAACTTCTGCCACTCACCACCAAGCCTGACCCTTTGCTCAGGCCCCATCTCCTACTAGAAAATGGTTCCTCAATCTTCCTGTTCTCTTTCACTAAGGTCTAACTCAAGACATCTTGAGGACAGCACTCCTTGTCTGAATGCGTCATTCAGTTGGCACCTGTACCACTACCTTGCCACACTCTTTGGTACCTTTGTCCTGTGTCTCCCTAACTACACTGTAATCTTTTGAGTGCAGAGACTCTGCCATAACCTGGAACCCTAGCATGCAGTATACTTTCCAGTACACAACAACTTATAATTTTACCTTTGGTGACTGAATACTCTTAGCTTTTTAAAAGTCATCAAGAAGGAGAAAATGCTTAATAAAATGAATGAAAAATCAAAGTCATGATTAAAATTACTTAAATAGGCACAGGTAGTATCACACACTAAACTGCTAAATCTATGATACTTACCATGAGCCAGTTCATGTACTCAGTTCATGAACTCAGTCACAACTTTGAGGTTATACTATTATTACCTACATTTTACAGATAAGAAAGCTGAGGGGCAGAACCTCCATTAAGAGGTTCAGGGAAGCCCCAAAACTCTAAGTTTTGTCTTAAAACAAAAAAATTAGGTGAAAGAAGAGGGGGGAAGTATCCCAAGAGACTTTGCTTGTTTAAAAGTATCTGAAAAGAAAGAAAAGACAAAGACTAGAAGAGAAGTTTCATTTTATTCACGGATGATATAAATGTCTATGACACAAGGCAGCAAGCTATACAACTGGCGGGCCAAACTACAGCTCCAGCCCCAGGGTCTGTTTTTGTACTTTCTGCAAGCTAGGAATAACTTGTATCAATTTTAAGCGATTAAAAATAATTTGAATAGTATTTCACAACATGTGAAAATCACATGAACTTTACATTTCTGTGACTATAAAGGTTCACTGGAACACAGCCATGCTCATTCAGTGTCTATTGCCACTTTCACACTACAAAGGTAGAAGTGAGTAGTTGTGATGGAGACCATGTGACCCACAAAACCTGAAATATTTACTATCTGGTCCTTCACAGAAAGTTTTCCCAAGCCATGGGTCTACAATAATCGTAAGTGATTTATTAACAAGTTTTAAGTTTATGAAGGTCACAGAAAACAAGGTTATGATACAAAAACGAACTGTATTTCTAGAAACCAACAAACAACTGAAAATGAAAGAACAGTATCATTTTCAGCTTCATCAAAAAACCACAAAACATTTGGAGCGAAACAAAATATGTGCAAGAAAGACCTCTAGATGTAAATAATGAAAAATTAAAGATTCAGATAAGTGTACACCACATTCATGGATCAGAAGACACAATGCTGTAAACATGTCAATTCTCTCCAAACTGATCTAAATTGAAAGAAATCCGAATCAAAATCCTGTCAAACTTTTTGTAGACACTGGCAGGCTGATTCTAAAATTCACATGAAATAAAAGTTGAAAATAACCAAACCATCTTTTAAAAAAAAAAAAAAAAAAGGCCAGGCACGGTGGCTCATGCCTGTAATCCCAGCACTTTGGGGGGCTGAGGTGGGTGGATCACCTGAGGTCAGGAGTTCGAGACCAGCCTGACCAACATGCAGAAACCCTGTCTCTACTAAAAATACAAAATTAGCTGGGCGTGGTGGCGCATGCCTGTAATCCCAGCTACTCTGGAGGCTGAGGCAGGAGAATCACTTGAACCCAGGAGGCAGAGGTTGCAGTGAGCTGAGATTGTGCCATTGCACTCCAGCCTGGGCAACAAGAGCAAAACTCCGTCTCAAAAAAAAAAAAGAGAGAGAAAAGAAAAAAAAAAAAAGGAGGACTTATACTACCTGATTATGACTTACTATAAAGCTATGGTGATCAACACAGTATAGAATAATAACAGAAAAAAAATCTAGAAAGAGATCCAGACATCACAATCAACCAGTTTCCCACAAAGGGGTCAAGGTAATTAAATAGGAAAAAGAACGGTCTTTTCAGCAGATAGTGCAAAAAAATCTGAATAGCCTATGTCTGAAAGAACTTCAAACTGTAATTAATATATATATATATAAATTAACTTAAAATGAATCACAGATGAAAAGCCAAAACTATAAAACTTCTAGAAAAACAAATATAAGAAAAATCTGAGACCATGGTTTAGAGAAAGATTTCTTAGGATGCAAAAAGCACAAACAAGAAAAAAAAAAAAAAGATAAATGGATTTCATCAAAACTGAAAATTTCTGCTCTTCCAAAGACATTTTATAAATAAATGAAAAGATAAGCCACAAACTGGAAGAAAATAATGGCCAAAATTCTTGAATACTTCTCCAAAGAAAATACATGAATGACCAATAAGCAATGAAAAGGTCACATTATCAATCATGAGGGAAATAAAAATTAAAACCACCATAATATGCCGCTATACATCCACTAGAATAACTAAAACAATACCAAGTGTTGTGAGTATGAGAAGCAATTGAACTCGCATATATACGTTACTGGTGGGAATGTAAAATGTGACAGCCACTTTGGAAAAGTTTTGTATCTCTAACAAAATAAAAACATATCTCTATCTTACCAAATGACTTAGCAATTTAGTTCTGAGGCATTTACCCAAAGAAGTAAAAACATGTGTCTCCACAAGGAAATGAATACAAATGTTCACAGCAATGTTACTCAAAATAGTCAAAAACTGGAAACAACCCAAATGTGAATCAACTGGTGATTGTTAAACATACTTTGGTGCACCCATATAATGGAATACTCAATATATAGTTCATATAATGGAACTACTCCATAATAGGAAACAAATTGACACATGCAACATGGATGAATCTCAAAAGCATTATGCTAAGTGAAAGAAGAATGACAAAGGCTACATACTGCATGACTCCATTTATGATATTGTAAAAAAGACAAAATTACAGGGACAGAAAACACATCAATGTTTATCAAGGGCTGAGGATGGGGTAGGGGATAGAATGACTGATTTTGCAAAGTGAAATGGGGGCACTTTTTGTGGTGATCAGAGTATTCTTTATCTTGACGTGAAAGTGGTAACAAATTGCATCTGTCAACCCTTAAAACTACAAAACTACATTTTTGAAGTATGCAGTTATTATTTATATCTCAGTAAACCTGATTTTTTAAAAAAGGCAATTCAAACATTTTGAAAGTTATCAGCTGTTTAAAATATCCTTTCAATTTATCAACTTAAAGACTAACAACACAAATGTGTTCTTACGCCAGGAAAAAAACTGCCTTTTATTATTTAGTTGAACCTTTGAAAAATGGAGAACTTAGAACAAATCATTCAAGAGAAAAGAGAGCAAAGTCTCCCAACTGTCTTTCAGAATTTCATAGTACCAAGAAACTCAAATAACATTTAATTAAGAGCACAAGTCAAGCTAAATAACCATCACCAGACTCCAAGCTCACCTCATTTTCATACTGGATTTCTAACATGGCCCGTGAGCTGCCGAGGTCCTGCATCACAGACTCCGCCTGTTTCAGCAGCTCCTCTCGGTTCACAGTACGCTACAAAGAAAGTACAACTGTCAGGAAACTATGCTCTACCCATATTACACTTTAATAAACAGGTGGCATTTCTTGAAATGCAAAAGAACAAGATCAACTCAATTGTTAACACTTATTTCCTTAAACAGGTAACTCAGAAAAGGTTAAGAGGTAGCTGTATTGCTACAAATATCAACAGCACCCTGGCATACATTAAGGAAATCAGATGCAAGAGTAATTACTAATTTATCTTGTGGCCATGGCAAGTTCAGAAAATTCAAGTTGGGGAAGAAAAAAATCGTCTTTGCCAAATATCAGTGCAATTCTCAGGGCTGCAGTTTCATGAAATTTCCCTGGGTACATTTATATTTAGATAGAGAAATAGATATGGAGGTGACAGGTCAAACAGGTGAGCTGGAAACCTACTGGCTCTGATCTGCCAAGATCCTACAAGCACTACTACAAACACCTGCAAATGAGATTTTAAAAGGTCCTGCTAGATTTCTAATTTATGCCAATATCAGTGCTTATGGAATCCTAATAAAGATACGAATAGGATGACTTTTTTTTTTTTTTTTTTTTTAGGTGGCGTCTCGCTCTGTTGCCAGGCTGGAATGCAGTGGCGCAATCTCAGCTCACCGCAACCTCCAACTCCCTGGTTTAAGTGATTCTCTTGCCTCAGCCTCCCAAGTAGCTGGGATTACAGGCATGCGCCACCACGCCCAGATAATTTTTTTTTTTTTTTTTTTTTTTTTTGTATTTTTAGTAGAGATGGGGTTTCACCATGTTGGCCAGGATGGTCTCGATCTCCTGACCTCATGATCCGCCCGCCTCGGCCTCCCAAAGTGCTGGGATTACAGGCAGGAGCCACCACACACCGGGCCCAAGAAGATTTTTTTAACTACAATGTTTGCTTTATGTTTTGTTTTGCTTTTCAGTATACACTTCACTCCCTGCCATCCATCTAACTCCTTTATTTTATTACTAATGTCTCTTATGAAACTTTTGGAGATAAAGGCTTTAGGAAAAGAAACTTAAATCCCTAGCGGAAAAAAACAGGTAAATGAACAGAAAAGACCTAAGTAAAAACAGTGCTGGTGAGAACTGTAGAATCGGTCTCCACTGGAAATGGCTCAGGGCCCCGTGGTTCAGAGCCACAAATGTGGAGCCAAGATTAGAAACACAGATTAAGTTAGCAATACTGGAGCTAACTGGTATAAGAGACTCAAAACATATAAAGGATTTTGTTTCAGGCTCTTCTAATTGGAGTGACTTGTTAAGGGAATGAAATGGATCTGATTAATTCCAACTATTACATAAGGGATCAATTTTTAAAGGCAGGAGATAGTTTGAACTCCTAATTTAGAATGAAAAAAGTTTCAGTGAGAGAAGACAAGATTCTTTCTTGGTCTAAGAGTTACGGCAACTAAAAGAGAAAAGAGAATTGTAGAAATTATTTCAGAAACTGGGGGGTGGGGAGGAGAGAAACTCTTAATGAAGAATAAGGAAGAATCACAGCCCAGTTCCAAGAGACTGAAAGGAAAATAGGGCTAGCTGAATATGACCAAGGCCTCCAAGACCAACATGCATATTTAGATATACTACATTTCTAGTTTTTCCCATTATTTTGAAAAGCTCAGATTATTTAAAGATTTTGGGGAGAAACTTACTTTTTTTCTATCCAATCTAGGTGCAACTCTGCTA
Organism: Homo sapiens; assembly: GCF_000001405.40. Taxonomy (NCBI): domain Eukaryota; kingdom Metazoa; phylum Chordata; class Mammalia; order Primates; family Hominidae; genus Homo; species Homo sapiens. The sequence goes on from NC_000002.12 coordinate 229,787,539, forward strand.
TCTTGAGAATCAGACTGGTTGATTTCTGGGTTGGTATCAAGTAATCTTTGCATTGCTCGGTCCCGATCAAATGCAGTTACATAAAAAAGCATTTGCCGGGTATCAAAAGGAAAGAAAAATGGGCTGTAAAAAGATGCAATGTAAGTTTATTATCTGGATGAGAATCAGAAACTACTAAAAAAAAAATCCAAACTTATATTAGAAACAACTTTTGATATGATATAGAAAATTGTAAATAAAATCAGTAAAAATTGTTTAGGTCAATTTATTTATTTATTTTGAGATGGAGTCCTTGCTCCTGTCGCCCAGGCTGGAGTGCAGTGGTGTGATCTAGGCACACTGCAACCGCCACCTCCCGGGCTCTTGCAATTCTCCTGCCTCAGCCTCCCAAGTAGCTGGGATTACAGGCTCCTGACACCACAACTGGCTAATTTTTGTATTTTTAGTAGAGACGGGGTTTCACCATGTTGGCCAGGCTGGTCTTTAACTCCTGACCTCAGGTGATCCACTTGTCTTGGCCTCCCAAAGTGCTGGGATTATAGATGTGAGCCACCACGTCCAGCCAGGTCAATTAATTTTTAAGAATTTTCATACTTCTTATATGAAATTTCTAAGTGATCAAGTAATAGTGCATTAAGTAGCCTTTCAATGCAGAATCTGATATTTAATTTTTAAAATCCTACACTTAAGTCGATAGATCATCTTTAATCTACCTGAAGGAAGTATAACATAACTAATGAAAGCTCATTTTTAAAATATGACCACCACCTTCATGAGGCACTTGAATCATCCTGAAACCAGCCCTATCTCCCAGTCCATGTCTGTGGAAAAAACTGTCTTCCATGAAACTGGTCCCTGGTGCCAAAAAGAGTTGGGGACTGCCGATTTAAATGTATATGGCCAGTGGCTTACATTTATCACTGCAGTTCTAGAGTCCCTGACCCAAGCAGGCTCAGAGAATCAAGCAACTACACCTTTGGAATCCAATTCCATGACAGCAGATAATTTTGACTATCCTCAGCCAAACTGCTATGTGTACTTTCCTGTTTCATACATAGACACATACTACCAAGAAGATCCAGCCCCCAAACTTGCCTAGTCTGTTTACATGCTAAAGCCACACAATTAAGCAAGTTGTGATCAACAGTATTAATAAACATTTGACTAGGTCCAGTAAAGACAATGTTTCTGTAACAAAATACATCAAGACCAACCCAGTAACATTTCCAAGGCCACCATTACAGAAGTGATTGTCTTACCAGGTTTTTCCTAGCTCAGTAAGCCATGTTGGGATGTTTCCTGTCATGATTACTAAAGGATCTTGAAGTTGCCTATTTGCTTTTGCTGTTAACTTACTGTTAATAAATTCACTAGTTGGAATAATTTCCTTGCACATTGCATTCTGTAAAATGTTTAAAAAAAAAAAAGTCTACATGTAGTAAAATATTAGGATTATATTCACAATCTCTTCCATTATCCCCAAGTCCATGCAAAGTACCCTGAATTCACGTGTTGGTTTCCAACATACAACACACAGCCTCTCATTACTGTGTCCCAACTAAAACAACAATTCCCACAATACACTGTTAAGCCCTCACACATACCCCTTGCCACTGCTGCGCACCCCGCCCAGCCACTGCTGCTGGCTCAGTCATTCAGTGATGTTGCAGCTAATGTTTCATGCAGGGCCAATTCCTTTACTCTTCTCTATGCTATATAAATATCAAAGGCAGCATGCAACTTTCACCCAACTTTTACTTGATATATAAACTTCTGGTTACATGTACCTAAAGAATTTTAACTATAATAAATCCATGTTCAAGTTTCATATTGTAGCTTAATTTCATAAATTTATTCCTAGAGAGAATTTTACAAATCTGCCAAGAGAATTAATCTAAGACTGTGGGCCAGGAGAAAAAAAAGTGGGGGAGAAGTTTCCACTGATGAGTACATTGTACTTTACTGGGCTAGGAGCCCTGCATTTAGCTGAATCACTGTTTCCATTTCTAGTGCAATAGGAAATTTATCAATCACAGACCATGAAAACTTCATAAATAGGCAACATTACTCACATCATACAAGTAATACCAGTATCGACTGATAGCATGTAAAACTCTTAAAAGAAGGATCACATCTAATGACGGGTCTTCAAATGTTATATTTTCAGGTGGTGTGGGAATGAGGTAAACTTCTAAAGGATTTGATACTGATGGGCACACTCCATCTAAAGGACAAAAGATCAAAGTAAGTTTTGATCAAAGTTAGAAAGGCTAAGCCAGTGCAGCCAAGGTCCTATCATCGCTAAAAGAGTAACAGAAGTTGTTATAGTCAACGCTTGGAATCTTATTAGTAGGGTATTGATAAGTTTGACAATCTTCCCATTTTATCTTATATATAAAGTGCCTTGGCTTATAAAAATTTCACTTTTCCCTCCCATACACAAATAAACATTATAATGCAGGAAAGCTGACTCCTCCACATTTCTCCTTTATACCAGAAACAATGGCAAACAGTAAAATGGCTGGAGGAATAAAAACAAACTGTTTAAATTTAAGTTCACTGTTACAGAAATTTCCCAGATCTTTCATATCCAGTTTATAACTAGATGAATACCTCAAAATTAAAAATCTGGTAAAAGAGACTTGGTTATTTAATGCAAGGCTTAGGACTGAACAGATTGTGAGGGTTTTCAAGTAAGGGTCTGCAAATCCTTTGTTATTAGACTGCATTAAGTAAAGGCATCAAAAAAATAAATCTGAGGGATTGAAACAGTTGCCATTTACTTATAGCAAGCAAAATAATAAAAAATCATACCACCATCATTTCATAATAGAAAACAGCATGTTTAACACCAAAAACATAACAATCTCAAAACTAAGAGCCTTTTATATCGAACAAACTTAGTTTTGTGAAAAAAAAGTGCTACAGGGCCCTTTTCTGTGGACCAGGGAAACCAGTGTGAAAATTACTGTGGTGGCGGCAGGGGGCAGGGAGCAGGGGGAGGGGGGGGTGTCCTCCATGGAACAATAATATTGTCTAACTCTAAGGCACTGTTAGTATCGTATTTTTAAAGGGAAGACGTGGGGGAAGAGAGGAAAACTATAGACAGGAAGGAAGTATTACAGAGGAAAATAAGTCTATTAGAAAGTGACGGTTATATTCGATGGTCATTACATTACCTGGCATCACTTTTTATAATTACTATAATTGTACTACTGTCATGGGTGACAAATAAAAAATTAGGGGCCAATTGGCCAATTATCACTACCTTCAGTCTCTTGTTTAGTGAACATGTTCTACCAATGAAATTTGTTTCAACCTTCATAAAAACCTGAACTCTTATATGAACTGGGAATAAGTTTTTTTCCCAATTTTCCTTCCCAATTTAATTTTGTAGGTACTTAATTTTTCATTTTCTAGATATTAAAGTTGAGGATTAAATGTGATCAAACTGTTTGTAATGTCATTTATTTCTCAACTATATTCAAAAATTTTACTACTAAATCCAAATCACTCTTTGAAAATCATGAAAATGGGAAGATTGCCCAGTTGGCAATCCATTTTCCCCTTTATCTACCATCTTACCGTGCCATAACTCATCATGCTTTTTTGCATTTCTAGGGGAAGTTTTCGTTGGAGCTGTTTGGGCTCTTCCTCTTTTACCACCAACACAATCTTTATTACTTTCTTCATCCTCTCTCACAGGTTTATACCTAAAATGACAAGACAGTATATAAACCAAATGTAGATTTTGAAACTGATACAAAGCCAAAATCTAAGCCACAGACACCACAGTTACCAGAAGACTGTTCTGAGATCTATTCTCCTCTCTCTCCCTAGTGTGAATCTGGAGAACTTCTTAGAAGAGATCACCTAGAGACCACCTTCCCAGGAGGGGCTGCCTCAGAAACTCCAAGGGTGGTTCTGGGAAGAATGGCTCTCTTCAAGCATATGTAGCAGACACTCACAGACAATGCAGGAAGCTGCATCCAAATCCCTCTTAAGGACTCAGAGATGCCCAACTTCAGATTACCTAATATCTTATGGCAACATTTTTGTCTTAATTAAAGACCTGAAATAAATCTAGAAAAGCAGATGTAAACCATGATTACTGTCCATGGATATACATTTTCCGGTAGAATGAATGAGGAGGCTACATATACATATGCACCTTATCAAATATTTGAAATCGTCTTTCAGAACTAAAATGTGTGATTTAGGGCCCCCTATCCTTATGAAAGCCAGCCATTAAGTTAATGTGAATTCTAAAACACAAGAACAGTTTCAAAGTTTATGAAAAAACAAAAGAAAGAATTTTCAGACTTGCCATATTGTATGAGTCTTTGTCCAAATACCAGCTCTGCCTAGAGGATTGCTCTCATCATCTGTGGATTCTCTTTCATCTTCAGCCTGTATACTAAACTGCCGTACTGCCTGATACACAGTCATGTTATACGGCAGCAAATGTTCTCCAATATAAAACTGCAGCCTGTGTCTTACATTTCCTGAATTTAGGAACTGAGCAGCCTGAATAAAGCAAAGCAAAAGCCATTTAAGCCAAAGGCCCTGAACTTTATATAGTACATTATACATGGTGGGAATATAGTACCTTACCAGAGACTCATCTATTTCCTCATCTGATCCATCGTCATCGCTGTCTTCATCATCTTCTCTTACTCTTCCATACCCTGAAGACCCAAGTAGACTTTTAAACTCTTAGCGATTTTAGGTGTAAAAAAAAAAAAATCCTGTATACACACTGGTTAAACATATTCTTAGAAAACACATATAGGTTGAGTATCCCTTATCTGAAATGCTTGAGCCCAGAAGTGTTTTAGATTTCAAATTTTTTCAGATTTGGAATATTTGCATGTACATAATGAGATACCTTGGGGATGGGATACAAATCTAAATATGCAATTCATTTATATCTCATATACATGGCGTGAAGGTAATGATATACAGTATTTTCAATAATTTTGTGCATGAAACAAAGTGTATGTACATTGAACCATCAGAAAGCAAAGTTGTCAGGTGTGGAGTCTTCCACTTGCGATGTTCACGGCAACAATCAAAGTTTCAGATTCTGGAGCGTTTTGCATTTTAGATTTTCAGGTTAGGGATGTTCAACCTGTATATATTACACTCTGATCTATGAAGCAGAAAGGTCTAAGAAAATTGCCAAACACAAAATGTCATTTCTACTACATTTCACCAAGATAAATTAACTCAACATTCAAGGAAGCAGTCAACCCCTAGTAAGTTCAATGTATGACTATATACTAAGTAGAAAATAAAAGACAGGAATATAAGTTCCTGCCATCTATTTTTTAACAGAAACAACATTAAACAGAGAAATAATGTATGTAACTCTTAATGTAAATTTCTCCCAAATATACATATATAACACACGAAACAAATATATGGAAAGTACCTCTAACTACAAGGTATCTCTCGATGGCTTGTACCAAAGCCAGAGGGTCAATCTTGACAGGTCCACCCTTCCACTGCTTCACATTTGCACAGTCTGGATGCCTTTGTAACTGGCATTTTAATTGATGTGTGTTGAAAAATTTTAAAGCCTGTGATCCTCTGTTGAGAGAAAAGCTCAAGATAATTTGTGAAAAAAAAGTTAGTCTATTATTTTCACATTTAATATACATTAATTCAAATAAAGGCAAGTTAATACAAACTGCATTTTCATAAGACACACTAGTACTAAGCATTTACTTACCAGTTCTGTGAATGGTAAAGCCAATAATTCAAGTTATTTAGAAAAAATTTTTATACGTAAGAAATAAAAGACGGATGTGTATGCATGCATATGAAAACCTTAAGTCAATATTTGATCTCTGTCCCATCATAAATCCATGGGAGCAGAAATACTTCACCCATGAATATTTAATTATTTTTCTGGAACAAAAATTCCTGAACTATTTAAGCACACTCACTTCTGCAATATTTTGCCCATTCCTATTGAATTATATTTTTTAAAAAGAAAAAAAAAACTCTTTATTTCAAAGATTTCAGCTACAATATTACATTAAAAACTAACCTTTAAAATTTACCTTGCTATAATAGTTTTGAACGAAGCGGTTTAATAGCTACTGCAGTTGAAACCTGGTCATGATGTTTAATTGCTCATTTCAGAAAAGCTCTGGCAGGAGTCAGATACAAACTTAAACTGTGATTATCTGTATGATTCCACAAAGCAAGCTTGTCCAACCTGCGGCCCACAGGCCACATGCAGCCCAGATGGCTTTGTATATAGGCCAACATAAATTCGTAAACTTTCTTAAAATACAATGAGTGTTTTTTTTTTTTAAGCTCATCAACTAACATTAGTGTTGGTGTATTTTATGTGGCCCAAGACAATTCATCTTCCAATATAGCCCAGGGAAGCCAAAAGATTGGACCCTCCTGCACATAAAGCACACAAATAGGGATGTGGAGAATATTCCATTTTATGAATATATACATATGCAAACATATTTTATATAAATTTGGACACAAAAAGCTTCATGATTTTCTCAAGCACAGGTCAAAATGCCCCCTTATTTCATGAACTCCTCCAGGAAATCATAACGATCAAAACTGAATACCACACACTACATTAAATTTCAAAGCAGAAAAGAAACCCTAGTCCATGATGTGATTGCTTTATCACTCAAAAATGCATATGGTTTTTAATTCAAACAAAGTTTTTTAAATGTTTTTAAAACGTCAAAATGTGGATTTAAAAACCAAACTAGGCTGAGTGTGGTGGCTCAGAAATCCCAGCACTTTGGGAGGCCAAGGCAGGAGGATCACTTGGGCCCAAGAGTTTGAGACCAGCCTGGGCAACAAAGTGAGACCCCGTCTCTACAAAAAATAAAAAAATTAATGGAACATGGTGGCACATGCCTGTGGCCCCAGCTACGTGGCAGGCTGAGGCAGAAAGATCTCTTCAGCCAGGAGGTCAAGGCTGCAGTGAGCCATGTTCACACTAGTGTAATTTGGCTTGGGCAACAAAGTAAGACTCTGTCCCAAAATAAATAAATAAATAAATAAATAAATAAAAACCAAACAAATTTCCTATTTTCTAGGCCTCCGGTCAAAATATTCCATGAAACTTGTAACATTCCACAACATAGAACAATTCTTTCCTGTAGCACCTCAAGAGTCCTTAAAACTACATTAAAAATATATATATTTATTAAACTAGTAAAACTTCAAACATTTGACCCCATCAAAATACAAAGTTATAGCCACTAATATTACATATAAATCATATCGCTCAAAATGTAAACATTACTCACAGCCACAAAAAATTTTTTATCCCTACTGAAGTTAAACATAAAGTTCTTAAGGAAGTTTTGTATGCTGAAGTGTATCAATTTAAGGAAAACTAAGCCTATTACAAGTTACAAATACAATCACTGGATTATATATTTATAAAGCATCCTGTTTAAGGCATATGGTATAATTTTAAAGATAAGAAAGCATTTGATTCATTCTTTAGAGTGCTTAATTTCTTTCATCATTACAGCTGAATGTTTTCTGGGCCAATCAAGACTTTACCAGACCTCTTGCCATCTTACTTCAGTGAAATTAAGTACCAAATTCCAGTGGCAAGGGTATAGCCAGGCAATGGTCCTTACCTGCCTCCTGTCCCATTTCCACTAGGGAAATCATGTACTTTGACTGGAAATTGTTCCATCTGGCTGAGGCAGTTGTTCATCTTGTGAACTAATGCCAACAAAGGTGCATTACCCACTGGTTCCACTCTTCCAATGGGCTCTTCTCCAGGAAGCTAAAGTTATAAATAAACAAACAGGTTAAACAAAGCCTTTTCAAAACAAAAGTCTCCTCAAAGAGAAGATTTAATAAGCAGCTTTATAAAAGAGAATAATTTGTCTATTCATCTTTATCTTTTATGGCAGATTTGGTTTGAACGATGTTACCACGTCAATTATTTCAATAAAGACAACTGTTTTGTACAGCCCACAATCCTGTATTCACAATCTCTACATCCAAAGGCTCTGAAAACACAAGTCACTTGGTGGCAAAATCTGATCCAAACAGACATAAGGCTATTTACAGTCTTTATTTATCTGATTTTAGTAAGAATATTCATGTTATGCTATAAAAATATTTAATGCATATAATATACAGTGCTATTCAGAAACTGCTGGGAATTTTAATGTACTACACACTGTAGGACCTTTGAAACCGACCAAACTCCAGGGGTTTCAGAAAAGAGATTGCACATAATCTTAAGTATGCTGTAAAACTATACATAATACTGTCACGCTTCTAATGAATCTCCAATAAATACTAACTTTGCTTTAGGTTGACTCACAAGTTAAAATACAAGCAATGCTCAAATGCCTCTGAGGACTGCAAGCGCATGGTGAAATAGTGTTAATACATAGGAGAGCTATGCTAAGCCCTATTACACAGATAATAGGGAACGTTTCCAAGTGATGCCTTCTCTTTAAGCCACTGTAAAACAAGGAGAATGCTGTCAACAGCATCCAAGGATTACCCTCTTGCTCTGGCCCACTTAAGAGTGAAGGAAGGGGAGCCACTCTGTGGCTTTGTAATCCACATTATAAACGGTGACATAAATGGTCATTAAGCGCCCTTGATTGGAACTGTTACAACTGTATTTTATGTACAAAACAAGAAAATATAACTCCTCTATCTTATTATAGATGTCTGTTTCACTAAAAGGAACTAATACAAACTTCAATACATTTAAAAACAAATATTGCAAGTAAAATACATTCACAGGTGAGAGACTACTATTAATGGCTCATCCTGCAAGCAAAAAAGACTCAAGATACTTCAATCATAGAAATAGTGACATGGGCTTTGTTAAATCCCCATTTCATTGTTTTACTATTTACTTTGATATACAGAAGTTGAAGGATTCCAACTATGTGAAAACCTAGAAGTTTTCCCTCAATGTCTTGACCAAGACCTGCTGGAAATTATTACTGAGATGAAAATATATGCATTAGTGAGCACTGATTCTTAAAAGATACACAGGCATTATTAGATAACTTACTGGAGAAGAAAAAAATACATGAAGAAATCGCTTTAATCTGATCTCTCTGCTCACAGCATCCTTTTCACTTTTAGATGTCAAATAAAGCAACAGCTGCTTCACAAATCCACTATGTTGGATTTCAAATGATGAAACATCTGACTCTGAGACTATGCTACGGATTTCTACAAGGCACTCAGCTCCACCATCCACCTGAAAGAGTTAGGAAAAGTATTTCTATATTGATTTAAGCAGCACTTAAAAAATACACAACTCACATATCCTCAAAAGGAAATGAATATATTCTCAACGCCCTTAAAAAAGAGGGCAGGGGAGTGGTACAGTCTTAGTAAATCCTTGGAAATTATGATTTTAAACACACACACACACACACTAAATATTTCATGAGGAAAACCAGGAATCCATAATAACATAAGAAGAAAATCTTCATATTCAACCAATGTAGTTTTCTTTAAAAAAGAGTATTTTAAAAGATGAGAACAGAAAACTGAAGAATAAGGGGCTATAACACCAGAATGGAAAGATGAATCAAGAATACAAGGTGTGGCTTTAAATTAATACATTTAAGGTCTCAGCAAAATGAACAATTTCTTGGAAAACATACTACCAAAACTGCTCAAGGTACATCAAAAACATCAAAATAAATAAATAAATAAAAATAAAAATAAGAACAAAAACTGAGAACCAGATGAAACGTAAAACACTTATTAGTAAACCTCTAGCCTCTCCTGCCACTCTGAGACCCCATGTGAAGAGAGGGGCTAAGGAAGGCCTATCATCTATACCTATAGTTGAGGATGACTTAGAAAACAGATGTGCTTGTGAGGACATTTCTGAAGTTTCTTCATTTGTCAAGAATGATGAGATGTGAAGGAAAGAAAGTCAAAGATGAGGTTTCTAGTACATTTAATACAGACTGATGAATCCTGATAGTCAAGGGATAAGTAAAAGAAATGCCAGCACCAAGGGTGTATATAAGGTAAAAGTCGATGTAGGATAGCTAAATCCATAGGAAGCTAGAGAGTCATGAAGGAAAAGAGTAGCAGGAGATGCTGGGAAGAGACTGAAAAAGACCAGCAAAATGCACTGGACACAGCACCTGGAGGTTGAGTTGTTCGGTTGCAGCACAAAGTCTCTGAAGGACATTCAATGCAGGGTTGCTTCCATCCATATTCTCAGAACTGAAATAACGTTCTACAAATTTATGTGCCTGCTCCTTAATCCAACCTTTAATTTTTTCTCTACAAGAAACAAAAAGGAGATATTAAAGTCCCAGTGTATGTAGAAAGGATATAACTTCTGATCAAGGCAAATAGCTGCTACATTTAAAATTCATCCTGGTCTATGCTTACAGTTTAAAAACTCCAGATTCCATAACCAAATTAACTTTCACTTTGAAAATGGGCTACGATGTACCACCTGGAGAACTGTTTAAAAACTTAAAATACACTGCAGGTCATTACATGAATTGTAAACAAAGTGTAATAATTTTTTGGAACCCTGCAATATAACACTTTCCTAAGTGTTCCCTTTACTTCCTAAAGTACATACATATCTGCATTATCCTTAACTTGTGTTTCCTGGAGAGCTGAAGTAAAGATTTACAGACCAGAAACATGCGCCTATTAAGGATGTAATAAGCTATGGCAAATAAGACCCGGCTGCTTAAATTACAAATGCTGATGGCTTCAGAAATCCATTCACTTAATTATTTTTATACACTGAAATTAAGAAAAACAACCAACAAAACCAAAGAGAGCATGTTTATTTTCTCAATGACATTTGGTCTTTTAAAATTTCTTATCTGCAGAGGGAAGTAATCATGTTGGTATGCTACATGCAGAACCCAAAAATAAAACAAGTCCCAAGGACTTAAAAAAAAAAAAAAAGGCTCTCCCCTAAAATCCTGAAGTTCCATTGTAATGGGTAGAGAAATTTTATCATAAAAGATGTGAAGAATGTGGACAGAAAATGTCAGCTTTTCCTTGTCTGGAACAAAACTGAGGAAGAGGTTCCCCAAGGAATACAATGTGGTTTTGAACGTATAAGACTTTCAGCTAGGTATGCTGGAAGGAGTTTCAAAGCACATGACTGGAACTTAGGACAAAGCCAGATGCAGGGTTCATAAACTGAGAAACTACCTAATTCTTGAACTATGCTTTTAAGAACAAATTAAAGTGCTGTGTCTATGTATCGTCTCCACACAATAAACGTACTGGCTGAAATAATGTTTAAGTTTTTCTGATATGGGAATAGAAGAAACATAAAACTCCCCCCACTTCACCTATTATTGGAGATGGTATCCTTTGAGGCAGCCCTGGCAAGGCCACTACCTCCCGCAGTCCGTGCTGGCTCAATGTTGTTGCTGTTGGACTGTGTACTTAACCTTCCCCATGTTTTTGGATTCAAGCTTGCCAGGAAAGAAGATTTAGGTGACTGAGTAGTGGTGGGGCTTTTAGCTATGAAAAGAAAAAAGAACTACAGTTAAGTCATTTTAGTTTAAGTGATGAAAAACAACTGATTTTTAAGATTCACAGTCTTAACAGATTAATTAACTGAAAGAACTAAGAACACTTAGTCCTCAGGAAACTTAGGCATACTTCAAGAGCTACTGGCAGTTTTAATAAAGTACATTTCTGCACCTGCTACCACCCTCCCCTTTACCTCCCCATAGTTTCATCAAAGGGGTTACCTTGATTGTCTACTTTGTCATCATCTCTTGGAGGTGAGTACTTTGGCCTTCTTGGCCCTCGTTTTGGCAGTCGTTTTCTCTTTAGAACATCACTTAATCGACTGTCCATGGGAAAATATGAGATAAGTTTAGCAATTACCACTGTTTTATATCTTCACTCACTGAAAAAGCAAACTAAAATGGCAGAAACAGGGAGTAATAAAATACTGTCAGGCCGGGCGCGGTGGCTCACGCCTGTAATCCCAGCACTTTGGGAGGCCGAGGCGGGCAGATCACGAGGTCAGGAGATCAAGACCATCCTGGCTAACATGGTGAAACCCCATCTCTACTAAAAATACAAAAATTAGCCGGGCGTGGTGGCGGGCGCCTGTAGTCTCAGCTACTGAGGAGGCTGAGGCAGGAGAATGGCGTGAACCCGGGAGGCGGAGCTTGCAGTGAGCCGAGATAGCGCCACTGCACTCCAGCCTGGGAGATAGTGAGACTCCATCTCAAAAAAAAAAAAAATACTGTCATAACAAGGTATGTTCTTGTTTAGTGATTATTTAATGCCAATTCTGTGCCAGTCATGTTCTAGAGGTGTGCAGACACAGCAAATGATTATTCAGAAAATAACTAGCTGTTTAACTATACTGAACTATGAAACATAAAGCCAGATAAGATGACTGATCAATTTTCTATGTGTTCCACTTTAAATAGTAGTATATAAGTACATAAAGCAAATATGCAACACAAAGGAGCAAAATAAAAATAAACGGGTAATCACCAACCTGAAAAAGAATGTTAAATCCACATAACACACTTTTTCCATAACCAAAATGGCCGTGAGTAAAATATACATGACCCTTAGTGTTCATGTTGTCAAAATACTCATCTGCCTCTAACATACTACCCAAAGTAATTTCATAGTGTGACAATGGCAATAACATACTAAATAAATGCATTTATGAACATTTTAGTTGGTTTTTTTAAACCTATATACAAATCTAGTGAGTAGTATGAGTAATTTATTCTGAATTAGAATCATTTGCAAAATTAAACACCTGTAGCCTGTTCTAACGACAGTAGAAATAGTTTGTAACAGCAATAAATTTTTAGAATAACAAAACTAAATAAGATGAAAAGGCTGAAAAATGTTGTGGTTTAGTTGGTCTGTGGCCCAAATAAAACTGGAAAAATCTGAAAAAAAATTGGAAAATTTCCAACACCTGACATTTCTATGGAATATACTTAATAATGTGCTCAAATGTGCTTGACAATCAGGAAAAATGAACTTTCAAAGGATGAAAAATGTAATTAAACAATTTTCATTTAAAAAAAATTAACATGAATTTTTCATTTGCAACCATGCTGTAATATGGAACCACTTAAAACTATTTAAAACCATGTAAAAATATTTTAAGAAAAAAGTTATTTTCTCTTTCTTTGGCATAATCAACTGTTAGACTCTATAATCAATTCCAACTCCTTAAATTAAAATGGCTCAGAAATACTGCATTTGAGCTGGGCATGCTAGCACATGCCTGTAGTCCCAGCTACTTCGGAGGCCAAGGTAGGGAGGGTCACTTGAGCCCGGGAGTTCGAGGTTAGCCTGAGAAACAGAGCAAGACCCCATGCTGTGTCTCTTTTTGAAAAAAAGAAAAAGAAAAAAGGGAGAAAGGAAAACATTTTTAAAGGGAAAGAAATACTGCAATTGTCTGAACTGTATCACTCTCTGTAATTTACTGAGTATCTATGATGTCTCAGGCACCATGCCTACATTACAGTAAAACCCTGCAATAACTTATGTTACTGCAGCAGCTAGTGGGTAGGAATGGGGCTGGGAAGGAAGTAAAGGAGAGAGCAAGGCTGGAAAGGAAAATGGCAGACAAAAGCAACTGCAGAATCAGGGATGTGGAAGAGTCCCCAGAACTCTCCAAGCCCAATCTCCTCAGACTGGTCAAACAACATGGGTGCCAGTTAAACTCAGCAGTTTCCTAAAATAATACCCACTGTGCCAGAAGTTCAGTCTGCCAGAAGTCTTGAAACTGCCAAAATTCATATTTAAGCTGGACTAGAAAACTGCCACCAGGTGGCACCAAATTCCCCTCATCCCCTCTCCTACCTGAGTTGGCTGCCTGCACAAGACAATGCTACCCTGCAGATTATAAGATTAAATTTTTGGACCCCACTTATTATTACTATATTTTAGCATGATCTACTTTTCAGTTTAAAAGGAGCCAGAAAGAGTACTGAAGTGAATACATACTGAATTTCAGAACTGAATTTGGTTCATCAGGTACCACTCATCTAGTAATATTAAGCTTCTAATAGCAAGGAAATAAAAACACTTTTAGAGTGTGATTTGTTTCTAACACAACAAAATGGAAACCAATGGAAGTTTTGGAAACATTCTTAGTAGCATGGTATAACAAAGATTAAAAGCTGATAAATAAATGGGAGTAGAGAATTTAAGAACTCTCATTTTCCCTTATTAAAAGCAAAGTATTTAACTCCCAGTTGCCAATTAAAGATAAATGGGGAATCAGTATTTTTTGGCCTTTATTCTAAGACTTCTAATTTTCAGTATTTTTAACTGTATTAATATCTGGATGTCTCTGAGGTCGTATGTATGCAGCAGCACAAAAAATAGTCACAAGATTATGAAATCAGAAACCAGAATTCAAATCCCACAATGTTAGAGCCTACAAGTAACATAAGTGTGTAACACCGTGCAAGTCACAAATGTCTCTGAACTTTAGTTTCCTTGTATGTCAGTGGGAATAAAACTAATCTCTTACAGTTCCTAAACACAGCCCAATACAGTAGGTTTCCAATAAATGTTTTCTTCCCATTCTCATTAACAAAATACAAAAGGAAAAATATAATATATATATGCTAATATGTTACCATTTTACTCCCTATATGATTCTTAGGTACCAAAGCAGCGCTAACAGCAAAGAAATAAAAATCACAACACAATTCTTACTTACCCTTGAGGGCTGAGATCTAAAGAATCATCCCTGCTGTGCTGCAAGCTGGGTGATCCCAAGTCAGCTGCAGCATGAGTGGCAGCTGTGGCTGTCCCACTGCTGACTGAAGTTGTGGATCCCATGGATCCCGATCCATTCGTACATGCCTTTGGTGGACTTGTCAACAAAGACTCTGATTCTGCTAAGTGTTTTACTTGATGCATTACACCTTTATAATAACAGAGATGAAAGGGAGTCAGTTTTAATCAGGAGTAGAACCTTCTCCCCACCATTACAAAATCCCTAAATACCAACACTGACATAATACACAAAAAGACTAAAACATAACTGGCAAATAGGTAAAAGAAATTAGGAGCCAGAGTTTTCAACTTGACTTCAATCAGAAAAAAATATAAAAACTAAAGGTTAAAGAAAAATACTGATATTGAATGTCTTCTAATCTTCAAAACCAGATTATATAAAACTTAATAGGGTCACAAAGTCCTATTCAGAGTTCAAAATACTCATTATAAAAACAATAATCAACTACAGAAATACAGTGCACACCCTGTGGTGTGACAGCCAGAAGGGATGGAAAAGACCAAGAATCAGTTAACTTCAAGCGCTACAAAAAGACAAGATCACATTAACACTGCCACCAAAAAAAAAACCAGCTATTGAAGGGTGGGAACTATCACATCCTTTAAGGTGTGTAAAGAGAGCTAAACATTAACTTGTGAGGCAGGGGTTCCTATCTGTCCCGGAATCATAGGAGAGTATGTATGAAGGAGTGTGACTAAGAACTATCAAATTGTATACCAATATGCATGTCTGATTATCAGCTAGTATAAACTATATGCAAATATGTGGATATATTTAACGTGAGTGAATGAGCACACGTTCACATTTTTCTGGGGAAGAGTCCACGGCTTCTATCATTCTATCAGACTCTTATTAAAAGACAAACTGTAATCCCACGCTGAGGCAGTAGGATTGCTTGAGGCAAGGAGTTTGACATCAGCCCAGGTGTGCACCACCACACCCCGCTAATTTTTGTATTTTTCTTAAAGACTGGGTTTCACCATGTTGGCCAGGCTGGTCTCCAACTCCTGACCTCAAGTGATCCACCTGCCTTGGCCTCCCAAAGTGCTGGGGTTACAGGCGTGAGCCACCACGCCCAGCCTAAAAGACACATTCTACGTACACAGAGCTATAAGCTAACAGAGCTTTAAATGTCATTTTTAAATTGAAAAGCTATCAGTTTTTGCTCGACAGATTAAAACTTTATTTCTGTTGAAGTACTATCTAGACTAAATGACTATTAATTTATATGACATTACCTTCTCTTCTGAAGTAAACACTAAAAATATCAGGTAACTTCTGCATTAAAATTTCTGCCATCTGAAGTGCTCCCACTACTATCTTCAGGTCTTGGCTTGACAGCATGGAAGCAATGTGACTAAAAAAAGAAAGCATTTGTATATAAAACTCTGCCTGAATTTGATGATTATTTTTGGCCATACTACTTTAAATTGAGAGCAAAGCATTTTCATTGTGAAACCATTCTATTAACATAAACATTTTTCTTAAATGCTCAAGTTTTATATTTTATAAAAGCTATTATGTGAATATAAATAGACAAAAAAGAGCTCAAGATACTCCTAACAAATTTTTGTGCATATTTTTTCTATTATTACTTTAGAGGTTTCTGAAATTACTTGCAGAGATTTGTATTTGTAAAATGTTTCTACTATTTTCATTAACACACCTTGAAACAGCATGATTTTTCAGAACATCCTTCAGAAGTTCAGCATCCGCAAAATAAATTATCCTAAGAATTGCTCTAAGGCACTTATGTCTGACCGCAGGTCCTGCTGAGGAACTATACACTTCATAAAGAACACCAAATAATGTCTTAATAAAAGACTTAGCCAGTTCCGGATCCTCTTTCATAAGCTGTGCTCGAGCATCATCCTTCTTTGACTCTGAATATCCACCTATTACATTAAAAAAAAATATATGTGCAATCCTGAAGTGACAGACTTCAGAAACACAATAAACAATATAAAATACTCAAGCCAGTGTAATTCTTGAAATGCTATGAAAACTTTTTCATTATAGAACACATGAACTTCTATGATATGATCAACTAGGATTTACAAAGATGCTAAAGGCAACATTAAGACAGACAAAATTCAGCTGTCTAGAAAACTAGTGACCCATTGGGGCCAGCTGAAAGTAACAATTCATCACCGCACTGTACCTCTTTATTTTACTGATATACATTCAATGAAACAATAGGGAAATCCAATCCTAACCAACCAAACCAGTGGTAAGAAACTGAGTTCTAGAAATGCACCATATTTCACTAAAAGCTTTGTAAAATGGATAAAGAAGGTAATTCTACCACTTTGCTTAGTGACATAAAGTGTAAGGAAAAGATAACTGATAAGCAGTAAGTTATATACAAGGGGTTGACAAAGTACGGTCTGTAAGCCGAATCCAGTCCACCACCGGTTTTTGTAAATATAATTTTATTAGAACGCAGCCATGTACATTTGTTCACATATTGTATATGGCTAATTGAGGGCTACAATGGCAATGGTGGTGAGTATAGACTATATATAACCTGCAACACTTATATTATTTACTATCTGGCCCTTTATTTTATTTAATTAATTTATTTATTTATTCAGACAGAGTCTCACTCTGTCACCCAGGCTGGAGTGTGGTGGCAGGATCTCAGCTCACTGCAAGCTCCGCTTCCCGGGTTCACGCCATTCCTCTGCCTCAGCCTCCTGAGTAGCTGGGACTACAGGCGCCCACCACCACGCTCGGCTAGTTTTTTGTATTTTTAGTAGAGATAGGGTTTCACCGTGTTAGCCAGGATGGTCTCCATCTCCTGACCTCGTGATCTGCCTGCCTCAGCCTCCCAAAGTGCTGGGATTACAGGCGTGAGACACCATGCCCAGCACTACCTGGCCCTTTTCAAAACAACAACAACAACAACAACAACAAAAATATTTGCAGACCACTGTTCTCTAAACTAGGGCTGAAAAAGCAATGAACTAAATCCCTGAGGGGACAGATAAATGTCAGAAACCTGGTTTTGTTTTGTTTTGTTTTTTTAATCACAATTATCTGTCCTTAATTAGTTCAGATAATTTTGGCAGGAAGGTATAAAATACAAGGTTGGAAAGAACTAGTCAATGGATCTAAAGGTATAATAGTAATGACAGGATCAGATAAAAATCTGTATGAGCAAATTCTGACTCGAATCTCAGGACATCAGGTAAGCAGACAAATTGTGGAAAAGATACCAGTTAATACTGGCTCACTCATCCATTAATGGACATGATTTAAAAAATCGAAAACCAAATTATTGTTATGCAATTGTCTTAAGCTTAAAAAGATACTTAATAAGCCAATTATTATTTATTATGCAAACACAAAATATTGCACAATAGTATAGTGCTATTTTAACTCAGAATGTACTTACTAGTGTTACTATTGGCTAACGGGTTAGGTTTTCTCTGAATGGCACGTGCTGTTCCCGTGTCCTCATTGATTTGCTGCATAGAATTAAAATCAATAGTATAAACTCGTCCCAGAGTGGACAAGCTTATCTCATCCTCACCGACCTGATGGGCTGCCTGAGAGCAAAGAGAGAGAAACTTTGAATATAAACATTGAGAAATCTATTACCTTAAGACACAGTGGGGACCCTCCAAATATGCTATCTTACATATTTATTTCAACAGGTTTTAGATGGTGAAGTTAACAGAAGATGGAATAATAGTGTAGATATGACAAAACTCATTCATTCAACAAATCATTTTTAATTAGACATAGGTTACATGCCTCAAGCCTTATCAGGGACCCTTAGACATAAATGCAGGTAAAATCTTGATGAAAGATCCACCTGTGTAGCATCACTGACACAAAGAAGACACCATTTGTATTGAGAATGCTTTTAAGACATTGCTTATAAAAAATCAGTTATCCATATATCTTAGTATTCTTAGATTAAAAATATTATTTACATGATGAATTCTTAGCGACCTACCAAAATCCTCCCTTAAACAAAATGATCCTATAAAATTGTCCTCATTAAACAAAGATAACTTTAAGACTGAAAGGGACACAACTGAAACAGATTAATCGCCAAGGTTGTGTGTGGTATACAGAACATATTTAAATTGACACAGTTCAATTAGCACAGTTTGACTTTAAACAGACTACAGAAGTGACAAAATATTCTCATTACAGAATCCAATCTATGGAACTCCTAGGCTGAATGGAAGACAAGACTCTCAGCACATATGAGAGAGTAAGCTAATAGTGAAGGTGCAATGATCAGGAAAATGCTAAAAAGAAGACGACTTAGAGTTAGAGACCAGGACCACTATTAGCAGGATTGGCCTGCTTATACACTGCTTATATATAATGCTGCACAGAAGACCAGTCAAAGTCAATTTTCTCATAAAAGCTTGCTCTGAAACTGGATTTATTTTTAAAACTCTTGATTTTATGAGGTAAGTCATTGGTTTAAAATTTTTTCTAAAATTCATTTTTAGAAACGAACTAGAAGGCACCTTTAAAGAAGACTGTCTATTCAAAATGTGTGATGTTCTAAAAAGAATTCAAACATCAAAGATTGAAATTAGAAAATAGATAAATTCTTACAGGTGTCTCATGTATTGAAAATAGTAAATTATGCATGGCATCACAAATAACACAGTGATCAACACCTCCTAAGCTAGAGCAAATATTATGCTCATTTAGTTTTAAAAATATTTCAGTGCAAACAATATATAAGGAAGTAAAAATAAAAATCACATAAAACTGTCACAGAAAATCACTGTCAACATTTTGGTACATTCCTCCCCTTTGTATTATTCATATGTTCACTTATTTTGCTGAATTCCAAAAAGATTCACTTAATATTGTATAGTGTTTTTCATTCATATTTGATTTTATATCATTAAAATTTGTCCCAATAATATCTGGATAACATACAAGCCTACGTGTATCACAATTTACTTAACTATTTACCCAGAACTGGCTATTTCATTTGTTTCCACGTTTCTGCTCTGGAAAAATATTGAGAGGAAACTATTTGTATGTAAATCTTTGCTCATGGGACATTGCTTTCTGATAGAAGATAGATAAATTTTAGAAACCTACGGCCTAAGTCTTCCAATGTTTCCTTTCAGAAATGAGGAAACTATGGAACAACAAACTTAAATTACTTGCTCCAAGTCAATCAGGTAGTTAGCAGCAGAAGCAGGACTAGAACATGAAGTTTTCTGACCTGAACAGAAATGAGGACCTTGTTCTCAGGAGACAAAATGAGAGAATCTTGAGTTAATTCAAAATCAAGCACATTCAAATCCACATATCCACCTCCCCATTCCATCCCTACACCCACTCTCCAACAAAATAGACACATTTAAACGGTACGATGAAACTACTACCTCAATGATCCGGCTGTCAATCCTGTTATATGGATGCCAGAGGCCCCGATCATCACGCCACTGCCATATCGCACCATCTGTGTTCTGTGCATTTCCCTTCTTCAACATGGTATCAACTGCAAAAATGCCTTCTTTTGGTAAACATGGCATAAGTTCACTGAAAACAAAAAGTACAATAATTTTAGTAACTTTATGAAATATTAGTAAACGTTAGGTCTCTAAAGAAAAATAATCTCACACAAACCAAAAGTTGTATTTAGACCAATTTTTTTTTTGGAGACAGAGTCTCACTCTGTCGCCCAGGCTGGATGGCAGTGGCACGATCTCAGCTCACTGCAACCTCCGCCTCCCAGGTTCAAGCAATTTCTCCTGTCTTGGCCTCCCAAGCAGCTGGGATTACAGGCGCCCGCCACTACGCCCAGGTAATTTTTTGTATTTTTAGTAGAGACGGGTTTTCATCATGTTGGCCAGGCTGGTCTCGAACTCCTGACCTCGTGATTCACCCGCCTTGGCCTCCCAAAGTGATATTTAGCCCAATCTTTACCAAATCAGAGATGTCAGTTCATACAACTCTTGAGGGCTTCGTGGAACAAGATCAATCTGTTCCTGACAACTTCCATTGGAGGCACCACACAGGAGAAAGTGAAGCGTTTCTGCAATGTCTGTAAAAACCAACAACAAAAAACAAAAGGCTATTAAACTAGTTATACTACCTCATTCAAAGGCAAACATTGCCCAAGGGGGGAAAATAATCAGAATCATTTTCTTACAAAGCAACATAATGCAGAAATTAATGTAAAAAATGCAAAAGTGCTGTAATAAAGGCCTAAAAAAAATTTGTGTAGATTTTAACAATCTCTTTCTGGAGACTTCGTTCTTTAGTCCAAACCTAGCTGGGTGCCTAATCACAATTCCTTCTCACCCCTGAGACTTCAGGAACCCTTTATTTCTTTCCTTGAGAAGCATCGTACTTTGCACAAAAATGCATTCAACATACCACAAATCAAATATATTTATGTACTTGTCTTCAATTCAAATATACTGAAAATATGTGGCCCATAGTATAAAACGTTAACAATTAAATGTAACTGAATCTTATTGTATTGTGATCAGGAAAATCACTACCTAAGCAACACTGATTACATGCAAACTTGATACAAGGATCAGGCAGGCATTCTCTACTGTAAGTTTCCATTCCCAGAAGACATCATTTTCTGGAGGACTCTGCGTGATAACCACGCAGATGTGCTGACACTGTGAGTGGAGGGAACTCTCAGTCTCTACCGTTTAGTCAGTCTAAACCTAAGGAAAGCTGAAACCTAAAGACACAGCTGGGTCTTTGCTGATTGTGTGTGTGTTCCTGTAAATATTATACATATGCAAAATATACATAAACATTTTATTAGAATGTTTTGCCAATAATCAGTAAGTTCTGTTATCAAGAAAAATATTCATTAATGATTTGGGCAGAGATGTGGATAGTGAACTGCCTGCCACACAGAATTTCACAATTAGTGATTAAGATTTTTTTTTTAATTACAGTTTTGCAACTTTATAGAGAAGTTTGAATACATGGTATGCTGCATTATAAGGATTTTATTTTTTTTAGAAGTCAAGGGATGACAACAAAATAGAGACAGATAGAAGAGGCCTACATTTCCTTTTATAGGGTTATTACAGTAAACAACTATGGTGACCTCCATATGATAAACATGTGGTAAACTGCCTGGAGCATGCAAAAGAGGTGAACATATACTAAAAGAAAAAAAATGTTAAAACAAAAGGCAGGCAGCAATTTCCCAAACTAGTATTTAGGGATGTGCTGTAACAAAACATACATTAACAAGAAATAATCTCTCTTACATGATTCAGGAAATGTTGGGATAAGCAAGGTTCAAAGAACTCCTAGAGACTTTAGTAAGTAAAATGAATTGCGGATACTCAAGAAAGAGTTGAACCTTTCCCAATCTTATTTAGGGAAAGAGCACTTTCTTCAGGACCACTCAAAATAGGGTTGTCTGGAATACCAAGTTTGGAAAAGACTCAATGCTTTACGGAGAATCTTTCCAAGTAGCCACCTCAACATTATTTTTCTACAAAGTTCTGTGCCAATGTGTTAATTCACAAGAAAAGCAACTAAATATAAAACTGAGTTCCCCTAAAATGAAAATACTATACTGCTAAATATACTGTCTCAGACAGTACGAGACCACTCAGACAGAGTGGGACCAAAGACCATTTTATCAGTTAATATCATCACTGACTCCCAAGGTAACATCCATAGAGATTAGAATTATGGCTATGAAATTACAAACAATTAAAGGTATTCTATACAAAAGTGATCAATACTCTACTAGAACTAATCATAACAGCCAGGTGTGATGGCTCATGCCTATAATCCTAGTACTATGGGAGGCCAAGGCGGGAGGAAGGCCTGAGGCCAGGACTTCAAGAACAGCCTAGGCAATACAGTGAGACCTTGTCTCTGCAAAAAGTTAAAAAGAAGAAAAAAATTATAACGTATAGATGTTGTCTGATGCCCCACCATTCTCTGACATCAACTTAAGTCTAAGGATTGAGAGAGGAATGGTCAACTGCAAGAGCATTGCAATAAAATTTTATTTCCCACACACTGTGTAAAGGTTTAGAAATACCTTTCTAAATTTGAAAGGTTTAATTTGAAAGGTCTAAATTTGAAAAGGTTTAGAAATACCAAATTAGCAAACATCAGAGACATTCATCAGTATAAATACATTCCTACTTTTTGAGGGAAGACAGCATTCTGGAATCAGAAAAATTGCTAGAAAATCTAACATGGGCAGAAAAAGCAACCTATATAAGCTGAAGACAGCTGGTTATTGGTTAACATAAAACTCAGAATTCTCCTAATCAAGGATGGTTACATGACTAACATGGCATAGATATTAATGACTTTGTATTGTTAGCCCCAGAAACACCAAGGGCAAACATTTAATTTATACTTTAAAAGGAGTATGTTAGAAACATTAACATACTGTCCCAACACAAATTTATTACATATTAACACTTTTCTTTACTATCCAATGCCTATAATATTAGTAATCTCTTCCATTTGCTCGGCTTATGTTGACTTTACATATTAATGAAGAACCAACTTTTCCTGCTTAAAGTAGAACAGTAAATTTGCACTTACTTTGTTTCATAAGTTGAACAGCTAAAGTTGGACAGTTGGAACACATCAGAGAAAACATGCGAACCACCATTATAAACATCCCAGAACTTAAAATGGGTGGAGTCACTACCAACAGCTGTTGAACATTTGTAAGCAGATCTTTGGAAGCAACCTGCTGGAGTAAATTCTTCACAAACACAAGAATAAAGGAATTATTACATCAAGATTCAGCAATTCAACAACCTCATAAAAATACTACCAAAGACTAAACACTTACCTCCTCATGCTGGAAGTTGTCCACTAGGCGTGCAAAACAAAGGCAAGTGCTTTCTACTGACTTTTTATCCTATTTTTTTAATAAAGGAAAATAAAATTTATTAGCATAAAGCATTTTCACTGTCATGTATCACTACTTTATCTTCCTCCTAACCCCAGATTCTTCAAGGCAAGCTCAATTAGTAAATGACAGCTTTGAAAATGCAAATGGGCCTAAGCAAGGTACAGTCAGTAACATCACAATTTCAAAACAAACAGGAAACAAACCAACCTCTCTCTTGTATAAAGGCCCCTACTAGATAAAAGCAAATACACAGAAAAGGAAGAACTATTATGCTTACACAATCTCAATACCTAAACAAATGTTATACTAAAGAAATATATAAATATCCTACTTTCCTTTAAAACCATTACAAGTAGAAATGTTTAAGTGGGTGCACACTAAAAAGTTAGAAAAAGGAAAGTTGCGAGAACCAGAGGTTTCTTGACAATGTTAAAAATAGGGCATAGACTTGCAATATTCACTATAAAAACAAATAATTCACTATGAAAAAGTTACACTATGAAAACAATTTGCCATATTTGTCATAAAAACAGAGTGGCATCACTGACAAAACATTTGAAATAAGTGTCATAAAAAGAAGGGAAAGAATGTTTTACTGGCTAATGTTTTGATAGATCTTGATTTTTCCTAACTTGAAAGTGGAATTTTCATATGTAAAAATTAGACTTGTTTCTACAAAAATGAGAATAATTCAGATATTATAAAAGCCTATAGCCTAAACCTTCACTGACACTACATAAATCAAGAAAGAGTGCTACAAATTGTGACTATTTAAGTTCTCTAATTCTTTTATCTTATTTCTAAAGAATATCATATGGAACTGATTATCACATAACAGAGAACACGCTTTTAGACTACAGAAAAGATTATCTCAACTATGTTTTTATTTATTTATTATTATTATTTTTGAGACAGAGTTTCGCTCTTGTTACCCAGGCTGGAGTGCAATGGCACGATCTCAGCTCACTGCAAACCTCTGCCTCCCGAGATCAAGCGATCCTCCTGCCTCAGCCTCCTGAGTAGCTGGGATGGACCACCACACCCGGCTAATTTTTTATTTTTAGTACAGATGGGGTTTCAGCATGTTGGTCAGGCTGGTCTCTAACTCTTGACCTCAGGTGATCCACCTGCCTTGGCCTCCCAAAGTGCTGGGATTACAGGTGCGAGTCACTGTGCCCCCAGCCAACTATGTTTTTTAAAAATAAACACATAAACAGATTTTTAAAAAATGAATAGTACTACTTTGTCTTGATCATTTTAGAAGCAAAAGGCTCTAGAGTGATTCAATGATCACTACTATTTTATCTTACATAAATCCCTTATTTGGTCGGGTGCCATGGCTTAGGCCTGTAATCCCAGCACTTTGGGAGGCTGAGACAGGTGGATCACTTGAGTGCAGGAGTTTGAGACCAGCCTGGCCAACATGGCGAAACCCTGTCTCTACTAAAAACACAAAAATTAGCTGGGCGTGGTGGCACGCAACTGTAATCCCAGCTATTCAGGAGGCTGAGGCAGAAGAATCGCTTGAACCAGGGAGGCAGAGGCTGCAGTGAGATCACGCCACTGCACTTCAGCCTGGGCAACAGAGTAAGACTCAGTCTCAAAAACAAAAACAAAACAGAACAAAAAAAAATTCCTAAATTGTTTAAAAATATTTTTATGAACCTATTTTCCCTGGGTTAGCCACACTTTGTAATGGCAATTTTAAAGCCAGGTTTCTAGAAATATCTTTAGCAATAACAAACAACGCTTTAAAATATTTCTCTGTAGCTAAAAAAAAATTCAATTTCTCCATAGCCTTGAAGCTGTACTCACAATTTGTCCTCACCATCCCCGGCCCATAAACCCTGCTTTTCACACTGTTATCATCAGGTCCATTGATTCTGCCACCTAGATAATCACTTTTGCTCTTCTCCAACCCCAGATAGCCACAAACTACATTTTTCATTTCTGTTTGGGACATAGTCTAGTCTCTCTTCTGGTCTTAACCCATATTCTCCTGCTCCCATCTGCCTCCTCCAATGCCTCTCAAGAAAGAGTAATCTTTTCAGAAGGAACTTCTGATCATATCACAGAGTAAACACTCAATGTTTGCTGAAATAACAAAGCCATCCCTTAAAAGTCAAAATTGTTAAAGTCATCAAACATATGAATTACTATTCATTTGAATAAATCTACCAAAATTTTATAAAATAACCTAATATGGCACATAACTGGATAAAAATAAAAAATATCAGAACATTTTCGATTATATATGCAGTTAAAGATTTAAAATACTAATTGAAATTGTCATTTAAAAAAGTGGCTGGGCGCGGTAGCTCACGCCTGTAATCCCAGCACTATGGGGGGCTGAGGTGGGTGGATCACCTGAGGTCAGGAGTTCAAGACCAGCCTGGCCAACATAGCAAAACCCCATCTCTACTAAAAATACAAAAATGAGCTGGGTGTGGTGGCACACGCCTGTAATCCCAGCTACTCGGGAAGCTGAGGCAGGAGAATCGCTTGAACCCAGGAGGCGGAGGTGGCAGTGAGCTGAGATCACACCACTGCACTCTAGCCTGGGTAACAGAGCGAGACTCCCATCTCAAAAAAATAAAATAAAATAAAATATAAAATTAAAAAAATTAGTAATAAAACACTTTATGGCACATAAAATAGATGCATATTTTACCTGATGTGTTAGCCTTTGGGTTAGCAATGGGAGTGAATCTGCCACAAAATGAAATTCATCTGGCGTGATACTCTGGCAGCAATTAGCTGCAATTGCTAATGCATTTCTTTGGGCATTTATGCTGAAGAATTCTAGGTACAGCAAGCAGTCTGCCAAACCACCCTAAAATATAGAAAACTGTTAAGGTAAAGAAAAATCCTTTATCAGCAATAAAAAATAATTTAACTCATAAAAAGTCTAGCACATTACTCTGGAAACAACATTTGTATCTTACAAAAACTGCAATCAAGTAGCCTGTACAAATGTGGATTTTAAAAATTCTACATAAAGTGAAATGTAGTCCCCTTCAGTAACAACACTTACCGCCTGTAGAATGGCTTTACTATGTCTCCGTGACAACATCTCCAAGGCAGTCAAGGCCTGCTCTGCCACATCAATACACTGAATAACTTGCAGCTGGGAACATATATATAGTTACCATAAGGTTATCATTTAAGTTCTTTCCCAATAACTTATCTTCTACATATTTTCTCTAATTTACATCCATGTATACTATCTCTAACATGTAACCCACCATAGGATGCAAGTCACTTAGCAGCTTAAGCTACAAAGTATAGCCAAAACAGTTTCCTTCTAACCAGTTTGCAGTTCTAAGATACTGAAAAATATGTTTTACATAATAAACCAAACCCAATTACATAACTTTTAAATCTTCAGATTTAAAATAGATGAGTTGTTTTACACAACAAAATTTTAAAATCAGATTTTAACTTTACACCATACTGCAAGTTTATCAGATAAAGCAAATTTTGTTGTGCGTTAAACAAACAAAAAGGTCCGTAAGACAGACCAAAAACACAATTTACTAGAAACCATATGAAAATTTCTATTCCCCACTGATTCAACTTTCTCAGCTACATAATGAGGGTATAAATAGCTATCAACCTCACTGGCATGTTTTCTAGAAATTAGATTATTTTTAATCAAGTACTTTAAAGTTCTTCTCTGAAAGTTATTATATTAATGTGCTAATTATTACTAAAAATTACAAAACTAGGCTGATTCTATCAATGATTTATCTTCACCTTCAAACTATTGATCTGCTGGACATAAAACATTTCTCGGGCTAAAAAATATACTTTATTTAGAAAATGAAAGCTAAAATTCAAGAGTTTGAAACTTGACTCCCTATGCCTGCTTTTGAACAAACGGGGTAAAAGTAGGATCACCTTTTCTAAAAAGACAGGAATAGCATCTACTACAACAGCAGAAGATCGAGGAAGTGCTTCCATCATGTATGTTAAGGCTCGACAAGCATGGTTCATCTAGAAAAGAAGAGATTTTAATGAGTAAAAACTCAAAACTTAAATATACACCATTAAAAAAATACAATATATACTTACAATATCAAAATTGTGCTCCATCTGAAGTAACGTAATCTGTTAAAAAGATAACAAAATATTAGAAGCTATATTCCTTGGGAAAATCCTAGAGGTATTTCTTCCTCTTCTATTTGAACTTCAACTGAAATGGAAGTATTATTCCTAACTTTTACCACACAAAAATAACTTTAAGATAAAACCTAGTAGGCGTTCACAGAAATGATTACACTCAGGATGGTTCATCACACACGGTGACTCCGACTTGAGTATGCTGCTAGATAACCATCACCTCGTGATACAGGTCACAAACAAAGCCTTCTTGTTACTTACAACCTATCCTTTTGGTAGCTCTAACCCCTTTCAGAAGCCTATTAATATATCCCTGAGGACTTACTAGTGCTAATAAATACTAGATACATAAATAAACAGGATCAGCAATGCACTGACATTTGTTAACAAATGTCAGCACAGATTCAGGACCATAACTTAAACTCTTGTGAACAAGCTTCTCTAAAACAGATAAGCACCATTTGACTCAGCTTTAAAATGTACAGTAATATAGAATTTAAACATAAGATAGATCACATCAGAAACTAATTATGCACTAATTAAAGCCAAATTAATATAATTACTCCATATATGCATGAATAAGTTTAAATATCTGATTTCATTTTAGTTTTTCTTGTGGAAAAGATCTTAAGCAGATTTCAGGTATGTTTTTCTAATGAAGGAATGCAAAACTGCTGAGGATACACACTCTGTCCTCTCGAAGCAGCTGAGTCACCAAAGAAATTTCCTCCTTGGGGATAAGACAGTCATTCACTGTCTTCTGGTTCAATGGAAATTTTTAAATGCACTGAATTGAAGCTTGTTAAGTACCCTTCAATTAAATTTATAATGACAACAACAAACATCAGATATTCTAACACCATACTCACTCAATATGAATGTCTTCTCAGCTGTGAATTGTGCTGGGTAAAGTATACCTACATACCAGAAGTCCTAAGGACTATTTTTGTTTAAAAGCACACACACAAACAGCATAACACATACACACACTCCATTTCAGGACTTAAAAAAAAAAAAAAAACTATCAAATCACTTAATGTCAGTCACTTAAAACACTTAGTCTAATTTGAAAGGGGCTGTCATGTTAAAAGAAAAAGTACTAAGTTCCCCAATTATTAAATAACCTTGTTATACTGTGTTTGGGAATGACTGATATAAACAGATACCCTTTCACCAAAAATGGCTATTTATGTCACATGACTGTATTGTGATGAAGAGATATAAATAATATTCAACTGTGATAAAAGATATATCTGAAGAACTCATTAATAACAGCCATTATTAATAGCGAGAGCATACTTGTGCAAGTCAATTAGGTACTTAAATCTAATTAACAACCAGCACATTAAGTAAAGTGAATTATGTGTCAACATTTCTGCCTAGACTTAATGGCTTCTTTATTTAACTAATAAAAACTAAATTTTAACTGTAGATAGTATAAGGTAAGCCTAGTTATTTGTTGCTAGTTCTTAGTGAACAAACAACAATAACAATAAAACAAATGAAAGTTTGATTCAGGTCACAGAAGCCAGCTATTGAACAAATCAGCAAACTGAGAATGGACATTAACACAGGCAAAATCTGAAAGTTGAAAGGTTAATAATATTGCTATTATGAAACACTCAGAAAGCAACATGTACAACTTTGACTAGAATGGAAATGATAAAATTTGATAACTGGCTTTTATTATCTGCATCTGGGTGGCAGGTGAAGAAATTGTTCTATCCTTTATCAAACTCTGCCAGAGCTGAGCCATCCAAATAAGAACAAGCAGAATAAGGATTGTCACCTTGTATTTCACAGGCTTTTCTTTACTCAGCTCTCTCACCAAAACTCAAGCTATCTCCATAATTTGATAATCTCATCAAATGGGACAATATGATGTATAAATCATAACTTCATTTTCTGTCAGCTTTACTGGATATACAAAAAAGATTTACATGGCATTTAACTGTAATTTCCAAAATAAAACATACCACAAATGTAAATGTTTATGTTTGTCTTTTGGTAGTGTTTGATTTAGACTCAAATTTTAATCTTAAATTATACCTAATTTCTTTAATTTTGGACAAAGAAAATTATCAATCCACTATTTAAATGCTGTATTGTGCTAAGGTGCCTACATTTGATAATGGCAATTTTTCTTCCTATTGTTTTCATATTTAAAAGTTTAAGGAATCAAGCTGTTAATAAATCTATCATATCAAAATATCAACTCACAACTGTGTTGAAAAGGCATTAAAAAGATTTTTTAAAGTCTTTTATTTCTTTTTCTGAGACAAGAGTTTTGCTCCTGTTGCCCAGGCTGGAGTGCAGTGGCGCGATCTTGGCTCACTGCAAGAGATTAGAGCGATTCTCTGCCTTCCAGGTTCAAGTGACTGTCCTGCCTCAGCCTCCTGAGTAGCTGAGATCTACAGGCACCTGCAACCATGCCCGGCTAATTTTTGTATTTTTAGTAGAGATGGGGTTTCACCATGTTGGCCAGCCTGGTCTCCAACTCCTGACCTCAGAAGATCCACCTACCTCGGTCTCCCAAAGTATTGGGATTACAGGCGTCAGACATTGCCACTGGCCAACATAAAAGCTTTTAAACTGAAAGGATCCACATATATACCATATGGCTTGAGTAGTATTCCCATGTAGACACGTACTAAATATGAAACCTTTCTGGCCCCCCGACACAACCCAGAGTGAGCTTCCCTGGCCTATTGCTCCGTGGATCACCAGGCTAAAAGAAAAAGCATGTGCATTTTACATGGCAGGAGTCAAGGTTACTGATGAGGTGAACAACTTAAAACCAGTCATTTAAGTATCAAGAAGTGGGTGACTATTCATCAAAAAAATGATTTAGAAAATTTGCTAACTCATTAGCAATTGCTCACAGTATCTGTAAGCATGAAATACAAGCACCAAGTCATATACTCCTCTCTTAACTCTATCATGTTTTAAAAATTAATAATGACAATAATCATACATTCAGTACAAAATCGGCAGATTTCAGAGGACAAATGAGGTAAAAACGAGGGAAAAACATTATGCTTACCAAAGCTGGAACAACACTCTTGACAGGAAACCCTCCCAGTGTCTCCTCATTTCCCATGACCAGTAACTGACACATCTCAATAACTGCCTGAAGCTGTTGACTTTCATCACTGGCTTGCAATCCTTGTAGTAGCTGCTGGGCCTTAGAACCTTTAGAGAAAAAAATAATTATTATCTTTAAACATTTAAGAAAATTATTACTAGGTATAAGGTGTGACTCGAAATGTAATTGGTTGCTTATCTTCTTTGCATCCTAATGAAAGACTAGGTCTATACCAGGGTTAAGGCTCACTGCTAATACATTGAAGGAAGAATTAAATTAGTTGGATCTACTCTGCCTTAACATGCTTTCACAGTTATATACTTCTGTCTTCTTAATTGAAAACTTGACTGGTTTTACAGCAAAAACAAAAAATAATATCCCTAAGACCAGTATGAACTGATAGCTTTAACATTATCTGTTTTAAGGAAATATCAATTGTGAGCAAAGGCTTGCTACAATAATAAAAACCTGTTAAACAATGATGCCCATACTTCAAAGGAAATGTTATACACCTCTAAATATCTGTTCCAGAATAAATAGAATCCAATTAACAATGAAAGGGCAAGGAAATAAAAAACACAACAACGTATCTAACAAAAAAGAGAATGGAAAGAATATTCTGTAAAAATAAAAACCACACACACACACACACACACACACACACACACACACACACACACAATTATAAACCCTTGCATCCTCTTTCATTTCCTGCACAGATGATGGCTATTAGAATGTTCCTACTTTTAAGACTTAATTCCACTACTCCAACAATTGAAAAATGTGAATACTCAACAACCACAGAGAAGTACGTTGTCATTAAGCTAAACAATACACTCCAAAATAAAGTCTAGAGAGGCTGGGTGCAGTGGCTCATGCCTGTAATCCAAGCACTTTGGGAGGCCAAGGCAAGTGGATCACTTGAGGTCAGGAGTTTGAGACCAACCTGGCCAACATGGCGAAACCGCATCTCCACTAAAAATACAAAAATTAGCCGAGCGCAGTGGTGTGCACCTGTAGTCCCAGATACGCAGGAGGCTGAGGCAGGAGAACTGCTTGAACCTGAGAGGCAGAGGTTGCAGTGAGCCGAGATCATGTCACTGCACTCCAGACTGGGCCACAGACTGAGACTTCATCTCAAAATTAATTAATTAATTTTAAAAAATAAAGTCTATGAATGTGTTTCATTTTTCATGGACACTTTCCTACTTGAAACCACAATTAATTAAATTAACACTTAACCAATCTTATATGATGTTACTTTTAAAGCTCCTTCACTTCTTACACCTTTTCAAGTTATTCTTCGCAAATTGGACTTTTCCAGTCCTATATCATTGAGTACTGAAATGTGTAGAAATGGGATATATGTCTGGAAACTGTCAATGAATGTGAAATTCTCAAAAAACTGAACCTAATAATTTCAACTGAGCTTCAGTGATATTCCTGGGGGCGTACACCTCTCACAGGGGCACATAGCAATCAATGGAAGTTGTTTTATGGTTTAAGATTGTGGCTACTGCATTCCATAGCTATCGCTGCCTACCTACCTTTACCATAATTAAAAATCCATCCAAAAATACACCAGAAGAAAAGTTCAGGGAAATACAATTTAACAATTTTAAACTAAATAATACCAATTTTAGTGACAGCAGGTTTATCACTTCTGTGTTGACATAATGTGGAAGGAAAAACAAAATGATAGAAAAATAGTGAAAACAAATGAATCCTCCACTGATTCTAACATGACTTTAAAAGGATTAAACAGTTCATATCAAGTATGGCCTAAGAGCACAACCCCCTAAAAGAAAGAACCAACATGTATGCAACTAGATGGAGGTCTTATAACCATTGGGGTTGGCAACTCTTAAGGACATGGATCTTATACAGCATAATCAAAATTATCATCAATACCAATAAAACATCTGGGATGTTCCTAAAAATAACTTACACTAAACTGAAGATGACAACAAAAAGCCAAAACCATAACCAAAACCTGATTTATCCTCTGATTTATGAGGAGAAACCAACTCCTAGAGCAGTGGATTTTGAATTTAGAATCATTTTATACTCTTAAAAACTACTGAGGTACCACAAAGCACTTTTGTTTATGTGGGTTATATTTATTGATAATTTTAAAATATGTTAATTGAAATACAAAAATTTTAAATATTTGCCAGTTAACTCATTATATATTAATATAAATAATTTTGATTTTAAAAGACCTTATTTTCCAAAACAAGTGGTGCGGTCTCAGCTCACTGCAACCTCTGCCTTCTGGGTTCCAGCGATTCTCCTGCCTCAGCCTCCCAAGTAGCTGGGATTACAGGCACAAGCCAACACACGTGGCTAATTTTTCTGTATTTTTAGTAGAGATGGGTTTCACCATGTTGGCCAGGCTGGTAGTGAACTCCTGACCTCAGGTGATCTGCCCACCTCGGCCTCCCAAAGTGCTGGGATTACAGACATGAGCCACCGCGCCTGGCCCAAACACTGTATTTCCAATCTGAATTTGGTTGCTAATGTAGAACTCATGGATACAGAAAGCTAACTGTATTTATTTTTAAAATCCATGAATAAGTGGACCCAGCACAGTTCAAACTCATATTGTTCAAGAGTCAACTGTATATAGAAAAGATTGGCCTTATTTTGTTCCAAAGAGTATTAAAAAGACATGTCTTGGGAGTAAAGACCTAATTAAATTAACTTTGGTTCAGTAAGGGCATCTTAGATAAAAACTGAATTATATTTATTAGGAGTATGTGGCAGTGAAAAACACAATGATTGCTAGTACCGTTTAGTGCCACTGCTTTGATGCTTAAGATCCCACCAGTTTTACCCATTACAGCTTTTGCACCATCAGTTCAAACATCAATGAAGTAGAAAAGGAAAAATCTTGGTAACTATTATTAGTTTTGACCTTATAGAACTCATTTAAGGGTCTCTCTCAGAAACCAAGAGTCCACAGATCACACTTTGAGAACTGTTATCACAGATCAGGGTTTGGCAGGAAAACGTTCTCTTTCAAGGGAGAGATAGCAATTATTTTGGGCTTTACAGGCATATGGTCTCTACTGCAACTACTCAACTCTAGCACTGTAGCTGGAAAGTATCCATAGAAAGTAAGACTAATACAAACAAATGAACATGACTGTATACCAATAAAACATTATGGACACTGAAATTTGATCTGCATTTAATTTTCACATCACAAAATATTCTCTTTTAAAATGTTTTCAGCCACGTAAAATATAAAACCCATTCTTAAGAGTACACAGGTAGTATAAAAACAAGCAGGAGCGTGGATTTGGCCCTTGGGCAGTAGTTTGCTAATTTCTGATAGGAATGGAAACAGAAGCCTATAGTGCTTTAGGGAGTCACAAGAAGCTAATGTGTTGAAATCAACTGGCCCACAGACAGGTACCGAGTTCTGGAACTGTGAAAACTGATAGAGGGGCCAGATACCCTGGCTCACACCTGTAATCCCAGCACTTTGGGAGGCCAAGATGGGCGGATCACCTGAGGTCAGGAGTTTGAGAACAGCCTGGCCAGCATGGTGAAACGCTGTTTCTACTAAAAATACAAAAATTAGCCGGGCGCGGTGGTGTGCACCTGCAGTCCCAGATACGTGGGAGGCTGAAGCACAAGAATCACTTGAACTCGGGAGGCAGAGGTTGCAGTGAACCAAGTTCACGTCGCTGCACTCCAGCATGAGCGACAAGAGCGAGACTCCGTCTCAAAACAAACAAACAAACAAACAAAAAACTGATAGAGGGGAGAGTAAGAAGTTTTGATAAGATAGAAGAAAATCTTCTGCAGTCTCATGGTGCTCAGAAGCCAACATCTCAACAGAGAGAGTAGGCGTCAAAGACACACAGCTGGTACCTGAACTCCCAAGATAATCTGCCACATTTTGAGACTGCTCAACTATTCAAATCTGAACTCCCAAGATACTTGCCACATTTTGAGACTGCTCAACTATTCAAATCTGAGGAGACATAGATTTGCAAAGTTGTCAATCAAAATTCTAGGAGGGCCACAACAAAGAAAACAGTGACTAGCAAGAGGTGAAATGAGTCATACCAAAATTACCAGAGGTGAAATTAGTCATACCAAAATTACAACTCTGGTTAAAACAAGCTCAAGTCCTGATTAAAGTTAGAGTGATCAGCTCTGGACCCTTTATTTTTGGTAGAGAAAAAAGAAAGCTAGCACTAGCAGAAAATATCATTTTGGGCCACTTTAGTTCTTTTATACAAAACGTCTGTCACATAACCAAACAATTACTAGACTTATAAAGAGGCAGGAATATGGGACTGAGAATTAAGTGGGGGAAAAAAAGACAATAAAAGCAGACCAATACTTCTAGAATGAAAAGACAAATGTTTTATAAAGTATTAAAAATACAAGCAAAGATGGACAAAATTGATTAAGAATATACACATTTTCAACAGATGATTGGCATCTATAAAGAGAATCAAAAAACTATTCAGAACTGAAAAACGTATCTGAAATTAAGAACTCATTGACGGGTTTAACAAAAGATTGAAGACAGCAGAAAAAAGAACTAGTGAATTTAAAAACTGATCAATAGGAAGTTTTCCAACTAGGCAAAGAGAAAAAATTCTGAAAACAAAACCAAAAATAAAACAGAGCCAGAGAGACATGCTGGATGCAGTGTAAAGTTTAAATGTGTATGATCCTGATACTCTCCAAAAGGAAAGGAAGGAGAAAATCTGATGATGAGATAAGAGAAACAATACTAGAAGAAATAATGACCAAGAATTTTCTAAAACTGAAGATATCAACTCACATATTCAAAAGTTCAGTGAAGGGCAAGCACATTAAGGGTCAAGGAAACATCACTTAAACCCTATATAGTCAAGCTATTAAAAAATAAGTGGTTTTTACATTTTTTTTGAGACAGGGTCCCATGCTGGATTGCAGTAGCCCGATCTCGGCTAACTGCAACCTCTGCTTCCTAGGCTTGGCCAGGCATGGTGGCTCACGCCTGTAGTCCCAGCATTTTGAGAGGCCGAGGTGGGGTGGATCAGGAGGTCAGGAAATCGAGACCATCCTGGCTAACACGGTGAAACCCTATCTCTACCAAAAATAAAAAAAAAATTAGCCAGGTGTGGTGGCAGGCACCTGTAGTCCCAGCTACTCGGGAGGTTGACGCAGAAGAATGGCGTGAACCCGGGAGGCGGAGCTTGCAGTGAGCTGAGATCGCGCCACTGCACTCCAACCTGGGCAACAGAGGAGACTCTGTCTCAAAAAAAAAAAACAACAACAACAACAAAAAATAAGTGCAAATAAAGCACATGCCTGTAACCCCAGCAACTTAGAAACTGAAGCGGGAGGATCACTTGAGGCCAAGGGTCTGCGACTAGCCTGCGCAACATGGCGAGATGGCATCTCATTAATTCATTCATAAATTAATAAAGACACATCAAGGATTTCTCAAACACAGAAAGAAATCATTATTAATAGTCTGACACTATGTTAAAAAAAAAAGTTCTTTAGGCTAGAAGGAAACAATCCTTTAAAGAAAAAAGAAACTGCAAGAAGAAACTAAGAGCACTGCAAAGGTTAAGCATGTTGGCAAACATAAAAGAAAACAGATATTCTAAGTAACGTCCTATCAAGTTTATAACACGTATATATAGGTAAAACAAATTAAATACAACAAACATAAAGGAGGGCAGGAGGTAAAAAGTGTTAATAAACTGTTGTAAGGTTCTTGTACTGTTTGAGATATGATAAAGTATTAATTTAAGGTATGCTATAATAAACCAATGAATTTGCATTATACTCTCTAGGGTACCACTAAAAGAAATATACGAAGATACATATAACTAAAAAAAGTTAATATTAGAGAAACAATGAATTTTGGTAAAAATTCAAAAGCTTGATACCATACTACTGTCATTCACACATGACTGGTGGAAACGCAAAATGGTGCAACTCCAAATGGGGGGGAGTTTGCAACACCTACAAAAACATCGTATGCATTTACACCCATTTAAGCAGCAAACCTGCTTCTAGAAATCTATCCAAAAGATAATGCTTGAAAAAATACGAAAGCTACATTTCACTGAAGCCTTGCCAATAGAAAAAAAAACTGAAAACTCAAATGTCCAACAGGGGACTATATAAATAAACTATGTATACCCACACAATGGAGTAACGTGGCAGCTTTACAAAGGCCTATCAGTTGAACATGCAACATGCATGTGGCAGCTATGAAGAGTGAACACGAAGAGTGAACACCAAAATATAGTGTCAAAAGCAAAGTAAAGTGTATAAAGTTTGCTACTCTTAACTGAGAAAGGCATTCCCATGGACAATATAGATATTTATGGATTTTTTAAAGTAAATAACAGAAGGACAAGGCATAAAATTTAAAAGATTATTTATGTGAGAGGAAGAAGCAGGGAAAATGGAAAGCAAAAGAAGATAAGATTTTTCTAAATATATGTTGTTTGTAGATTTGACTTTTAGAACTATGTAAATATTACATAATTATAAAAGCAAAACATAAATTTTAAAAAGCAGTCCCTAAAAATCAGAAGCAAAATGAAGTAAATGAAACAATCCAACTTGGTGGCATAAACAAAGAGATGGATTTCAAATGACTTTAAAACACATTAATTTTAACACAAAGTAAAAAATATCCCAGGAACAGAAAGAACTGTAAAAACACTTTTTAACTTTTTTAATAATAATACTTTCAGCAGCAACTTGAAATCTCGTACTGTGGGATAAAGCAAATGAGTCACTATATTATAATTATTGGGAATTAGGACACTCACCATTGGAGAAAGGAGACATAACATCAATGAAGTTAAATAAAAACCCTGTAGACCTAAATATGAATTGGTGGTATCAGCATCAACTTTTAAAAGTCTAGAAATAATGGTCAACCCAGTAGAAATGAATATGCCAGACTGTGGTCTCCAAATACAAAATAAACCAAGGATCTATGGGGAAATGAACAATTTCAGGTATGGGGAGTGTATTAGTCCATTCTCACACTTCTATGAAGAAATATCCAAGACTGGATAATTTATAAAGAAAACAGGTTGAATTGACTCACAGTTTGGCATGGCTGGGGAGGCCTCAGGAAACTTACCATCAGTGGAAGGCACTTCCTCACAGGGCAGCAGAAAAAAGAATGAGTGCCAACAGGGGAAATGCCAAATGCTTATAAAACCATCGGATCTAGTGAGAACTCACTATCAGGAGAACAGCATGGGGGAAAACACCCCCATGATTCAATTACCTCCCACTGTGTCCCTCCCAGTGGGGATTATGGGGATTGCAATTCAAGATGAGATTTGGGTGGGTACATAGCCAAATCATAGCAGGGAGAAAAAAATAAGTCAACTGAGTTTGGCACATCTTGTCATACCAGAAAATAAGAGGCTATCAAAAATTACTAAGGTTATGGCCAAAAGATTCAGAAGCCAAACTCAAAAAGATCCCATCATCCAATGCTGGGACAATTCAAGTATCAGTGAAAATCACTGAAATGTTTAATACACATCTCAACCCACTGCTTACAATTATACTTAAAAACAAACATGTTAAAAAGCAAAACAAAAATATAACAATGGCACCTTTGGAGGACATAAAAATTACTCCTTTTATTAACCAGTAAAGAGTGAAAAATAATTTTTCCTGTATCAACTATTGTCCTAGGCAATCAAATAGAAGGTGAGAAGAAGATATCCTTTATATATTTCTACTAAATTATTAATACTTTCTTTACTTCTCATAAATGAAAAGTGATTATTAGTTCTAAAATACTACCATTTTGTAACCCCTATTACATAGGTACTTAGTTTCAACAGCTTGTTAAAATACAGACACTATGTACTTCCTAAGAACACACTATGACTTTTCAATAGGCTTTCTTTACCAAGAAAAGAAGATAAAGGCTCGAAACTCAATCTGAAGAGGTCTCTAGATCCAACAACCAGTTTGCAAGAAATAAATTATGATATTGAGATAATGAAACTTTGACATCTATTGGGTATCTATTATTAAGAAATTACTGTTTTATTTTTTAAGTGTGATAAAGTGACTGTGTGTTTTGAGGAGCATTATCTTGAACTACATGATGAAATTTTATAGATTAAAATTAGGTGTCACTTAACAAATGGGATATGTTCTGAGAAATGCTTTCTTGACCTATTTTGTCATGTAAACATCATAGAGTATACCTAAACCAAGATGGTACAGCCTACTACACACCTAGGCTGTCTAGTTTAGCCCATTGCTCCTAGGCTAGAAACCTGTACAGCATGTTACTTTACTGAATACTATAGGCAGTTGTAATGCGTATTTGTATATGTTAATATATCTACAAATAGAAGAAGTAGAGTAAAAATATGATATAAAAGATTAAAAAATGGTACGTCTGTATAGGGCACTTACCATGAATGGAGTTTACCAGGAATGGAAGTTTCTCTGGGTGAGTGAGTGAATGGTGAGTGAGTGTGAAAGCCTAGACTATATATTACTATCAATTTTGTAAACTGTATATTTATGTATACTAAATTTTTAAGAAATATCTTTCTTAAAGAAATTAACTGGCCAGGCATGGTGGCTCATGCCTGTAATCCTAGCACTTTGGGAGGCTGAGGCAGGCAGATCACAAGGTCAGGAGATCGAGAACATCCTAGCTAACACAGTGAAACCCTGTCTCTACTAAAAATACAAAAAATTAGCCAGACGTGGTGGCACGTGCCTGTAGTCCCAGCTACTGGGGAGGCTGAAGCAGGAGAATCGCTTGAACCTGGGAGGAGTAGGTTGCAGTGAGCTGAGACTGCGCCACTGCACTCCAGCCTGGGAGACAGAGCAAAACTCCGTCTCAAAAAAAAAAAAGAAAAAGAAAAAAGAAATTAACTTTAGTTTCCTGTAACTTTTTTACTTCATAAACTTTTGTTAACTATTTTGTAGTATTAACTAGCTTAAAACACAAACACAATGAACAGCTGTACAAAAACATTTTCTTTCTTTATATCCATAGAGTATAAGCTTTTTCCTATTTTGAAAATTATTATTATTATTATTTTTTTGGTTATTAAACTGTCTTTTAAAACACTCAGACACAAACACGAACATTAACCTAGGCCTGCACGGGATGAAGATCATCGGTATCATTACGTTCTACCTCCACATCTTATGTCCCACTGGAAGGTCTTCAGGGGTGATGACAGGCATGAAGCTGTCATCTCCTATGACAACAATGCCTTCTTCTGGAATACCTACTACTGAGGGTTACAGTTAATGTTCTTCTTTAGTATATAGAAGGAATACATTCTAAATCAAGCTTGTTCAATGCATGGCCCAGGATGGCTTTGAATGCAGCCCAACAAAAATTCGTAAAGTTTCTTAAAATATTGTAAGATTTTTTTTTAAGCTCAACAGCTATCATTAGTGTTATTATAGTTAGGGTTACCGTATTTTATGTGTGGCCCAAGACAATTCTTCTTCTTCCAATGTGGCCCAGGGAAGCAAAAAGACTGGACTCCCCTGGCTCTAAATGATAAAAGTATGGTTTAAAAATCTGTACTGTATATTAGCTAGATGATGAGCATTTTTCAGCTCCATTATAATCTTGTGGGACTAATGTAGTGTGTGTGAACTGTTGTTGAATGAAACATCATCATGCAGCACATGACTGTATATAATGCCTGGGATTCATTTCAAACTAATATGGGAAGAAGGATTAGAATGAGGCTAGAAATAAAGATTAAATATGAAGTAGGCACTGTTGAAGCTGGGTCATGGGCACAAAGAGGTGTGGCATTGTTTTTGACTCTAGTGCTAGTCTACGGTTTATATTAAGTTCATGTGTAAAGGTTGATGGTAAATACAGGTTTCAGATACTTTAAAATCAATACCCTTAGGGACCCCCTGCAACAGTGATTTGTTTTTTTTTTTTTTCCTTTCCAGGCTTCTCCCCAGTGATAAATAAAATCAAATTTCTCTTAAAAACAAACAAACAAACAAAAATCAGGTAAGAAACATTACCTGATTGTAATGTATAGATCATATTTTGATCCAATTCAAGGAAACAGGCCGGGCACAGTGGCTCATGCCTGTAATCCCAGCACTTTGGGAGGCCAAGGTGGGCGGATCACCTGAGGTCAGGAGATCGAGATCAGCCATCCAACATAGTGAAACCCCATCTCTACTAAAAATACAAAAATTAGCCGGGCTTGATGGCACACACCTGTAATCCCAGCTACTCAGGAGGCTGAGGTGGGAGGACTGGACCCGAGAGGCAGAGGTTGCAGTAAGCTGAGATCACGCCACTGCACTCCCGCCTGGACGACAGAGCAAGACTCCATCTCAAAAAAAATATATATATATAAAAAGTACACATGAAAACCAACATCCTTATGTCCAAATATTTAAAGTTATAAAAAATTCAGCTAGCAAACTGTTTAATATTTTATCCTCTCACCTTGACAAATACATCATTATGACAAACTCAAGATTCAAATCTATGCAAAACATGCCATCAGGTGCCATAATTATCAATGTAATTGTTTGAGATTCTTTATTCTTATTTTGTTCAAACAGAATCAATCTCGCTACAAAATCTGGATAATTCAGCAATGAAAGCTGTATTTAAGGTGTGATTGTACACAGCCTTATTTTTAAAAATGGGTTAAAGTTGATGAAAAACTTCTTAATACTTACATCAATAGGTTACAAGTAACAATAGCAGTTGGCTAATTATTGAGGGATTTCAGGGAAGGAACATTTTTACTTACTAGCTCCACTTCCAATTGTTCTATGGAAAAGCTGTGACATCCGAGGACCAAGAGGACCAAATAGGTGAGGGGGAAGACCCCTTGCCTCTAACAAAGCTAAAGAAAAAAGAAGGGCAGAGTGAACAACTAAGATGACTTCATGCAACTGATGTATCTAAAAATTTCAAGTAACTGATTCATCTCGCTTAACTGATTCAGTCAATGTTACTTTGCTTTCTGGACTTTTAAGAGAAGCTACAAACTTTCAAGACCACCCTAATATATTAAATCAGTGCCAGCAGGAATGTGTAAATATTTCAAGAAAAATCTAAGGTAAATATTTTGATATTTTGAAGAGCTAATATGTTAAGCACCCTTGCTCTGTTTTCTGTATGACATTATTTCCCAATCAGATATTGGTCATCAGAACCTATAAAACCATATGAAAACAGTATGATTTTTATTAGTTCCAAAAAGTGAAAACAAAACAAAACAGGCCAGGCATAGTGGCTCACACCTGTAATCCCAGCACTTTGGGAGGCCGAGACGGGAGGATCACCTGAGGTCAGGAGCTCAAGACCAGCCTGGCCAACATGATGAAAGCCCGCCTCTACTAAAAATACAAAAATTAGCCAGGTGCAGTGGCAGGCACCTGTAATTCTAGCTACTCAGGAGGATGAAGCAGGAGAATCATTTGAACACGGGAGGTGGAGTTTGCAGTGAGCTGAGATCGTGCCATTGCACTCCAGCCTGGGCAACAGAGTGAGATTCGGTCTCAAAACAATCAAACAAACAAAAACTATGTGTTCCTGAGAGTCCGAGTCCTAGAGATACTTGTATGTTCCCTCAGGAATTTAAAAGCAATAAAAAATGATTTATAAATAATACATTTATTGTAAGCCTCACACTGAGATCTGTTATAAATCAAATGAGATAAAAATACATACCCATCCATACATAGTATTAGGCTGCTTTTGTAAAAGCATTTGTAACATTAAAAAAACCCTACAATTTGTGTATACACTATACATTCATTTTGAAACATGATCAAGAAGACAAAAAACCATGGCCAAACGCCTTATTAAAACCCATTTATGCTGCAGGTTGCAATTTTTTGAATTTTTGCATGAGTGAAAAGTCCGACCTTGGTGATGGCCTTGAGCAGTAGGATATAAATAACTCCCACATTCTTAGTGTTCCAATAATGGAACACTAGGCCTAAGTGGGTTAAATGCATTCATAATGCTACTGGATACCAGACAAAAATATATTAAGGTACCCATTTTTCAAGATTT
Organism: Homo sapiens; assembly: GCF_000001405.40. Lineage (NCBI taxonomy): Eukaryota > Metazoa > Chordata > Mammalia > Primates > Hominidae > Homo > Homo sapiens. The sequence goes on from NC_000002.12 coordinate 229,830,467, forward strand.
TTAACTTATTTATTACTGAAACCAGCTACACATGCAACCACAATTTAAAAATTTTAAACAAAAATAAATATGTAAGGCTTCATCTAGTGAAACAGTAAACACGAAGAGGCGGACAGCTCATCTTCCAATTCCAAATCATGAAATTGCTACTAAAAATTTTTTTTTCTTGGAGGTGCAGGCACTGCTAGATTATGGTCAAATGAATTTAACTAAATTAATTTCAATAAAGAATGGTATTAACAGGTAGCTCATGGTAATGGTTTCTTATAGGCTCAATAACTGTTTTTACCTTGCAAACGTCCCATCTCGGAATCATCTGATTCACTCTCCCCAGAGGTGGTCATGCCAACAGCCCCTGCAACAGAACTAGAGGCTTGGGGTGGAGGGGAAAGATGAGGGTTAGGAGGAGCACTTAAACACATTATGTCTGGCTTACCTTAGAAAAACCAAAGTTTTGCGGACTACAATTGAATAAAGGCAATTAAACTTGTCTTGCTACTGTACACTCAGCTGTTCTTCTAGACTTTATCCTGTAGCTTTTAGGAATGAAAGGAGAGCTCAACTATTTTAGTATTAAAAAGGTTGTATTTTTATGCTTGTTTTTCATTTATATGTGGCTTTTGACAAATTTCTTGTGCCGTTGAAACTGTTCTTTAATTAAGATGTCCTGAATCCCTCTTCTGAAAGTCAATAAAGAACATACTGCTGTAACAATTGTGATTATTTAACAGATGGCCAATTAGTAACAAAAATAATAAAAAGGCAAAATAGACATTTGGGGGAAATGTTGTATGTAGACGTCTGCCTTCTAAGTCTGCTTTATTTCCGGACTACAGTCTTGATACAATCATTTATCTGTTTTCATTAACTTCAAGAGTGCAAAAAGATATTACAACTAACAGATGACTGCTATGAAGCATGAAGGAGGTTGGGCATGGTGGCTCACTCCTGTAATACCAACACTTTGCGGACCATGGCAGAAGGATCATTTAAGCTCAGGGGTTCAAGACCAACCCGGGCAATATAGTGAGACTTGTAGTCCCAGCTACTGAGTTGGGCATGCCTGAGTCGAGAGCACTGCTTGGGCCCAGGAGGTAGAGGCTGCAGTGTGCCGTGATCGTGCCACTGCACTCCAGCCTGAGCGGCAGGGCCAGACTCTGTCTCAAAACAAAAACAAGAAGTATGAAAGACAGGGCAACTAAAGTGTCAAAACTAGTGTGAAATGAAGAGTTAAGACTCAGGATACTATTAATCGAAATACTAACCTGACCAACAATGACAAAAAAACAGTCTAAGCTAATGGAGGTAGAGTCTATTATAAATCTGAACAGGAAGTAAAACCATATTCCTGCAAAACTAGCAGTTAATTGTGCCTCTATGTGTCTGCTGAGGTCAAAGGTTTTTTTTGTTTGTTTTTTGGGTTTTTTTTTTTTTTTAACACAGATGATTGATCTACATAAGCTCTTCCACAATACCTTAAGCCCTATATACTGCACAGATTGTGACAGAATGCAAGCCAGGAAGAATATTTTTGTCATAATTGTTAAAGAGGCATGTGTGAATAACATATGCGAGTTTAAAGAGCTTGTCTGAAGAAAAAGATGCCAAAATACCAGCCACTGACTGTATTTTCATATTACCATTCTCTTCACACACCATTAAGTATTTTCTATGTAACTTCATTATTGGGATTAAAAAAAAAATTCTTAGAAAAGCTTATGGTTTAAAACAGGGTCAGCAAAATATGGCCCAAAGGCCAAATCCAGTCCACCACATGGTTTTGTAAATAAAAATTTTATTAGAACATAGCTGTACTCATTCATTTACAAGTCTGTGGCCGCTTTCACGCTATAATTACAGAATTGAGTACTTGCAACAGAGACTACATAAAGCATAAAACATTTACTATCTGGCCTTTTACAAAAGTGTTGGTAACTCCCCCACCACTCTGAAAAGTTTAGAGCCATAGAGAGACAGATTAACCAGAAATACTGAAGTTGTATAAAGGCTGGGCAAAACCCACACTTCTGGTAAAGAAAAAGGAAATTAACCAATAACTACACACTATAATGCTACTTACAGGTAGGCAGCATTTATGAAAACGCTTACCATACAACACAGGCATTGTCTAAGTTTCCTCATAACTGTACAAAAGGTATTATAATCATCATGCACATAAGGAAACTAAGGTTTTGTGACTTTGAGCATACTTGGCCAAGGTCAGATAGCTAGTTATGGCTGAGAGATCTGAACTCAGGAAGTCTGACTTCACAGGTTGTACCCTTAGAAACTGTATGACTCAAATATATTCTTTAGCAGTGATTTTTAATTCAAATACAGTTGCTTCTTCACATTATACAGAAATGCTGTTAACGAATACTGTTACTAGGTACAATAATAACTGAAATGGCTCTTAAACTTATCTTAAGACTATTCCATCTATGTAGGAAGCAAATACCGAGTTTTAACAAATGAAATAGTGGGTATTTTTTAAAACACACTCTGGAGCCCATACATTAAAAAACAAACACACAGAAATCTAACCTGTTAGAGTACTGCTGGGTTTTTAAGTTTATTTATCAGAGAATCTACTTGATTTTACTTTAAAATGTTCTCCAGACCTACAACCATTAAAGGTTTCTACCTAACATTACTTCTTAAATATTTTATTCTAACGACTTTCATAATGAATATCTCAAACTGCACTGCCACAAAGACATCAATTAATCAAAACATAAAACCTATAGAAGAACATAATTAAAAGAGATGCTAAGGTTCTATTATAGCAGGGTCCCAACCTTTGGGGAGCCACAGAATCTTTTTTATTTTTATTTTTTTGAGACAGGGTCTTGCTCTCTTGCCCAAGCTGAAGTGCAATGGTGCAATTTACAGCTCACTGCAACTTCCGCCTCCAGGGCTCAAGCGATCCTCCTGCCTCCGCCTCCTGAGTAGCTGGTACCACAGGTACATGCCACCAAGTCTGGCTAAGTTTTGTATTTTTTTGTAGAGACAGGGTTTCACCATGTTGCCCAGGCTGATCTCAGACTCCTGAACTCAAGTGATCCACCTGCCTCGGCCTCTGAATGTTGGAGTTACAGGTGTGAGCTACTGCCAGAAGTCTGATTATCAGTAGAGGGTAGGGTGCTGGTTTTGACAGAAATTGGAAACTAATTGTGAAGAAAAGGATTCTTTTGCCATACCTCTGATAGCAAGTATTAAGCTTTTGTTCCCTTTTATGAAGTAGTTTAGGTTATCTAAAGTGGGAGTTTAGATATGAGTTATGAGTTATCTAATTTTGTAAAACATATATAAAAACTATTTTTGTATATGTTTTACAAAATTAGTTTGGTTTTACCAAAACAAAACAAAAAAAAAACAAAAAAACTACTAGTTTTGTATGTTTTACAAAATTAGAAGACTTAAACCAGCCAAGCCTCTGGCTAATTTAAGTAGTAGTATAGAGATAGCTGTTCTGTAAGGTCATGCAGATACGAAAATGTAATTAATCAACAGCAGTCAGCTACAGTTCTTTCGTCAAGGCTTCAAACCTCCTTAGGCATAGGCCAGATTTGTTCCCAGAGTCAAATATAAAAATGTGACTATCAGTAGATAAAATCCAATGCCAGATTTTCAACAGATATTTCCCGTTTAGTCTTAGCCTATCTTCACAGTACTGTGTAAGACAGTTTCCAATACACACAAGTGAAAATACTGGAGAGATGTTGTCTAAATCAGAATGCAAACATTCTACATGGAGTGACAAATTTTTATACTTTAACCAATTGATGCAAAGTTAACAAAATTGGACCACTTTCTTTATGTGATCTAACCCTGATCATTTCTTCCGAAACTATAAAGCTACCCAATGCAAAATGAAGCTGACATTATTTTACAAGCATAAAGAAAAATAGTTCATTCCTTACTTTAGTACCACTAGCATTTGCAAGACTTTATCAACACTATAAAGGTCTGTACAGTTCTGATTATGTCCAAATCTACGAATGCATAGCAGACCAGGTGCAGAGGCTCACGCCTGTAATCCCAGCACTTTGGGAGGCCAAGGTGGGCAGATCACTTGAGGTCAGGAGTTGGACAGCAGCCCGGCCAACATGGTGAAACCCCTTCTGTACTAAAAATACAAAAATTAGCCGGCTGTGGTGTCAGGCACTTGTAGTCCCAACTACTTAGGAGGCTGAGGCAAGAGAATCACTTGAACCCAGGAGGCAGAGGCTGCAGTGAGCTGAGATTGCAACACAGCACTCCAACCTGGGCAACAGAGAGAAACTTTTCCTCAAAGAAGAAAAAAAAAAAGAATGCACAGGAGTCTGCCTCTGACTCGTGGGAAAGCGTGGCAAACACTACACTTTCAACTTCAAAGGCTAGCATTTCTTACATGAAGAGCTAATGTGGTTGGGCTTTTTAAAATAATAACAACATTATTTCCAAATAAATGTTTCCAATGGAGTCTTATATCGACTATACAAGTACTATCCGAAAACGTTTACTTGTCAAAAAGAGCTCTAAGTCCACAAACCTATACACCATACTAATTTAGGTATTTTCTTCTACATTCCCATTTTACACATGCAGAAACTAAAGCACATTATCATGAAGAACTTAACGTAAAGCTGCTAAATAATTAGCTTATTTCCCCATAAATACTTTCATGAGTCAGCAGAGAAATTCCTATAATTCATAAGAGATCTATCCTCCAAAATGTAATGAAGTCAGTTTTCTAATACAAGTGCACATGCCACATGTATTTTTTATCACCAGCTACAATACACAGCTTGGGAAACACCTGTACCACACTGTAATTTGAAACATAAATGACAGTGTAATGCCTGGAACTGTTTAGAAAGGCAGTCGGATGAGCCTGATTCCTGTATGCTTTTATCCTCTTAGGTAAATAAATAGGGGAACAAAATTTTGAACCCCGTTCCCATTCCAGCCTTCAATTATATATTCGTATAAATTATATAAACTCTTGTAACTGCATTAGACAACAATGCTGTTACAAATATGCCTGGCTTTGGGAAGTCACACATCACAGCTTGTAACCCTGAGCAAGCATAAGCAATGTTTGTCTCCGTTTTTCCTCACTTAAAAAATGGTAATAATAACACTCATACCTCAGCAGGTTGTTTGGAATATTAAATAAGAATATATGTAAAGTGCTTAATACTATGGCTGGACTGCAATGTAGTGTACACTGTATATTAGTTATAATAATTACTGTAGTGAGTCTACATTAATAGCCTGCAGCTCCTTTTCTGTTACCCATTTGGGAATTGCCCCATTTCCACATTCAGGCTTCAAATAAACATTAGAAGACTGGGAAGGAGCGTACAGCACTGGGACAGACTGTGAGTCACAACCAGTTTTAATGAGTTGCAATTAAATGGACTTTCCAAATATCTACCATTTAAACCTTCAAAAAACTATTCTAGGAAAACAAATATGGGAAAAAACTCCTCTCCCACCATATAATTTATCATATAAAACTAAGAAAGTGTAGTGCTTAAAAGAAAAAAATCCTAAGCTAGAAAAAACAAGAAGACATCAATAGCGGGTAAACCACAACCTTCCTGGCAAACTATGACATATGATCAACCACAGACATTAAAGAAAATGACAACGTATCCTAATAGTAAACAATAGTATCTGAAATATCTTTATTCAAAAGGAAGTATATGCCTGTATCTAAACCTGTGTGTATCATCTGATTTAAGGGACTCATACATATAAGCCTATAGTGATTGATTTTAACATTTTTTTATCAGTTGTTCATGTCATTGAGAAATGTCAACAGAAACTACATTTTGATATCCATCAGCCAGAATTAATAGTTGAAGTATTAGCCTTGTTTTGGTACAGGTAATGGGTACATTATTTAAAGCTGAGAGAAAAGCCTTAATTTTGTGCTTCTAATATATCAAGAATAAAAATGAGAAGCCCATAACAATATAAATACTATTCTTACAGCTAAGGTTCAAACTGAATACTTGTATTTTAGGGCTTACAAAAATTCTAAATTAAAATTTATATATGTGTGAAGCAATTTAAACTATATCCTTACATTTTTACTATGAATTTAAATTCTTTCAATCAATGGGCAATTATACACACTAGTCAATATATAAAAAGCTTAAACAGAGTTTGCTTCTTCCTAAAAGCCTTTTGAATGTAATTAGAGCAAATTTGGATGAGAATTTTAAAATGGCAACCAAATCCAACTAATCAAAATATCAAACTGGTAAAGTAAAACAAAACAGAACAAGAAGTTTATACGATAGTAACACCTAGCATACTTCCCTCCCTCTGCCCATCAAATCTGTAAAAGACAGAAACGCATTTTAAAGCTAAGAAGTACCAATCTACCTGCAGCTCCTTGGGGAGCTTCATCTGTCCGAGCAGCTGAAGAATTTACTGCCTCCTGGTTGCTTTCAGGGTCTGCCATTTTCTCCTGTCGACGAGCTTCAGCTGCTCCTCTTTTGCCCAGGCCAGAGCCTCGCCGACTACAACAGAAAAATGTCATCATGGGCAGCATTACCAGTGAACCAGGAGCAATGTATACACAACACAAAGCTCAAATTCATGGAGCACAAAGCCAGTTTCTTCTTCGTCCTCTTTTTAAATAAAAGTAAGTGCACAAAATCACCATGTATAACAACCAAGACTTTGTATATTTAAAATTCTTCCAAGTTATATTGCATTTACAATACAAGCTTTTGTTACTGTGAGCTGTTGTCATCCTCAGAAACAGAAACGATTTTTAAAACACTTCCAACTAAAAAGAAAAGTGACTCTTTCTGCAGAGAAAATTCAATTCGTTTAAAATAGAGCATCACTTCCAGGGTAAATAGTGGATTAATATATTAATGCTGGCTGGGTACGGTAGCTCATGCCTGTAACCCCAGCACTTTGGGAGGCTGAGGCAGGTGGATCACCTGAGCTCAGGAGTTCAAGACCAGCCTGACCAACATGATGAAACCCTGTCTCTACTAAAAATACAAAAATTAGCCAGGTGTGGTGGCATGCGCCTGTAATCCCAGCTACTTGGGAGGCCAAGACAAAAAATTGCTCGAACCCGGGAGGCGGAGGTTGCAGTGAGCCGAGATCATGCCACTGCACTCCATCTTGGGCGGCAGCAACAACAAAAAAATTATACAAAAGAACTGCAGATTAACATTGAGAATGCGAGGAAGGGAGGAGGAGGAGATGGAAAAAAATTTCCCAGCCCGTGTTCCAGATTACCTAAATCATATAAAAATAACTATCCTAATAATGAATAACTCCATTCTTTAAATTATGGATTTAATATTATTAATAAATACAGATAACATTTGGGAAAGATATTCATCTAGGACAGAGACACAGAATAAATTATGGAAAAAGAATGACCACTTATTTCTCCTATAGAAAATTACATTTTATTGATAATAAACCTTTTTTTCTCCTTCAACAGCGAAATCAGTAAGCAAACCAGGGAGAAGCAAAAATACTTCCCCCAAAATTATTCAAACTTGATAGCATTTAAACAAAAGCTCCCCAAATTATCTCAAGAAAGGCAGAAACCTGTTACTAAAGACATGTTTTAGACTAAAGTCACACTACAGTAAAGTGAGAGAAGCAGGCACAACTGACCTACAAAGGAAGGCTCTGGCTTACCTGAGAGCACTGGAAGAGTTTATTCTCATTACAGAAAAAGCTTCCCTACACAGAAATTTGCTTAACTAATCTTTCCTTCACAAGGAAACAGCTCATTCCCAACCCATTTTACAAAGGTACAAATTAGTGGGATTCAAATTCACTCATTTAAGATCTAATCTCCACCAACACACTGGGCTGACCACTTTGGATACATAGGGCTGCTGCCCTCAAGGAGTGCTACTCTAAAGAGAAACAAGGACACCCTTAGTAGGTGACCAAGGCACTGTATATAAGCAGAATCTCAACTAATTCAGAAAAGATTTGCCATGAAGAGCACTTCAAGCAGGTGGCTAGATTAGACGGCCTGCGCACAGCATGATCATGCCTCAGTGGGTAATTTCGCACGTGCTAATTATCGTTGAGTAGAAGGAGAGACGGTTGCAGAGAACAGCAGGGCAAGCAAGACAATTACAACACTAGATTACCTGACTTCGCATATGGCTTAAAATTAATTTTCAGACACAATAAATCCAGTTTGCATCTCAGACTAAACCTTGAGTAATTAAGATTCAAAATTTGGCCCAAAATAGGACAAAAACTCTGGAAAACTAAGAAGTTTCTTCAGAAATCCTCAGAAAAGTTGCTATGCAACCTCAAAAGCAAACAGGTGTACTAAATCCAGATATTTTAAACAATCTAAAAAATTTAAAAACAGGTTGAAAAGATTTAAGGTGGCAAAGCTATATTTCTTATGACTTATAGGCACCAAGTTGTACTGTTTACTTATGTCGCTATTGTAACACCGCCAAGAGTAGAGATAAGAACCAAAAGAAGTGGAAAGACCTTTCTGCTAACCTGAGTGGGAAAACGTAAGCTAAAATCATTCCCCCCTGCATTACTAGTGTTGATGCATTTACTAGAGGGAACAAGCTACAGTCATGTGCTGCATAATGTTGTTTCTGTCAAGGACGAACCACGTATATGACCGTGGTCCTGCAAGATTATTAATACCCTATTTTTACTGTACCTTTTCTATGTTTAGATATGTTTAGATGCATAAATGCTTGCCATGGTGTTACAACTGTCTACAGTATTCTGTAAGGTAACGTGTTTTACAGGTTTGTGGCTAGGAGCAACAGGCTACCACACGGCCTAGATGTGTAGTAAGCTATACTATCTAGGTTTGTTTTAAGTGTTCTCCATGATGTTTGCATGGCAAAATCACCTAATGACACATATCTCAGAACGTGTCCTCCTCATTAAAAGTGGCATGACTGGCCGGGCACGGTGGCTCACGCTTGTAATCCCAGCACTTTGGGAGGCCGAGGCAGGTGGATCACGAGGTCAGGAGACCGAGACCATCCCGGTTAACATGGTGAAAACCCATCTCTACTAAAAATACAAAAAAAATTAGCTGGGCATGGTGGCGGGCGCCTATAGTCCCAGCTACTCGGGAGGCCGAGGCAGGAGAATGGCGTGAACCCGGGAGGCAGAGTTTGCAGTGAGCCGAGATTGTGCCATTGCACTCCAGCCTGGGCGACAGAGTGAGACTCCATCTCAAAAAAAAAAAAAAGAAAAAAGTGGCATGACTTACACAAAGACGGAGAACTCATATATAGCTACTGAATAATTAGCAGCGGAATGGCACCTGACTAACCGACCAAGCCTGAAAAGCCGAGAGGAAGTTGCAGGAGATTTTTACCTTTAGGCTAAGATTCTCAATCAGTTAATAAAAGTATATGAAATATTAACTGTATCACATCAAAGATAGTTGTTTTGAAAGTGAGATCTACAGCAACTAGAATCTAGAATTGGAGATGGGAGAGAACACACATAATAACTACACCTTTTCTTGAGCGAAAGGTGTTATAAAAATTAAGTACATTTCCCCCTCCATTCATTAAACTTAGCAACTAGTTCTAACACTTTTAGAAACCAACTGGGCAACAGTACAGCCATTAAAACAGGCATCCTTTTTGATTCATTAATCACACTATTGGGAAATTTAACTACCTTTTAAAAACAACCCAAATCTGCATAAAGATGCTCATTAGAAGTATATTTGGCAGACGAGAACTCTGTAAACAGTCAAAGGTCCTGCTACTGTCAACAGTATTGTGAAAATAGCGTTAACAACAAAGGAAAAGTAGAAGATAAAAGTATCGTCAAGAAATAGAATGATTAGAACTTAGTAGAAACATGTAAATAAATATTGCGGAGAAATTCACAAAGATAATACCAGTTATGTTAGAATATGTCTTTACTCAAGTAAAAAAAAATTTAAATAATTTTTTAAAAATCATCGGGCACGGTGGCTCACGCCTGTAATCCCAGCACTGTGAGAGGCTGAGGAGGGTGGATCACTTGAGGTTGGGAGTTGGAGACCAGCCTGGCCAACATGGTGAAACCGCATCTCTACTAAAAATAAAAAAATTAGCTGGGTGGGGTGGCAGGCACCTGTAATCCCAGCTACTAGGGAGGCTAAGGCAGGAGAACCACCTGAACCCGGGAGGCGCAGGTTGCAGTGAGCCAAGATCGCGCCACTGCACTCCAGCCTGGGTGACAAGAGCAAGACTCCGTCAAAAAACAAAACAAAACAAACAAAACAAAAAACAACCTATGGAGTTAAGTATTTTGATGAAAGTTGAAATTGAGCAACAGAATAAAAATGAACTCACTATAAAAAAAAAAAAACAAATTACCTGGTACTAGCACAGGAGCCCGTGGTCTTTTGGCGTGTGCTCCGCCTCAAACTGGGGAGCTCAGCAGGTGGAGACTCACTGCGTTTCTTCGTAGATTTTCTTAAACCTATCCACAGAAAATGGAAAAGTGTAATTTTATAATGAGAAATTATCACTAATTAAAAATTATAAAATTCTTCAGGTCATCATGTTCAAAACTTCACAGAATATTTTTATAACCTCTCCAGCAGTATTACTAGCTTTATTTCCACAGCCTATTCATAATGAAAAAGCTAATGGTACTTGGCACTCCAGTTCAGGATCGGTCTTCTCACTTGGGCCCAACCTTGACCCAAGCTATCCCCAAAGTCCTGCCTATCTCTCCTCTTTCAAAGTTCTTTTCTCTCCTGCTCCTCTTCTCCACTAACAAAGGCGAGTTTTTTTGTATATACCATTTATTTCAAGAATTTACTAAACGTCATTAAGTTTATCAACTTTGTTACACTGTTCTTATATTGTCCCATTTCAGTTAGTTTATATAAGGCTCATCAATAAGGTATGAGAGAATAAAATGAGTTATACCACCCATCAGAAAGGTACATGCACTTGGACTGAAGGTTATTAGGAAGACTGATTTATAAAATACTGGATAATTAGGGGGGAGACTCAATTAAGCACAGTTTACATGTTATTCTGGAAGCTAACTAATGCCTTTACAGGTCAATAGGCTCGAAAATGGTGTATCAATTAAGTAAAGTTTATTACTATTTTATGAACAATAAGAAAGCCAAGACAGCATCCACCCTTGCCCAACCCTCACAGTGTTACCACAAATGACATACTAGGCAGTATACTCAATCTAAACAAAGACCTCCAACAGTGAAAGGTCTCCAAAGTTACCAATCATATTTCCATGAGAACTCAGCATCATCTTAAACAGCTGTTAACTTTTTCAGAGACTAATTAATTATACAATTGGTCCTGGTCACTTACTTCTTTTCAGGAAGTTTTAATTTTGCTGATTTCATTGCTTTAAAGGGGAAAAACAATTCTTTACTCCTTTGTGGAAAAGCAGCAGTAAAAGAACTGGGAGAGAAACAGTAAAAAGGATTCTAGACATTTTCTTGATCTTTTAGACTCAAATTAAAACTTCAGTTCATTCAACTTGGGATGGTCTTTACAGCAGACTTAAAAGGAGAGTTGCTAAGTGAAAAATCAACTTATTCAAGAATCTGCAAACATGAAACAGAAGCTATAAAGATAAAAATCTATGTTTAGACAGGCATTACTTTTTAGACATCTAAACTATATCTTTTGGGCCTTTTTCAAAATAACTTTCGTGAAAGATTATCTAAACAGGTGAAGCTGACATAAAAGAATCAAAGAATGAAACTTTAATTGGGAAAAGATGATTGGCTTAAGAGTTTCTTAAATTTCAATCTTATTTTTAGGTTGATTTTCTACATAGCATACTGCCAGAATTACCTGATATAATCATATGCCTAATATCCTATGCTGTCTTTGTCAGGGCACACAATCTGGTCACCTAAGAGACAGGGCATGGCAATAGATCTAGGGAGCTAGCTTGGTAATACATTTGGCTAATTAGCATCACATTTAATATTTTAAAAATTCATAAATTATTTTAAAATAGTATTTCAGAAAGTATTCAATTTTACACTTGCTTTTCTATTGGATTTGTGTGACTAAGTTAAAGTAGACTTACGAATGTACAGTTTAGAGAGAAAAAAATGCAAATTTACATTATATTAAAACACACCAAAAAACAGTGTTTTTGCTTATAACAAAGCACTTAAAAAAAACCCTGTATTCTTGTCATTAGTATTACACAGTACTTCATTCATGAATACTAAAATATCTTTATACATACCATGATACAGTAATAGACAGTAGCACACACTTTTGCATCTATTTAGTGACATTAAAAATAAATTATTCAAATTAATGTACTGTGGGCTACACTGCTGATTTGAAGTGATGACATATTTTTTAATCAAACTTTATTTTACTCTTTCACTATTCATGTCCTAAAACAGACTTCACTGTTTCTTTTACACTGTCTTCAACTATAACTTAAATGTGATAATAATATACTTATTGTGAGTGGTTCAGAGTTTGACAAATGTATTTACCCATATAACCAGCATCACCATTAAGACACAAACATTTCCATTACTCTAAAAAGATCCTTCCTGATCCCTTGTAGGTAATTCTCTCTTATTCTCTCTTTCTCTCTCTCTCTCCCCCACTCCTTCCCTCCCTCCCTCCTTCTCTCTCTCCCTCCCTCTCTCCCCACCCCCCTTTCCCAGGCTCTGTAATGCAGCAAAACTACATTTATCATTTACCTTTATGATGCCACTCAACCAGAATGTCACTGGTTAGATTAATATACTCTTACCCCAAAGGTTTTGTGTCATGAAGTTAGGTATAAATGTAGATGTACTCTTTTCCTCAAAATTCTTGACCTTATTATATTGGTATAAGTATATATGCCCTTGTTACTATAATCTTTAAACCTCTGGATAAAGATGAAACTGGCAGTTAGTATGGTCTGCCTAAAAATCCTAATTGTTCTGTTCTCCAATACAGACGTATCTATAAAACAAACAAACAAACAAAAACAGGCTGAGCATGGTGGCTCATGCCTGTAATCCCAGCACTTTGGGAGGCCAAGGCCTGAGGATCATTTGAGTCCTGAGAGTCTGAGACCAGCCTGGGCAACGCAGATCTTGTCCTCACAAGAAAACCAAACCAAAACAACAAACAAAAAACACAGGCTGGATATAGTGGCTCATGCCTGAAATCCCAGCAATTTGGGAGGCTGAGGCTGGAGGAATGGGTGAGCCCAGGAGTTTGAGACCAGCATCAACAACACTGTAAGACCCTGTGTCTCCACAAAAAATAAATAAATAAAAATAAATTAGCTGGGCATGGTGATGCATGTCTATAGTCCCAGCTACTTAGGAAGCTGACGCGGGAGGATCCCTTAAGCCCAGGAGTCCAAGGCCATAGATTACACTACTGCACTCCAGCCTGGATGACAGAGCAAGACCTTGCGAAAAGAAAAGGAAGAAAAGGAAGGGAGGGGAGAAGAAAGGGAGGAAAATAAAGAAAAAAAAGAACATGTATTCCTAATTAAAAAAAAAAACTGATTTATTCAAAGTTCAAGGTTTCAGTCTTTCAAAACAGCGGCAATTTGCAAGGTTTGGCTTTCGAAATGTGATATAATTAAAACTGTATGTATCCAGTTGCAAGCTTTGAATTTTTAAAACAACATTGTAAGAGAATCAGATTGAGGAGTGACAATGACCTTAGATATTTTACTTACTCTTATGTAAGAATAGTTAAGATGCTTTGGGGTACTTCCTGCTTACATGATTTACTTTCCTTGTCTACTTGAAATTTTATAAATTTTAAAATGTACTTCTCATTACATTAGACTATTATTTAATGATTCCAATCTCATCATTTTGCAGGAGAAATGAGCTCAAGGAGAAATGTCTGCCTACTTAAAAGGAGTCACCAAAGGTAGGTCACTACCAATACTGGAATGGCTTTTACTCTTAGTTATGTTATGTTAATTAAAAACTAGAAATAGACAACTGAATAATAAATCTTCGCTGTCCTGTTTTTATGCTATCTTCCATTCTTACATGATCTATGTTAAAGGCATGTTAATCTTTCATATGGTAATCTGAGATACACATCAGACCTATTACACAGTCCCACAATCAAAATATAGTCTCCCCCACCATGATAAAGTATTCTAGCAATGAAATAAGTAAACTTTCCAGCTTCTTCAAGATTCCTTCTGTTACACAAGAAGTCAAAGCAAACATCAATGTCAATGTATTTGATAAGACTCTATAAAAATCGGGCAGGGACGAAGAGGTGAGGGAAGTGGATTTAAGATCTTCATTCCATAAGTAATTATTCCACTCAAATAATTACTGTTATCTTCCAACTTACACATGCATTTTCAAGTGACTTTAGATGATCAAGTACACACACCTATTTTTAATGTACAGAAACCCTTTTTCTGAGTGCACTGCTTATTTATTTTTAAAGTTCTCTGGAGAGCTATCTCCTACCTCTTCTCCACGTGGTACCATTGGAAATGTCTTCTCCAACACATTTCTACTATTACACAAGAGGGTCAAACACCAATCCTCACCATCATCACCCTTTTTTCTCCTCCACCATACTGATTCATTCAAGGACAGGTATATAACCCAAGGAAATCAGGGACTTCCTTAAATGTTGATATATAAATGAGTAGATATTATCCTCTTTTATTGTAAAGGGAGAGTCTGAGGGAGGTCACAAGATGTGAGATTGCAAGTGCTATCTTCATTTGACCTCTGGATCCAGCCAAGCCTGAAGCTAGGCATTCTCTTGGCTTTACCACCCATCATGTGAACTGATTTGTATTTCCATTTAATTTTGGTTGAATATCCACCATTAATCCCAAAATTCAGACCGTAAGTCATTATTAGAATTTTTAGTCTAGAGCAGGTGTTGACAAACGGCAGCCTGTGGAACAAATTTGACTGGCAACCTGAGCCTCTCAAGCTATGAATGGTTTATACATTCCAGAAAGTCATAATAAATGAAGAAGAATATGTGGCAAAGATTGTATGTGGTCAGCAAGGCCTAAAATATTTACTATATGGCCATTTGCAGAAAATGGTTACTGACCCAGACTTTGAGGGGGAAAAAAAACCACGTAAGAATTCATCCAAATTTCAAAAACTAGTTAAAACTCTCCAAAACAAAAGAAATAAAGCCTCTTTTATATTTTAAAAGAATACAGTATACAAATTAATATCTTAAGGGTAGATATCAAAAAAATTGCTACAAGTCATTTACATTTATAGGCATATCAGGGGATGACTATGATGATCTTTAAAACACAAACGCCTGGCCAGGTGTAGTGGCTCACATCTGTAAGCCCAGCAGTTCAGAATGCAGAGGCAGGAGGATTGCTGGAGGCCAGGAGTTTGAGACCAGCCTGGGCAACATAGTTTCTACAAAAAATTACGAAGAAAAAAAAAAATTAGCTGGGTGCGGTGACACAAGCCTGTAGTCCCAGATGCTCAGAAAGCTGAGGAAGGAGGATTACTTGAGCAGTGAGCTATGATCACACCACTGCGTTCCAGCCTGGGTGACAGATCGAGAGCCTCTCTTTTTTTCAAAAAAAAAAAAAAAAAGGTGGGGGGGGCAGGTAGTTTTTGTCTTGAGATGGAATTTATTCATGGAAAGATGCTGTAGACATCACTGAAATGACAAGAAAGGATTTAAAATATACATAAACTTAGTGATAAAGCAGCAGCAGCAGGGTTGGAAAAAAATTGACTCCAATTCTCAAAGAAGTTCTACTATAGATAAAATGCTATCAAACAGCATCGCATGCTATATTGAAATCTTTCGTGGAAGCAAAAGTCAATCAACGCTGCAAACTTTATCGTTTTGAAACTTCCACAATCACACCAACCTTCAGCAACCACCACCCTGATCAGTCAACATCTATCAACACTGAGGCAAGATCATCCACCAGCAAAAAGATTATGACTTGCTAAGGCTCAGATGATCATTAGCAATTTTTAGCAATAAAATATTTTTAACTAAGCCATGTACATTGTTTTTTTAGACACAATGCTATTTATTGCATGCTTACTAGATTACAGTATAGTGTAAGTACAACTTTTATGTGCACTGGGAAACAAAAAAATTCATGGAACTCACTTTACTGTGATTTTAATTTTCTTGTGGTGGCTGGGAACTGAGTGCATTAACATCTCCAAGGTATGCCCGTGTAACTATATTAATGGTTACTTTGGTAAAAATAAATTTAAAAAAATGAAAAGTAATCTATGAGGTTATAAAAAGGAATCACAGACTTTTATTTTAAAATAACTCAGTAATAATAAGACAGATTTTGCAGATAATGAGCTAAATCCCAAATGCAATTTTTAAAGCAAATTTTTATTTCCTAGTCAATGCACAGCATTTCATGCACTGATTTGTCAATATGAATTACAAATATTGGAAATGTCCAAAGGTATTCATCTAAGCAGTATTTATAATGAGGAGAAACTAGAAAGGAGCTAGATGCCCAATAACAGGGAATAGTTAAATAAAACAGTATGGTAATTAAAGTTGCAAGAAAACAGTTATTATTTAATAAGGATTTGAACATGTTGGCACTTTTACACAGCTGGTGGGAATTCATGTATTTCTAAGTGCAGTTTCAAAATATATGTCAATATCTAAAAAGAATATAACCAGTGACTTAACAAGGAAAGAGTGGTGTAAATTACAAAGCTATACTTAATTAGGGTACATCCATATCTAGCCATTACGAATGATGTAATTTATAGTTATTTGAAAGGAAACCACTCTATTACAAAGTGTTTAGACAAATAATGCACTTTTGTTTCTCCACAACTATTACCTTGCTCTGTCATTCTGAAGATGAAATTTAACGGACATCAAATGTCTATTTCAGAGCCTGGCCACATAACAGGCACTCAAAAAGTAATGCCCACTGTCATGTACAGCGAGATCATACTTTTGCATATGCCTAGCGAAGTGTCTCCCTTCTGGGTAAAGACAGAAGACTTAACACACATGCACTCACTTCTGTCTCCACATGAAATGCCACTAATACAGCATTAAAACAATCTGAGACATAAATCTACAAGGATGAGAAGAATGGAAGACACTATTGTTACAATACAATTTTAGGAGATGAAAACCAGAAATGCCGGGGCTAAATGCACTGGGAAGTCCAGAAAGCTGAAAGTAGAAAGCTGAGATTAACTACCAATCAAACTGACACCAGAGAAACCCAAAAAGGCTCAGGATCTGATGATGCCAGATACCTCTAGGGCAGTGTTGGGATTAAAACTGAAGATTGGCTGATAGGCTGTTTACAAGGCATCAGATCCTCAGATCCTCTCCCACACTTGTACAGCTGGGTAACCATTCCTCTCCTGGTTCCAGCAAAAAACAAGACCTTTATTCTTTAGGAAGTATAGAATATAGAAATTCCTGACTAAAGTACACAGTACAAATAGGTTCACTACACCAAAAATAAGAGGGAGAGAAGGGAATCGAGTACAGACATACTGTCTGACAATATACATTATCCTGCCTCCATCTGTGGCCTCTTCTCCCACTTGGCCCCCAGAACTCAGGCACTTAGGGCTTCACCTTGAGGCAGAAGTTTGAAACAATCTTCTCTGTGGAATTTTACCAGCTAAAGAAAAAAAGATCTAAAAATAATGATAAGAGGAAGTTTACAACAAAATGACCCAACCAGATCACTAAACAATGAATCTCGGTCAAACCTCCCTTATGTACTCAGAGCTTATAAATTAGACTTTTGGTCTTGAATTACACTTGAGTATGAGGAGACAACCAGGAATTACCAGAATTACCAGAATATGAGGAAAGTTCCTAACATGAAAGACAAAACCAATCCAAAATGCAGGCCCCCCCCGCCCCCCCCACACACACAAATACTTGAGATTACACAGGCAAAGAAAACTCACCATTAATGTCATCAAAAAAGAAATGCAACCATAAACCAAACGCATGATTCTATAAACAAGAAAATGAAAACAAAATCACCTCTTGGAAATAAAACATGGCAAACATGGGGGAAAAAAAGCATTTCAAGAGAAAAGTTGGAAGATGTAGAAATCTACCAGAAACAGAACGAAAAAGGAAAGCAATGTCAAACAGTAAGATCAAGACCATTTAAGAGGACAAGCACTCAATAGAAAATCAAGAAAGAGAAAACAAACAAGTACACGGTGACCAACAGTCCCAGTTTGCCTAGGACTATGCTGGTTTTAGAGCTGTAAGTCCTGAGTCTTCAGAATGCCCCAGATCCAGAGAAAGCAAAACCAGTTGGTCACCCTATCAAGGAATAAATCAGAACTAGGAATGGTGCCAGTATTGAAAGACAGAATACACTATATAATTCTTGAAAATTCTGAAGGAAAGTAATTCCCAACCCAGAACTCTATATTCACCAATCTGGCAAATAAATATCAGGGTGGTATAACATTTTCAGACATCTAAATTTTGAAAAAATAAATTGTAAATTATTAAAATCTCATACTTTTCCTTAGAGTCAAGAAGAAATATTCCACCAAAACAAGAAACCAAGATGACATGAAATCTAGAAAAGGGAAACTAAGAAGACTGAAGAAAATCCCAAGGCTGAAGCCGTATAACCAGGCATAATGAACAACCATCCAGAGGCCTCATTTCTTCAAGATGAAACAAATGCATGCAGACAGCTTGAGAAAAGATTGTGACAATTAGTAAGGAATGTGGAGTTTGAGTAAGTTCATGGGAAAGTAAGGAAAACAACAACAAAAAGGAATTTAAAATTCAGGAAAAGCAAAAATGTGTGAGAAAGGAAATGTTCCTTTACGTGGCTCAGTGTAAATAACATTTAGATGTTCACGATACAATAAACCCTGCGTGCTGATCATCACTGGGAAGACAGGAAGTATGTAACAGTATGTGTTTGGTAGGTGAATGGGGTGGGGTAAGGTTAGAATGCAAAATCTTCATTTTCCCTAAGGGGAACACAACAGGGATCAAACACTTGGGGGTGGGGGAGAAGAATCAACAAAGGGACATATAAAAGCACATAATCTAGACACTGAAACTTCAAAATAATCAGCCACAGAAAAGGGCAAAGTGGCAGAAAGACTGCTTTAAAAAAAAATAATAGATCTGGCCAGGCATAGTGGCTCATGCCTATAATCCAAGCACTTTCGGAGGCCTAGATAGGAGGATCGCTTGAGTCCAGGAGTTTGAGACGAACCTAGGCAACATAGTGAGACCTCATCTCTACAAAAAAAAAATCTTTCTAAAAAAATTAGCTGGGTATGGTGGCATGTGCCTGTGGTCCCAGCTACCCGGGATGCTGAGGTGGGAACACTGTTTGAATCTTTTGAGATCAAGGCTGCAGTAAGCTATGATTATCTTCTTGAAGAAGAAGAAAAAAAAGGTCTTATATAACTCTTTCACTTAACACTGCACATAAGTGTTGATAAATATAAAGTGAAAATTTTTGGCATAATACACACCAAAAAAAAAAAAAGAGGTAGCCCTTGGTGAATGAAATTAAAAGTGATTTTGTATTTTTCTTCTTTGTATATTTTGGTACTTTCTGGATTACTTTTAACAAACATATATCAGAATCAGAAGTGTCAAAACCATTCCAGAATACACGTAAGAATATAAAGGGCAATTACTAATGTAAATTGAGTAAAACATAATTTGGCTAATTTAATTCTTATTTTGACCTTGCATACAAAACAATATATAACATGGCCATTTATAATTTCCAAACAATGTAATACAAAGCAAAGCCTTGTTAACAAAGAAGTCAATGCTGTATTTACAATTAAATGATCTCTTTTTTAAATTTGGCCACTTCTGTTTAAAGTTTTTTTAAAGCCTCAAAAACACTAGGATTATTTGTTAGTAATTTTTCAAAGCGGTCACATATTGGAACTTCTAAACTTTTAAGTTGCTAAATTACTTTAATAGCTGCCTTGTAATATAGAAAACTGACACTCAACCCATTTCCTTTTAAGCTCCCTGCCCAACTCTTCACAGAGCTCACAGATTATCTACCTTTTTCACGCAAGTAGAGATGATCCTGCAAGATGCAAGTTGGTGAAACTGAAAGGTGACAGCGTGTGGCAGTCCTCACAGCCCTCGCTCGCTCTCGGCGCCTCCTCTGCCTGGCCTCCAACTTTGGCGGCACCTGAGGAGCCCTTCAGCCCACCGCTGCAATGTGGGAGCCCCTTTCTGGGCTGGCCAAGGCCAGAGCCCACTCCCTCAGCTTGCAGGGAGGTGTGGAGGGAGAGGCGCGAGTGGGAACGGGGGCTGCACCCGGCGCTTGCGGGCCAGCTGGAGTTCCGGGTGGGTGTGGGCTTGGCGGGCCCCACACTCGGAGGAGCAGCCGGCCCTGCCGGCCCCAGGCAATGAGGGGCTCAGCACCCGGGCCAGCGGCTGCGGAGAGTGTACTGGGTCCCCCAGCAGTGCCAGACCACCGGCGCTGCACTCGATTTCTCGCCGGGCCTTAGCTGCCTTCCCGCAGCGCAGGCCTCGGGAGAGCAGCCCACCATGGCTGAGCCTTCCCCCACCTCCGTGGGCTCCTGTGCAGCCCAAGCCTCCCCGACGAGCGCCGCCCCCTGCTCCAGGGCACCCAGTACCATCGATCACCCAAGGGCTGAGGAGTCCGAGCACATGGCGCGGGACCGGCAGGCAGCTCCACGTGCAGCCCCGGTGCAGGATCCACTGGGTGAAGCCAGCTAGGCTCCTGAGTCTGGTGGGGACGTGGAGAACCTTTATGTCTAGCTCAGGGATTGTAAATCGGCACTCTGTATCTAGCTCAAGGTTTGTAAACACACCAATCCGCACCCTGTGTCTAGCTCAGGGTTTGTGAATGCACCAATCGACACTCTCTAGCTACTCTGGTGGAGCCTTGGAGAACCTTTGTGTCAACACTCTGTATCTAGCTAATCTGGTGGGGACATGGAGAACCTTTAGTGTCTAGCTCAGGGATTGTAAATGCACCAATTAGCACCCTCTCAAAACAGACCACTCGGCTCTACCAATCAGCAGGATGTGGGTGGGGCCAGATAAGAGAATAAAAGCAGGCTGCCCGAGCCAGCAGTGGCAACCCGCTCGGGTCCCCTTCCACACTGGAAGCTTTGTTCTTTCACTCTTTGCAATAAATCTTGCTACTGCTCACTCTTTGGGTCCACACTGCTTTTATGAGCTATAACACTCACCGCGAAGATCTGCAGCTTCACTCCTGAAGCCAGCAAGACCATGAGCCCACCGGGAGGAAGGAACAACTCCAGACGTGCTGCCTTAAGAACTGTAACACTCACCGCGCAGCTTCACTCCTGAGCCAGCGAGACCATGAACCCACCAGAAGGAAGAAACTCCAAACACATCCGAACATCAGAAGGAACAAACTCCAGACGCGCCACCTTAAGAGCTGTAACACTCACCATGAGGGTCCGCGGCTTCATTCTTGAAGTCAGTGAGACCAAGAATCCACCAATTCCGGACACAAAACCATGTATCTAACTTAAATTCATCTCTCCTGCTTAACTCATTCTTATTTCCTCCCTCCGTGCTAGGGGCCCAAAGCACTAAGTCTTCCTAATCTAATCAGAATCTCTTTTCTAGAATTTGGCTTTTGCCTGGTTCTTGTCTAGGTCTGATAAAAACCACAGGCTACATGCAAAGTCACCAGGAGAATATGAAACTCAAGACAAAAGTAAGCTGTTAACTACTGCTATGTTACTAATAACGTGCACATGATGTCCACTTTAAATAATAGAGAGTAAAGTAGATCTTCAATAGAACATCTGCCTGGAAATATAACTTAAGTTTTTCTATAAACAGGTTCCATAATTACTCAGATTTTGATCACCAATTGTTTCTTATAATTCTATACCATCATCATCTACTCACTTTGAAATTATTGCAAATTTTTTTTTAAATTAGCTTTTATAAGAAGGTAGATTAGCAAAATATATTTTGAAGCCAAACTATTATAAAATTATTTAAAGTATATTAAAATATAAAAAGATTTTTGAAGCCATCTATATCATTATATTACCCTACTGGTTTTATATTTATGCTGTATAAAATTTGCAAAAATGTCTACTTACTTAGGCTAAACAAGAGACAGCTATAACTTCCTAATGTACATTAAAAATTGTTACATAACAATTTTCTTTCTGGGGTACTCAGGAGACTTTTACCAAGTAACACAGAATGACCTTTGTCTCAGAGCTGTTTTGATGAGATACAGCTGGCAAGCAGCAATGCTTCAGGAAGTCTATCACTAAAGTAGCGGTTTCACTAGATCTTCTGCCAGCCCTAGTGCCTCGCCGGGAACTTGTTCATTGGTCTATCAACAATTGACTAAGCAGCACAATAACAAGGTCTTCCTGTTTAAGCTTCCTCACTAAATGTATTATATCATTTCCTGAGTGTATTCCATGAACCACTACTGGTTCCCAAGTAATAGCTGGTCAAATTAATTTGCAAATTATTGGGTTAAGAAGTTACTGCAAGTCTTCCCACAGCTTTCAATATATTCCTGCTTATCTAGAATCTCCTTGAATAATACTTGAACATGGAGAATGGTTTTTCATAAAGCATCTTAAAAATACTGTTGTTCCTACAATTTTTAAAACATTTCCTTTACTATGAAAGCTCTCCTACTGACCAATTATGTCTTAGAATAAGTCTTTACCTAAGGAAACACATCACATTCAAATAGGTTCAATTCTTAAAAACTGGAAGAAAACAAAGGATATCCAAAATAAAATAAAAAACCTACCCAATGTGAAATTTCTCACAATGGCCTACTCTATTTTTAATATAATTTTTAGATTTTTATTCTACTAAGATTTGTATTAATCAGAAGCCCATCTCTCAACTTTCATCCACCCACTGAATCTAATTCTGGCCTCTGAATTAACGTTAAAACAAAAAACCCTGATGCATACAAAAGCCCTTTAAATACATGACCTGGCTGGGCGAGGCGGGCAGATCACCTGAGGTCAGGAGTTCGAGACCAGCCTGGCCAACATGGCAAAACCGCATCTCTACTAAAAATACAAAAATTAGCCAGGTGTGGTGGCACCTGTGAATCCCAGCTACTTGGGAGGCTGAGACACGAGAATCACTTGAATCCAGGAGGGGGAGGATGCAGTGAGCAGAGATCACACCACTGCACTCCAGACTGGGCGACAAGAATGAGACTCTGACTCCAAAAATAAATAAATAAATAAAATACATACATACATACATACATACATGACCATAACTCTCAATTCAACATTACATGGTACATTACAATATGTTGCTGCATTCTATGGCACTTCATATGTGAAAACAACTTTGAAAATCTTTCATTTATGCTTCACAAGGAGGAATCTTATTATTTTGCAAATAAGATTAGTAATAGGGTTGGTATCATAACTACAGCTGAATGATTTGCCCAACCTCGCCAAACTATGAGGAGATAATATTTTTTAAAGCAATGTACATGTATTAATATTGACATTTTTGTTTTCATTTATGTTGATGTATCCATTTATATAGGTTACATGTTTACATATAAAATTATGCAATTTTATTTGTATATATATTCCTAGTTTTGACTTTCTTGTGTAAATTTAAGGGGTGCAAGTGCAGTTTTGTTATATGGATATATTGCTTAGTGGCAAAGTCTGGGCTTTCGGTATTAGCCATCATCCAAATAATGTATATTACAGCCATGAGGTAATTTATCATCCTTCATCTCCTTCTCAGTCTCCAATGTTTATTACTCCACACTCTATGTCCACGTGTATACATTATTTAGTTCCAACTTACAAATGACAACATGTAGTATTTGATTTTTAGGAAATAAAAAAACTTTAAATCTGGTGTTCCAAATCTAATAGCTACCTTAAAATTGACCAATGGCCAGGACTTACTGATCCCCCATTCTCAAAATGCTCCTTTGAATATGTTTTCTGCCTTAAGATATTCACTTTCAGTTGTACACCCTAAATTTTGTGATGCCTCCTGTGTACTAAGCACTATGCTAAGTCTTCTAATGTTTTCATTTATTCCTCAAATAGCTATTATGCCCATTTTACGGAGAACAAGTTACAAACATTCCCCACAGTTACCAACTGAAAAAATGGCAGAACTAAGATTTGAATCCAACATTTTTGGCTCTACTCCTCAAAATATCATTACCTGAACCCAGAGACAATCATAAAATACCACATTTTGCCCCTATATCCTTAAGAAACATTACCTGCCAATTAATTCTATTGTAAACTATTTTCTGAAGTGACACATTTAATCATGCCTAAAATGCACAATGCCTTGTTTTGACTTCAAGAAACCTACCCAGACTGAGCTTGCCCTATCTGTTCACCCCTATCATTCTGTCCTCAAGGCCAATTTCTGAGATCAACTGGCCTGGGTTTTAACTCGGCTTTGTCACTTCTTAGTTCTGTGACCTTAGACAGGTAACTTTACTAATGATCCAAAGCTTCCTAACCGGTAAACTGGGAATAAAAATACTTGCCACACAAAGGCTAGGCACAGTAGCTTATGCCTGTAATCCCAGCATTCTGGGAGGCCGCGGGGGATGGATCACTTGAGGTCAGGCATTCAAGACCAGCCTGGCCAACATGGTGAAACCCCATCTCTATACTAAAATCACAAAAAATTAGCCGGGCATGGTGGCGCGTGCCTATAATCCCAGTTACTTGGGAGGCTGAGATAGGAGAATCACTTGAACCCAGCAGGCAGAGACTGCAGTAAGCTGAGATCATGCCACTGCATTCCAGCCTGCGCAACACAGGAAGACTCCATCTTAAAACAAACAAACAAAAACAAAAAACAACAACTTGCTATACAAGACCGATGAGGAACAAATAAGATGACTCATGTAAGGTATTCAGAACTGTCAGGCACTTAAAAGCACAGTAAATACATGCTACTTTGTTTTGAAATGTTTTCATTTATTTGAAAAACAGCAAATATATGGTGAATGATATGGTATGAATCCTTGGGTCCACATAGTATTCATCTCTAAATTTAATCAATACTATCAATGAAGGACCAAATAACATTTCATTTTCTCTAGAGTCTTAGTATCTCCAAATGGCCCAATTATGTTACAACAGTAAAACACAGAAACTAACAAGGGTTTAAAAAAAAAAAAAAAAAAAAAGAGAAAAGAAAATGCTTCATTCAAGGTCACACCTACTACCCCCATCTTCAAATCCTAACTCTGCCAAGTATGAGGTATATTACTCAGAGAAGTTATTTCATCTCCTTGGAATACATTTCCTTGATAACTATCCTAGGCTGGGCATGGTGGCTCAGGCCTGTAATCCCAGCACTTTGGAAGGCTGAGGCGGGCAGATCACCTGAAGTCGGGAGTTCGAGACCAGCCTGGTCAATATGGCGAAACCCTGTCTCTTAAATACAAAAATTAGCCAAGCATGGTGGCATGCGCCTGTAATCCCAGCTACTTGGGAGGCTGAGGCACGAGAATTGCCCGAACCTGGGAGGTAGAGGTTGCGGTGAGCCAACTGCGCCACTACACACACTCCAGCCTGGGTAATACAGCAAGACTCTGTCTCAGAAAAAAAAAAAAAAAAGTGTATCCTAAAGCACCATTTTTTTTAAAAGAATATGTAACTGCATATGTAAAATACCTGGTACTTATTTTATGCTACACAAACGCTGGTTCCATTCTCTTGTTTCAACAGCTTAGGCTACGATGAGAGATCAGAACTGGGATAGTGGCAGTGAAAACGGAAAAGTGATTTAATAGTGACAACAGAACACAGATACTGTGCAAGTGAATGAAATAATGGTGAAATGAGTTTTAAAATACTAAATTAGTTTGTGACTATGTGCTGAGCAGGCTTAATGGAATTATCTGGATTGGTTTTATCAAACCAGCAGCAAAATGACACTGCCAAAACTCTTGGTGTTTCCTGATTGAAACACCAAGGAGAAAATCCCACTGATTAGCCACTGGTAGAGTTGGGTTTTCTTTTAAAAATCAAGTTAACAGACTATATAAAGAAAAGAAAGCTGATCTCTACAAAGGACCAAGGCCATGACACTCAAGTACAATCTGCTATTGCCTGGCCCTAGAACCCTCCTACACATAAGAGATGAGTTCTTCAAGTGAGGCAGACTGGAAGGCAGAAGGGGAAGTGAATCCTAAGCAGCTTGCTGTAAACTCAACCTGGCTCACTGGCTGTGAATATTACATAGCAGGACTGACAGACACAAAACACAGGGAGGAAAGGCAGCATAAAAGCTGACATATGTAACTCCAATTATCAATAAAGCATTGGAAGGACAAATAGTTGGTTGTCCTTTTAACTTGGACCTTTTTTTCCTTCTCACTTCAAGATACTGATCTAGCCTATCTTAATCCTTTAAACTTAAAACATTTTATACAGATGTTCTGCATATTTAAAATACCAAAACAGAACAAAGTTCAATCTAAAAGTAAAATATGTTACTTCACAATAACCTATCATACAGGTTAAACATAAAATTTTTTATATAGTACCTACTATTAATAGTATTGTCATTTCAGGTAATATGTGAATCAACCAAAAGTAGTTTTAGACTGCAGTGTTAAATTAAACAGAGCTAATAGTTCTGATTCAATTTTAAGTTAGGCTGATTCAATATGAGCTATACTTTGACAAGAATGCTAGTAGACACTATATACAATCTTTTTAAACCAAGAAAACATTATAGCCCTACCCAAATGTAGATCTAAAATCCATCAGAGAAGAAAAGATGCTTAAAAGCAAGCTTCCTAATTAGGTATTATAAAATTAAAATGCTTTTAAAAATTGTAGAGATAAGTGCTTTATTATCCTATTTGTCCTTTATAGGTTTCTGAAATAGAAATAAGGAAAGAAGCCTGGGCACAGTGGCTCACACTTATAATCCCAACACTTTGGGAGGCTGGGACAGGTGGATCACTTGTCCCAGTTCAAGACCAGCCTGACCAACATGGTGAAACTCCCTCTCTACTAAAAATACAAAAATTAGCTGGGTGTGATGGCGCACACTTGTAATCTCAGCTACTCAGGAGAGGCTGAGACAGGAGAATTGCTTGAACCCAGGAGGTGGAGGTTGCAGTGAGCCAAGATCGTACCACTCACACCACTACTCCATCCTGGGCAACAGAGTGAGACTCTGTCTCAAAAAAAAAAAAGAAGGGAGGAAAGAAAAGAAAGACACTAGCATTCCCCAGATGAGCAGCTGGTTCCCTGAAGAAGTCTTTTGGTAAAGAGAGAGGGAGAAGAGTTCCTGGATATCTCCAAAACTGACTCATGAAGGAATGCACATAACGCTATGTTTCTTCCATCTACTTTCTGTTTCTTTGCTTGAATGTATTCTCAAAACACAAATTCTTTCTACTCCACTGTAAACTTTTAGAGAGCAATATTCTTACTCACTTAGGACACAGAGTAGTGTATATAAGAGTAGTGAAACATAAGTAGTATTCATCTTTAGACAAAACTCCTTAAAAGACTGTGAGATATTACATATGAAAAAGTTTAATTTACATTGAGGTATATTTATAGTAATAACTTAATTCACTGTATCTACACATCAAGAATATCTCATATAAAAAAATATATTTGGCCAGGCATGGTAGCTCACACCTGTAATCCCCACACTTTGGGAGGCCGAGGTGAGCAGATCACTTGAGGTCAGAAGTTTGAGACCAACGTGGCCAACACAGTGAAACCCCATCTCTACTAAAAACACAAAAATTACCCAGGCATGGTGTGCACACTTGTAATCCCAGTTACTCTGGAGGCCAAGGCAAGAGGATTGCTTAAGCCCAGGAGGCGGAGGTTGCAGTGAGCCGAGACTGCGCCACTGCACTCCAGCCTAGGCGACAGAGTGAGACTCCATCTAAAAAAACATATATATATTTGATCTCTGATCATGGCAACTCATAACTAAAAAGAACTCCTAACTAAATGATAATTTTGTATGTGGTATAGAAGAAAATCCAACTTTATGTCCCATCCTGATATTAGGAAATCAGTGAAGTAGGAGATGCCGCGAGGACCAATAAAGACACAGACACTAAAATGTGATGGTTTCGTAATAATAGGAAGGTAGTATTCCTTACCTGTCTCAACAAAACTAAATGTAGTAGCACTTACTACATGCTGTTATGTACTTAATTACACAGACAGTAATACATCTAAGATTATCTAAGACTGGGGGGAAAAAACCCTTAACTTTAAAGCATAATTGCTTTTGACAAACCAAGAGAAACTTTCTTTAATTAAAGAAAAATACCTTTTTGTAAACTTACTTGCTAATTTGGCCTGTAATCCAGAAGGTCCAGGTTTTGATGTCTCTGACTTAGAAGACCCTGGAAGAGACAGTTTTGTTTTAGGAAGGCTAACTTTAGGGCTGAAACGAGCAGCCCAATCAAATTTTGAAGAGCCACCAGTTTTACTCTGTTC
Source organism: Homo sapiens (assembly GCF_000001405.40). Classification (NCBI taxonomy): domain Eukaryota; kingdom Metazoa; phylum Chordata; class Mammalia; order Primates; family Hominidae; genus Homo; species Homo sapiens. The sequence continues at coordinate 229,858,926 of NC_000002.12, forward strand.
CTTTTCCCTGCTACTTCTTCTGGGGCTGGGACTGGACGCTGAACGGGAACGCCTGGCCTTGTTCTGATCTTTTCCTTGTTTCACTCTGGCACCTGGTGGTACAGTGGAGGAGGCCGAGGCTACAGCAGAAGACGAGGAGGAAGTAGAGGCAGCAGAAGAAGAATCAGTGATGGTGCTACACCCAGCTTTGGCTGAGGTGGCTGATTTTGAAGCCAGCTTGGTAGGTTTCGCAGATCTCTCTTCTGCACCAGTTGATTCAGACCCGGAGCCACTCTTTACACAAGAACTCTCTGTCCTTTTTCTTTTCTGACTCCGTGAACCGCCAGTGGCCCCACTCTTCCTGGTATGAGCCTTGCTTGTTGATGGTGATTGTGCAGATTTCAGTTGTTGCTCCTGGTCTAAATGTCTCTTCTTTGACTTACTATGTGGCTTATTTGTTTCTGAGGGAGATTCAGTATGCTGAAGTGCTTTTGGTTTTTTTGCAGAGCTAGGAGAATTGGTCCTGTTGTAGTCTGGACTAGCACTGCGCTTCACTCCTCGAGAATTGTCTTTCTTAGGCACCTGCCCCGTTTTTTGTCTTTCTGAAGTATTGGCTCTGTCTGGATCCTCTGGTTGTGGAACTATCACAGCAGATGATGAACTGCAGCTTCTAAGAGGTTAGATAAGAAAACAGTTAATATCAGCCTGTCATAATTACAACTGTCATATATAATGCTTTCAAAAAATAAAGTATGAATATGTTCCTACTAAGTCCAGTATTAAACATAGGTTTTCAGAAGGTTCAAATCTGTAAAACGAAATAAAAGAACAAAACAAAAGCAGATGTGACTTTGGATACTAAAATATCTGATTAAAAGATAAGGGTGTTCTTTAGCCCAAAGATTACTGACACTAACACTCGTAATCACAAAACAAGAATTAAGATTACAAGAAAAACAACACTTAATTGTTCGGAACCAGAGGAAGCCAGAATATTGATGCCCTATTCACAAGCACAACTGCTTTGTCAAAGCTTAGAAGAAATAAGCATTAACATACGCACTTTCAAAATGAAGGTTAGAGATTTTTATATTGTAGTACTATCAAATCTTCAAAGTTAACATTGCTTTCCAAAGTCTCTTAACAATTAAATCTTAAGAATCACTGACTTAAACCTAAACTATGGCTCTGACAATAAAAACTAAAAAAAAGATTAAAAAATAAAAAGAAATAAAAAATGGCCATAATGGTTTGTTAAGCAAAGGGGGAATCTTACGGCTCTCCAAACAAAAATATCATTTTATCATTGACAAACTCACTGTCTAGGGTATACTGCACTAATCACTGCAAAGGTGATAAACTGTCAATCCTAAAAGTTACTTAGAGAATAATGAAAATATGTATCAAAACGTTTTGGAATAACCTCAAGTTTTAACATTATGCAATGATTTGAATGCAAATAATTCTGCCTTGAAAATGTATAAGCAACATGAAGATTTACCTTTTAGAAAGGTGTCCCCTTGACAGTTCAGAAGTAGTATTAGACTGCACTTTGGGTGCCTTAGAATTAGATTTTCTACTCTCAGGAGGGCTATATCCCTTATGTTTTGCCTGCCCTAAATGTGACCTGTCAGCAGAAAATCAAAACAGAAATCTATCAGGAAACTGAGATGCAAATACAATACTGAAAATGAAATATTTTTATATATTTCTTAAAGCTTCCCACAATTCATTGTTGACCCTACCCTTTTTCCAAATATTTATAAATTTTAATTATTATTCTACTAAATAATCTGGCAAAAAGAAATTGCCTCTCAGAACCACCCCCGCCCCGCAATACCGAAGAGTTTATTATCACCAGTAGTCATAATTGCACAGCGTTGTTAAGGTTGCTTAAGCAGTAACACATTTTTCAGCAATTTTAGTGCAGATATTCAAATATGCTACATTTTAACAAAAAGCAAATTTAGACTTTAGATCTAAACACACTTTTAATACATAATGTGACTGTAATGGCTTTAAAAGTTTACGGAAAAGACAATTGATGATTCCCACACTGATACCGATTTCCAATTTGTACTTAAAATTCAGGTAAACACAGCAAATGCAGAGACAGACGAACCAATTCTCAAACTGATTTTACACAGAAAATCATTTCAAGCACTAAACAATAAATAAACCTACATGAAATCAACATAGTGATACTTGCTAAAACTTTAAAGTACTTGTCAACAGAAAGAACACAAAAAAGTCCTGGAGAAATATGGAATTTACCACAAAAGTTCCAAAAAACATTCAAATAATTCCATGATTGATATGGTGCATCATATTTACAATAAATCAAATCCTTATGCCAGCACTATTCTAAAAGCAAGTTTGAGGAACATGAAAAAACTGTTTTCAGTTAGATTATTTTTTAGACCTTGGGGAATGGTTACATGAGATTTACATAAGCAATAAAAAACAAACACATGTTGATATCCAGAAAACTGCTGCCATTCGGGTGAGATATTAATGTAACAAATGCAATTTATGTAATTCATAGCTGATATCCACTTTCCACATAAGAGCATATACCAATGAAAATCTAGAAAAAAGTTTCATTAATACCAAATTTACTTGTTAAAAAAAAGTTTAAGGCTTTTATTCCAAACACCATCTCAAAAGAACTTAGAAATGAGTCACTGAAAATCTCACAAAATAATTCTAACTCAATCTGTAAGGATGCCATAAATTTCTTAAGATATCATACAAGTACAACCATCTGTTCCAAAAGAGGACCTAAGGTTTCTCTTTTCTGTATCACTTCTTCTTCCATCTTTCCAGAATTCATGAAAAGAGTCTTAAAAGAAGGTAAGAAATTAGCTTCTTAAGAAAGGAAATAGTTCCTGGATCCCTCATATCATTTTTGTTTTTAAGGTTCTAATCTGAAAGTAATAATATGTTCTAAAGACTTATTAGAATAGATGAATTTCTTAAAAAAAAATAACAAAAAAACAAAACTCTAGGTGAGCCTTTCAAGTGTTATTAGTCTTCACTTTTAGTAATGAAAGGACACATATACTTCAAGAAGCATATTTTCTAAAGTTGTAGCTAAGCTGAACTTTGTAAGATTTTTTATACATTGTGTTTTTGTTGTTGTTGTTGTTATTTTTTATTTTTTGGTGTTTCAGACAGGGTTTTGCTCTATCGCCCAGGCTGGAGTGCAGCGACACTATCTCGGCTCACTGCAACCTCCGCCTCCCAGGATCATGTGATTTTCCTGCCTTGTATATATTGTGATTTAATTTTAATTTTTCCTAGATATTCTCCCATTGCAGACTAAAATTTTGCTTTAACCAATGAGTTTATTAGAGATTTAATTTCTAAGAGTTGCTTTTGTTTTTGTTATATTTCTACTAACAGATCTCAGAGTTCAACTCTTTTTTCTTCAGAAATGAGACTATTTTTCAAATCATTCCATAGTTATTCTAAAAAAGAGGTGTAACGTTCTGTTTTTGGGGTGTGGAATTTAACAGCTACAGGAAATATAAATTATGTCATTCAGGTCCTCTACATTCTTATTTTCTTAAAGATCGTTGCAGACTGATGTTTTAATTAAATCACGTTTTCTACTTTATTTCATTTTAAAATTTAAAATATAGCTTGTTGCATTCCTTGATAATTAAACAACTCATTCTGAAAGAAAACTACATACATTCAAAGCTAGACAACTTTGTGAAAAATAAATGCCCAAAACAATTAAAAATTATGATTCATTCCATTTGTCATCAGAAACCGGCCCATATGAAACTAAAGGTGAGGTCTGGGGCAGCAGCCCTCCTCTTTTTAACTCAAATAAATTGTTCTGTTGACTTTTATATAGCTTATGTTAGATCCACCTAATTCTACTCCTGTGTTATTTCTCATGCCCTTACTAATACCTTCAATGAACTTAAGAACTTAGCATGTAAACTCTCTATATTATACCACAAAAAGTAAACAGTATTCAAATCATTTAGAAAACCAAGGCTCACAAAACTGGCTTAAATTCAGCAATGCCCAGCAGGGCACGGTGGCTCATGCCTGTAATCCCAGCACTTTGGGAGACAGAGGCGGATGTGTCATGAGGTCAGGAGTTCAAGACCAGCCTGGCCAAGATGGTGAAACCCCGTCTCTAATAAAAACTACAAAAATGAGCCGGGCATGGTGGCGCACACCTGTAGTCTCAGCTACTTGGGAGGCTGAGGCAGAAGAATTGCTTGAACCCAGGAGGCGGAGGTTGCAGTGAGCCGCGATCGTGTCACTGTACTCCAGCCTGGGTGACAGGGCGAGACTCCATCTCGAAAAAAAAAAAAGAAAGAAAGAAAAAAAAAAAATCAACAATGCCCACACTGATCTTACCTAAAATTATTTTAAAGTGTGATATTCTAAGGACTGTTTAAAAAATATATTTTAAAAATATAAAATATTGATACTTAACTGTCCCTTCTGCCTATCTGTTTAGCCCATGGGACTTAATACATTTTCCATAAAGGAGAGTAAATATTTTCAGCTTCCTGGGCAATACTGTATGTCAAAAAAACAGGTACAGAAAATTCTCAAACAAACGAGCATGGTGGCTATACTTCAATCAAAATTTTATTTACAAAAACAGGCAGTGAGCCAGATTCAGCCCATGCGCTATAGTTTTCAACCCTGGCTAACAAGGAATAGACAACCAGATGGTACCATGAAGTGACAATATGGGGCCTCCCAAAATGGAGCTCTATTTTATTATGTCCACTTATAAATTATTAATGCTCAAAAATGCTGCAAAGTAAATCTCCATAAAATAATGATGTCCAATCTGGAATAGCCAATTAGAACATCACAGTATTCAGAGGTAAAGGAGCCTTGGACGCCTCCTTTTAGCTCATTTTACCACCTCTCTAATTTAGCAAGCCTTAATCCTTCAACTTTAGTTTTTATTAAAAAGCATAATCTTTTTAAAACCTAGTAAAATTTATATCCACTATAAATAAAATTTGTAGAACAGTATAGTAAAATGCATGACAAACTCTTTTAAATAGCACTAGAATGAGGTCATTTAGTAAATTATAGCCCAAAGATTTGGGTGAAAGAGAGAGAGAGAGAGAGAGAGAGAGAGAGAGAGAGAGAGAGAGTGTGTGTGTGTGTGTGTGTGTGTGTGTGTGCACGCGCACACGTGCACACATGTGTTCAGGAGCTTCTATAACAACATATGGGTATTCCTGAAAAAAAAACTCATGTCTCTGCAAAATTATCCACTAAAAATAACCGGGCTGATATGTTAAAAATAAGATGGGCCCAGAGCACACAAACCTATGTTATTTTGTAATGAGCATCCCAGCAAAATCACATCAATTTTAATAAAAAATTAAATCTCCCAATAAAATTTGCACCAATAAATCCACTTGAGACTTATTTTTGTATTTTCTCCTTTTAAGTGTAACTTTTTAAAGGCATTTTTTAAAAAGCTTCAAAAAATTAAAAATATAATTATTCTTGGGTAGACTTTCCTGTTATCTTCTTCCTTTAGAAACAAAGGAGTAAATGGTTTTGAACTTGTTGAGACTGCTTTTGACAGTACAAGGTATGGTGGTTTTAGAAACCACTGGAATAGCTATTTCTTTCACTAAATTATTTCTGCCAGATTTTCAACTTTTTTTTTTTTTTGGTGTAATGTCTTCAAATATTACCAAACCTTCCTCTTTAATTGAAAGGTCTTTCCCCATTTTCAGTTTATACATTAGCACTGTGGGAAAAACTGCTTATGAACCAACACTACTTCCACGTTATATTGACATTATTTCTCTATTTACCAAGTGTGTATGGGCCAATTCACATTAAAGAAACCAACACTGCAACAGAACAGACTATAATCAACTCTGGGTTATGTGCTTTCAAGATCATTATGTGCTTTCAAGATCATTTGGGTTATGAAGCCTCAAATGCCTCTGAGTGTTAACTTTTAGGCACATAGTATTGACTGTACCCTTCCACCTACATTTGTACTGCTATTTAGTCAAATCCTTTACAGTAGTCCACAGAATTAAAAACCATCTCTAGTCCAGAGGACATCTAAAAGAGACCTAAACTTTATATCAAGAGCACAATATTGGGCCAGGTGTGGTGGCTCATGCCTGTAATCCCAGCACTTTGGAAGGTTGAAAGCAGGTGGATTGCTTGAGCTCAGGAGTTCAAACAGACCAGCCTGGGCAACATGGTGAAACACTGTCTCCACAAAAAATACAAAAATTAGCAGGGTGTAGTGGTACACACCTGTATTCCTAGCTACTCGGGAAGCTGGGGTGGGGAAGATCACTCGAGCCTAGCAGGTCAAAGCTGCAGTGAGCTATGGTTGCACCACTGCACTCCAGCCTGGGCAATAGAGTGAGATCCTCTCTCAACTACAAAAAAAAAAAAAAAAAAAAAAAAAGAAAGAAAGAAAGCAAAATGCTGTCTCAATGTTAGGAAAAATGAGGAAAGTGGCTAGTTACAAGTAGCTAGTTAATTCCTATTATAGGTATTACACTGCCTGAATTTAATTTTTATGCTAGACATATTCACAGCTTATATGATATGCATATATATAATATACACACACATTACCACTTATATTTGGTAATATATGCATGTATTACATAATATACATGCATATATTACCAAATATAAATGGATTGTGGGTTTAATTACAACTCTAAATTTGTTTGTGTATATGTGTATACAGACACATTTTTATGCTTTTCTACTTTAAATACACAATTATAACATTATAGTTTTGTCTTCTAAAAATTAGATATTTTATTTCAAATGCTGGAAAATCCATGTTTTAAAAGAGCCATTGATTTTCAATAATTAATGGTGGAAAGTTCACTTTAAACCACTTTAAATAAGTAACTCACTAATGTTCCCTGTAAAACGCACTGTTTTTCTATTTCTATTACAAAAAGAAGCTTGATTCATCTGATCAATGTTCCTATCTTTAGTTACACTGAAACACTAGCCCAAATGATTCTATAATTTAAAGTAAAGCAGTATTTCTAAACAGCAAAAATACTGCCCCTAGGAAGCATTCTGGAAACATACACTGGGAAGCGGCAGTGCTATTCCCATTTAGCAGGTGTGGATTAGAGGTAAAGATGAGCAACATACAGAACAAAAAGACCCAACTGTCCCATGCCCCATGTATTTCAAACAGTCTTGGTAATATATGAAAACCTTATGAAAAGCCCTGACAGTGTGGCAGTGACATAGGTGAAAAACGTGCTTGCAATTTCTCAGATTTGTTTTGCACAGTTCTTACATATTAAATTTTCCAAGAATGCAACGACAAGCGATTATACTATTTTTTTGGCAGCTTTACCAAGAGTCAGGCACCGTTTTTAATGCCTATGATGAAAATGCTGCTTATGGCATTTAAGTCCATTGTTGTAACTGTCACATTCAGTGACTCCAAATACAGATGCACTATAATTTTGTGTCACTGTGTCCAAGCATTTACCTATTGAGATGTTATTTTTGTTATCAACTATTTTCCTTTTGTTTATCTTTGTAAAATGCTAAGACATTATATCAATATTTCTAAACTGTGTGTAGGCAGGTATTTTATTTCTTCATTTATTTGAAGATATTAAAAGAGCATAATAAAAATATTTATATGATATACATTATAGACAGGGAGCACTGCCTCTGATAGAGTTGAGAACCATTGTACTAAGCTACTCATTTCAAAAGATGTTAGGTTTGCCACCAACAAATATATGCAAGTCCCAACAGGGCACATAAATATAGGTAACAGTCTAGTCCCTGTCCTCAAAGAGGTCAGAGTCTCATAAAACAAAGTAATCTACCAGGTACTCTCCATAGATGTTTCCAACGAATACTTTTAGCAGGAGAATATAAGCTTTATAGGCCACACCATTTAAACCTGGCCCTGAAGGATGAAAAGCTGAGGAAAAAAAGCTTTCCAGTCAAAAGCAGAATACAGGCAAAGGCAGAGGCAGGAAATTTTAAAGCCCATACAGTAACTGGCAAATGATATAAATTGCCCTGAACATGGAGATACATCAGAAAATATGGATGAAAGGATGTTCACCACTATGCAATTCATTCATGTAACCAAAAACTACTTGTACCCTGAAAGCTACTGAAATAAGCAAAGTATATATATATACACACACACATAGAGGGTTTTTTTTTTTGTTTTTTTTTTTAAGTGTAGGCTATGGTCAGACAGGGAAGGTTTTTTTTTGTTTGTTTGTTTGTTTTTTTTTTTTGAGACAGATACTCACTCTGTCACCCAGGCTGAAGTGTAGTGGCATGATCTCAGCTCACTGCAACCTCTGCCTCCTGGGTTCAAGAGATTCTCCTGCCTCAGCCACCTGAGTAGCTAGGACTACAGGTGCCTGCCACCATGCCTGGCTAATTTTTATATTTTTAGTAAAGATGGGATTTCACTATGTTGGCCAGGCTGGTCTCGAACTTCTGACCTCAAATGATCCTCCTGCCTCAGCTTCCCAAGTTGTGGGATTACAGGTATGAGCCACTGTGCCCGGCCAAAATAAATGTCTGAAGACTTTAGAGATAGTATATGAGAAAAAGGGAGGAAAACACCACTATTAATTTTCTAAAAAGGAGCCCTCTGCCTTCTTTTTCTCTCTGTATTACAAGAAAACAGCCTTCCAAATGTGATAAAAAAGCTTGCAGTTAGTATAAGAATCATTTGTATATATATTTTTAAGTGACACTGAACACTTTTAAGAAGGCATTCCAAGACTGGGAAAGCTTTTTAAAAGTGGTTTGGAGTATCAGAAGAATGAAAGCAAATCCTCAGTGAGGGATATGAGACAATCTATGGCAGCTGACAATTTCTTATAGGTTTTCCAGTATGCTTATGATGTGACTTTGACTCAATTCCAAACTTGATTAAAATAAAGCATAGTGCAAAGGAAATTACTAATAGAAAACATATAAACTATTACTTTGTAGGCCCCCCCAAAAAATTTAACACGGGTACTACTAAGAATCAAATGTTTCTAACTTCCAACTACAGAAAAGTAGCCTCTGCTTCTCCTTAGACCAAGGCAACCATGCCATTGTTGAATACAGCACCATATTATCTTGCCTCCTGATCCCAAGGCCTGATGGGACAGACTAGTTTCAGCATTACCAATGCAGCAGGCACACAGGTCTCCACAGCTAAAACTCCAGGCTGCCTAATTAGAGCAGTAAGATTTACTATTGCTGAAAAGAGCAAGTTACAAATTACCCAGCCGATTCTAGAATACTTACTTTCATTCATTCATTCATTTATTTTTTGAGACAGGGTCTCTAGTCCAGGCTGGAGTGCAGCGGTGTAATCTTGGCTTACTGCAGCCTCAACTTCCTGAGCTCAGGTGATCCTCCCACTTCACCCTCCCAAGTAGCTGGGACTACAGACACTTACGACCACACCTGGCTAATTTACTGTATTTTTAGTAGAGACAGGGTTTCGCCATTTTGCCCAGGCTGCTCTTGAACTCCTGGGCTCAAACGATCTGCCTGCTTCAGCCTCCCAAAGTACTGACATTACAGGCATGAGACACTGCGCCCAACCAATTCTAGTATAAATACCTTTAAAAAGTGGCTCAAATTCAGTCATAAGAGGCATTAAATTATTTTTGCATCACATCATGTCTCCCCATAACATTCTCCTCCTCCCAAACAAGAAGCAGTTTGAACTTGCTTCTGACTGAACAAATGAGAGGACAAAAAAAGAGACAGGAAAGAAATAAGAATTAAAGAATATAAAAGGAAGGCACTCACACCGGTTAAACAGACGAATGAAGAAAACACACGGGACCAGTGGCTAAGTTTCACTAAGTAGGCTTTAGGGAAACAAACTATCATAGAGATGCAAATAAGAATGCAAAATAACGTATAAACATCCTATGACAGCTACATCTCAAGAATATTCTGTTTTTCCTTTTTCTAGATGCAAGGTAGGATGGTACTTGTCCAACCACTTGGAAGCACGTACTGCCATGTGACTTGCTTCAGCCAAGGGAATGTGAACAGAAGTGAATCACTGCTGGGGGAAGTTTTGGAGATTCAAGAGTACAGTTCACCATATTCTCTTACTTGACAACACAGCAAGGTATCTGAATATCTGAATGTGCAGGCATGGAGCAGAGCTTACCACTGACCTGGACAGACAACCTTTTTAGTGGCTAGATTATAACCACTAATATCTAGGAGATGTTTTTTCCTGTAGTATTATCTAACCCACCTTGCTACATAGCCCATTTTAACTATGCCCTATTTCAACCCTTCCTTACTCCAATCATGTTTTCATCATTTCAGTAAAAAAGAAAGTCACATTTCTGTGCCCAGAAATTCCAAGGAAACAAATATCCTTTTCTAACCCATACTAGTAATTGTTGAACACCTACCACTTACCAGCAAATTAACACAATACACGCAACTTCGAAATAAAACCCAGACTGTGAAAGGAATTAATGAGACCACATGTCAAAGACAAATATAGTTGACATATACCACACCTGCTTTGCAACTGTTGCTTCAGCCTCAGAGCCCAGATCAATGAGGTCATCTCTAGAAATGTTTCTCATCTGACTCTAGTAACAACCTGTATCCCCATTCCCCCTACCGAGCTGGGTTGCTTTCTGGGTTCTTTCCCTGGTAGGAAAAGAAAAACCCTACCCTACCCTCATTTCTATAACTACTATAGAGCACGGTGCTTACTAACGTGGTGTTCAACAGATGAATGAATATAATCTTATACTGATGTTGTATTAAGGCAGAACTCTAAAATGCCAAAAGAGGCATTATTAAAATAACACATGCATTATCTCCAGAATCAGAACAACAGTGGAATAATCAATCCTAGAAAAGGCTAAGAGTCAACACAACTTTAAAGAACTACTAACGAATTTAAACTTGCCAGAACGTTAGCACACACATACTCTTTGCTCTTCTCTGCCTGTCCATCTTCCTCCATAAGGCACATACACAGTAGTTGGCAACTTCAGATTCACATCTTCCCATCTTTGTCACCAGAAAGAAAAAAGCTAAATCTTCCAACTTTTCTCATCTTGATCATGTGACCACACCAGGCTTATCACTGTGCTCAGAAAGAGGGAGTACGTCGATTCCCCTAGCTTTCACCAAAGGTTAAGGAATAGCTAACAGGATCAGAGTAAAACTGTATTAGAACAGAGTAACTACCCATCAAAACGCATGGGAAGCCATTCCACAAGACTACTGTTTTAAGGAGAGGTGCCGTGCACAACAAAAACCATGAAGAACATTATTTATTGCCACCTCCATGAAAATGGTATAATCTTTTTAATAATTCAAAATGAAAGAGGGCTTGATCTAGCTTCAGAAGATGAGAGGCCTAAAAGTTAAGCCTTAAGGCACAGGGAAAGAAATAAACATGGTGTACAAAGAGATGGTGAGATCTGCCTGGATGGACATGACATGGTAGCAAGAAGCAGTAACGTAAGGACAGATGAACAGAGAGGAGGCAGCCAGACAGATACTGAGTCTGTAGTTCCCGGGGATCTCCAAAATGTTACAGTGCTTTGGGATCTGTATAAGATTTCTAAGACTGGAAAAGAGTATAAACTACATTGATGTGGAAACTTTTGAATGGATCTTGAAAGACTGGCAGAATTTCAGTAAGATAAGGTCTAGAATACAGAAGGCAAGCATTTTAAAAGGAAAATGGCATGATCAAAATTACTAAAGAAGGAAATTGCAAGGTATTTTAAGTAGTTAAGCATAGAGTAAAAACTATCAAGTTTTAGTCTCTGAAATCAGTAGATAGGAATTAAGTTTGGCATTTTATTTATTTATTTTTTTGCGGTATACTTCTTTCAAAAATCAAGAAAAGGAAAGTTAAGTTGATTGGTACACTGACAGCTTGTCCTGAGTCCTTCTTGAGTGTGGCTTCATTATTTCACTAGAAAACATCCTAATCCGGCTAGACACGGTGGCTCACACCTGTAATCCTAGCACTACGGGAGGCTGAGGGGGAGGATCACTTGAGCTCAGCCTGGCCAATGTGGTGGAACCCTGTGTCTACTAAAAATACAAAATTAGGCAGGCATGGTGGTGCACACCTGCAGTCCCAGCTACTCGGGAGGCTGAGGCAAGAGGAGGCTGACGCAGGAGGATCACCTAAGCCTGAGAGACAGAGGTTGCAGTGAGTCAAGGTCACACCACTGCACTTCAGCCTGGGCAACAGAGCAAGACACTGTCAAGAAAAGAAGAGAGGGGAGGAGAGGGGAGGGGAGGGGAGGGGACCGGAAAGGAAAGAAAAGAAGAAAGAAAAGAGAAGAGATCCTAATCCAAACATAAGTATGGTTTCTTCCCAATTTTCTTTGCAATATTAGAAAATTAAAAGACATTAGTAATATGGTTTATATGTTTGTCCCATCCAAATCTCATGTTGAAATGTTGGAGATGGGGCCTGGTGGGAGGTGTTTGAATCACTGGGGTGGATGGATCCCTCATGAATGGCTTAATGCCAATGCCCTTGGGGTGAATGAATTCTTGCTCTGAGTTCACTTGAGATCTGGTTGTTTACAAGTGTGTGCCTGCCACCCCTCCCCACCCCTTGCTCCCACTCTTGCCATGTGGTATGCTGGCTTTGCTTTCTGCCGTGATTTTAAGCTCCCTGAGGCCCTCACCAGGAGCAGATGCCAGCGCCACACTTTTTGTACAGCCCACAGAACCATAAGCCAATTAAACCTCTTTTCTTTATAAATTACCCAGTCTCAGGTATTCCTTTACAGCAATGCTGAAGCCTAATATAATTTGAAATTAGAAAATACAAAAACAAAATATTAATAAGGAAAATCAATAATCCTAGTATAATCAACTAGTAATTATATGCAAATGAAAGTAGTCTTATAGAAGACAATTTTCTAGAAGAGTAAATATTTGAAAACATACTCAACCCAGCAATTCCACTTGCAATAACCTAGCTAGTACTAACTAGTACTAGAGAAGTACTAGTACAAGTTCACGATGACAGTGAGAATGTTCAGGTGTGGCATCATTTGCTATGGCAAAAACCTGAAACCAAATGATGAAAGGAGTGATTACATATATGCATAATTGATATATCTACATAACGGAAAATTATAGAGACATTAAAACTGATAATATAGTTTTAATGACAGATATTGTAAAAAAAAAAAAAAAAAAAAAAAAAAAAGAAGCCTATATTAAGGCCAGGTGCAGTGGCTCATGCCTGTAATCCCAGCACTTTGGCAGGCCAAGGCAGGAGGACTGCTTCAGGCCAGGAGCTTGAGACGAGTCTGGGCAACATAGCGAGACCCCCATCTCTCTTTTAAAAAAAGAAGAGTCTGGGTGTGGTGGCTCATGCCTGTAATCCCAGCACTTTGGGAGGCCAAGAGGGGCAGATCACTTGAGCCCAGGAATTTGAGACCAGCCTGGCCAACAAAGTGAAACCCTGTCTCTACTAAAAATACAAAAATTAGCCAGCTGTGGTGACAGGCACCTGTAGTCCCAGCTGCTCAGAAGGCTGAAGGAGGAGAACTGCTTGAACTCGGGAGGCAGAGGTTGCAGTGAGCCAAGATCCCACCACTGCACTCCAGCCTGTGAGACAGAGCAAGACTCTGTCTCCAAAAAAAATAAAGAAAAAGATGCCTATGAAACAGTTAATGAAGACAGCAAGTCACATTACGGTATGTAAAATAATTCTATCCTTAAAAAGAAAGAAATGAACAAAAATACAAATACAAAGCTGTCAAAAATGTCCTCTTACTCTAAAATCTTCCTGTCTTTTAAGAGTCTGTTAAACTCTGCACCTTCTACAAACTCTTAAGTATCCCTATAAACTTACAGGACTTACAAGACTCAAGTCTACTTTCCTAACCAGTGTATGTCATTTATCTTCTAATGGGTAACTCCTGTCTTGCCAACTGTTTTAAAGCTTCTTTGAGACTGACTTATACTTCTCCAAGCCAGCCTTTAAGGAATAGGACTGTAGTTTTTACACAATAAACTGGTAAGTATCAGCTAAACCAATTAAAAAGTCAGTTCTCCTGTACAGTGGTACAAAGGGAGATTAATAACAAATACAAAGAAAAAAATAATAGAAGGAGACTGCATCAAAAATTATTCTCAGCCAGACTCATTCTTTAAACCTACTTTTTCAATGTGACCTCATTACTAGAGAAACAGCAATAAAACAAGAATAAGGGTTTTCTTCTTTATCAAATTAGCAGAAAAATGCAAAATGGAGATAACGTGACTAGAACAATGAGAAAAAGCACTCTTTCCCCTGATGGTGATAATGTGAACAGGAAGTAAAAAATTAATGCACAACAAAGTTATTCATAAAAAAGTCCCTTGGACCAAGCAGTTTCACTTCAGGGAATCTATCCTGAAGAGATACCTGAAATGTGAACATTTGGAGCATAAGCAAAAACAATTTCTCCTAAACCTACCTAACTATCCAAAAACTGAAAAAAGTAGCCATGGAAAATACTGTATACTCATTCAGTGAATAATGTGGCCACCATTTGTAAATGATTACCAAAAGATCACAATGACATGGGCAATGTTAATGTTAGGGTATTGAGAGAAAAGAGCAGGATACCAAACTGTACACACAGTGTGATCTGCCAAAGTGTACAGATAAAAAAAGTTAACACAGACTTTTCTCTGAATAGTTCTTATTTTCTTTTTGTACTTTTCTGCATCCCAATCCTTTGAAATAGTTTTTTTAAGTGAAAACACAACTCTATTTCTTTCTATATAACTAATGGGGGTTTAAAAAAATCTCTGCTCTAAAAATGTAAAGAAAAATAATAAATAGAAGGCTATATCCTATATTTCTCACAATTGAGTTTTTACTGAGTAATACATAATTATTAAAACTTTGCAGGCAAATTTTTTGATGGGGGTGAGAAGTAGGCAACTGTATACAAGCATTTCCTCTCATCATTCAAAAACTTCAGACAGATTCTAGTCAGATGTAAAAACGGGTCCATAACAAAGCTGAGGAAAAATTTATTCTTAGCATGGAGAAGGCAAAGGAAGAAAAACAGAGTTGGTAGACTTAATTATCTGATTTTAAAATGTTGTAGAAATTAAAATAAACCATAAAAAAAAAACAGAAAAAAAATTTGTCCATGTTAGTGAATCAACACCTTTCACATAAAGGGCCCTAATAAAAGAGTAAGTATCTCCAAAATTAGACAAAAGACGCTAACAAACAGCTCAGAAAATAAATGAAAATGGCCCACGGAGCAAATTTTTCCACTCTATAGTAAACGAAGAAATGCTAACTTTAAACCAAGGAATTCTTTTTCCCCACAAACTTTTCTTTTTAAAAAGGGTATGCTCTATTGACTAGGATTTGGCAAAATGAGGACTCTCATGAAGTATTAGAAGTATTAAATTGGCCCAAGATTTCTGAAAGACAAAAGTCTTCAAAATATTCATACCCTTAGATTCTGTAAACCCATTTTCAAGAATTCGACTTGATAAAACCAGCTCACATTCAAATATGATAGGCATAAGCAATATTTTTTACAGCAAAAATCTGAGGAAAAAACCTAGAGGCCCAAATTTAAATCATGGGCTTTTATATTAAAGAAAATCATGGAGCCACTTTAAATTACCTCATGGAAGAATGTTACAGAATTCCAGAAAATACATCTAGTGATAACATCATCCCTATTATTTGTATGTTGCAAGTATACATATATTGATCTCTGTGGAATTTTGAAAAAAACAAAAAGAAGCTACACGTATAGAAAAGACTGTAAGAACATAGACTAGAAATATTAACCATGGTTATCTCTGAGTGGTAGGATTAAAATTGTTTTCTTTAATTTTCCTGAAGCGTCCCAATTTTCTATTCTCAATATGCACTGTTTATATAGTTAAATCAACCTTGAAGACACTACCACTAAAGCAATCTTAAAGTTGCTATAAAATTAAATTCAATCCTACCACTGCCACTTGAGAAAAACAAGAAAAAGCACACGGTATAATAAAAACGCTACTGCATTGCCAAGAGGGAGGTGGTAGCCTACAAATACCTGTGCTAGAACTGGAAAAGGCTAGGTAGTATCCCTGAGAGCAAGTCAACAGAGAAGCAGTGGAAAGGAGTGATTTCCTATAGAAGAAAAAGAGAACAGAAAAGAGAGGAACAGGTCAGCTACAATCCAAAAAATTAGAGAGGAAAGGGGCTAAGAAAAATAATAGAAGAGGAATAAGATGCCTAGTTCAACTGTGGATAGTGATGAAGGATGGGTGAAAAGGAGAGCAGAGGTAAAATTAAAAGGGATTAAATATATCCTCAGACTCTACTTTCATTTATCTTAAGAATGAATTTAAACTATTTTTAAAAAGAAACCATCTTGATTTGGGAGAAAGGCACAAGAGGTCACTGGAAGGAGGTTACACAAAGAAGACAGCTTAATGCAGAGGTTTAGAAAAAAACAGAGTGGGTCAAAAATGAATCCTAGCACAAATCCTAGGAGAGAAAAGTGCTACTTAAATTCAAAACTAAAGTTTATACCCTCTTCTAACACTCCCTCATCATACGGATCCAGTGGGCTGCAATGAAACACTCTGGCATAATGAAAAGGTACACTGACTTTACAGTCAAGAGGTCTGGAAACAAGTCCTGACTACACACTAGCTATACAAAGTTGAGCAAGCTTCCACATTTGTAAGAGAGATTACATATTTAATTTCTGAGTTTCAACTGAAAGAATGTGTAATAATTTTTTAAACTTAAAACACTCCATTAATGCTGTTGTGTAACTGCTATTATTATCATTAGTTGAATCACTGTATCACTGTGAATACCTTTATGGGGCAAGTCAACCATTTTCAGGAAACGAAGGCTACAATGACAGCATTTTACTTAGGAAGGCTAAACGAGTCACATGAAGAGAATAAATATATAGCTGTAATTGTTCTCTCCCAATTAATCCCAATCCTCTCACTCCCAAAACTCCCTGGAAAGGTTTCTGAGAGTTTAGATAATTGCTAGAACAGTACACTCTATAGGGGTTTCAAAAGTCAATCTGGGTCAGGTGCAGTGGCTCATGCCTGTAATCCCAGCACTTTGGGAGGCTGAAGTGGGTGGATCACCTGAGGTCAGGAGTTCAAGACCAGCCTGGCCGACATAGTGAAACCTCGTCTTTACTAAAAATACAAAAATTAGCCAGGTGTGGTGGCCCGTGCCTGTAATCCCAGCTACTCAGGAGGCTGAGAGGCAGGAGAATTGCTAGAACCCAGGGGGAGGAGGTTGCAGTGAGCCCGGATGATGCCACTGCACTCCAGCCTGTGTGACAAGAGCAAAACTCCATCTCAACAAAACAAAACAAAAATATATCAACCTGGGGGCTGATAAGAAGGCCTTCAAAGTTACTCCCAGTCTTGACATTTTATTATGAGCAAAAGAATCAAGCCAAGACGGCAAAATGATATTTAGAAGAGCCAGCATCTTCTCATCTCATTTGCATTCTTAAAACTAATAAGATGTTTTGGCTAAAGCTCTAAATTTCTATGTCCTGATCACACTCTTCACAACTGAGCATATTATTGACTGGCTTAAACTACATGAACTACAACAAGATTTGTCATTCTACAAATCTAATCGAGTTCCATCTCTGTTACAACTTTGAGCTACTTAAACCAACACATCTTAATCGCTAGTATTAACCACTTCCATTTATGTCCCACTACTTTGTTTATTACTTATTTATTTTTTGAGACAGGGTCTTTCTCTGTCGCCCAGGCTGGAATGCACTGGCGTGCCCAGTCATAGTTCACTGAAACCTTGAACTCCTCGGCTCAAGCGATCCTCCCACCTCAGCCTCCTATGTAGCTAGAAATATCAGTGTGTTCCACTGTGCGCAGCTAATTTATTTTTTGTAGAAACAGAAAACTTCTACATGTGTCTTGTGATGACACATGATGTGTATTGCTATGTTGCCCAGGCTGGTCTCGAACTCCTGGCCACAAGTGATCATCCCACCTCAGCCACCTCAAGTACTGAGATTATAGTCATGAGCCACCATGCTCGGCCTTACTCATTTTTTTAAAATACATGATACTAGGTTGGTGCAAAAGTAATTGTGATTTTTGCTATTAAAAAAAACTGCAAAAATCACAATTACTTTTGCATCAAGTTAAATACACAGCTGGGCATACTGGCAGGCGCCTGTCTTCTCAACTACTTGCGATGCAGTGAGCTATGATTCCATCACTGCACTACAGCCAGAAAAATAGAGTTAGACTCTGTCTCTAAAAATAAAATAAAAACATAATACAATTTACAAAATTTTTTAGGCTGGGCGCTGTGGCTCATGCCTGTAATCCCAGCACTTTGGGAGGCCAAGGCGGTTGGATCAGGAGTTCAAGACCAGCCTGGCCAAGATGGTGAAACCTCGTCTCTACTAAAAACACAAAAATTAGCCGGGCAAGGTGGCAGGCGCCTGTAATCCCAGCTACTACTTGGGAGGCTGAGGCAGGAGAATCACTTGAACCCAGAGGGCAGAGGCTGCAGTGAGCAGAGATCACAGCACTGCACTCCGGCCTGAGTGACAGAGTAAGACTCCGTCTCAAAAAATAAATTAAAAAAAATTTTTTAATCTACATAACACTGATATATAGAAAAAATGACCATGCTGAAACACTGTGGATTTTAGAAGCAATGCGCTGTTGATAGCCCACAATGATTGTCAGTTCACATGCAAGAGTCCCAATGCAACCTGAGGATTAATATGCATAAAACCGCAGTTGTTCTAAAGGTACAAGTTACTTACATGCACATACATAATGTACATCTACACGCAGTTTTTTAAAAGACAGAAGAAATGTCAATAGTAACCAATGTCAACAGCACACGTTATAAGTGTGGAATTATGTTTTTCTTTTTAGTTTTCTATATATTCAAAATAATCTAAAATGAACATGTAACACTTTTATTACAGGAGGAATAATATTTTAAAATCAGTCACATGAAGTTGAGTGTGGCTGCTCCAAAGAATAACCTGAATGTAAAAGAGCAAACATTTTCAGAACAGAGCTCTATATACTAAGTATAAGTGATAAGAGCTTAACATGCTAAAATACTGAAGTTTACCAATAATCCTATGAAATAGCTATCCCATTCTGTGGACTAAGAAACTGAGGTTTCCTGAAACTCTTAACAAAAGACACATAGCTATTTAATGGCAGAGGCAGAAATCACACACAAAGGCTGGGCGCGGTGGCTAACACCTATAATCCGAGCACTCTGAGGCCAAGGCCAATGGATCACTTGAGGTCAGGAGTTTGAGATCAGCCTGACCAACATGGTGAAACACCATCTCTACTAAAAATACAGAAATTAGCCAGGTGTGATGATGCGTGCCTGAAATCCCAGCTACTTGGGAGGCTGAGGCAGGAGAATCGCTTGAACCCGGGAGGTGGAGGTTGCAGTGAGCCAAGATCATGCCGCTGCACTCCAGCCTGGGCGACAGCAACTGTTTTAAAAAAAAAAAAAAAGAAAACAAAACAAAAAGAAATCACACGCAAAGCTGCCCTAGTCCAAAGTCCCTATGCTTAACCACTAAATAGTCTGACATCACCATGATGTGCTTTTATTCTTTACATTTGACATTAAAAAAAAATTTTTTTTTTTTGAGACGGAGTCTCGCTCTGTCTGTCGCCCAGGCTGGAGTGCAGTGGCGTGATCTCGCTCACTGCAAGCTCCGCCTCCCGGGTTCACGCCATTCTCCTGCCTCAGCCTCCCGAGTAGCTGGGACTACAGGCGCCCACCACCATGCCCAGCTAAATTTTTTTGTATTTTTGGTAGAGACGGGGTTTCACCATGTTAGCCAGGATGGTCTCGATCTCCTGACCTCGTGATCCGCCCACCTTGGCCTCCCAAAGTGCTGGGATTACAGGTGTGAGCCACCGCGCCCGGCCTAAAAAATTTTTAAATACTTTACTAGATAATATGCATTCATGGTTATGGCCGCAAACTGCTGTATGAGATAATCCTATTAGAATTCAGCAGCTGAGCGCAGTGACTCACACCTATAATCCCAGCACTTTGGGAGGCCGAGGCGGGTGAATCGCTTGAGGTCAGGAGTTTGAGACCAGCTTGGCCACCGTGGCAAAATCTTGTCTCTGTGTCTCAAAAAACATTAGCTGGGTGCGGTGGTGCACACCTGTAATCCCAGCTACTTGGGGGACTGAGGTGGAAGGATTTTTAAGCCTCAGAAGCAGAGGTTGCAGTGAGCTGAAATAGTGCCACTGCACTCCAGCCTGGGTAACAGAGCGATGAGACTCTCAAAAACAAAAAAATTTAACAATTATCCATCACAAGCTAAACGTAATCAATGTTAGTCCCAAAATTAGAGAACTAGGCCTTGCAAGAAGAGTTCTGAGTATTTTTTACATGAAGTGACAGTCCTTGGCTAAATCTGACTTGGAGTATTACATTCAAGAAAACACATCTGATCTGATTCTTCACACTACTTCATATGTAACTACTCCAACTAAAAAGAAACACCAGACCACTAAAAACATAAGACAACTCGTTCACTAACAAAGTCAGAGTGCCTCACTACCCTGTTAATATCTATGCTGTCAAAAGGCATGATGAGGACAAAAGCTCAAAAGCTGAGTATTAAAACTCAAGTTCTTAAAACAAATGAGGCCTCTTTTCCATAAAGTATCATTAAGTCAACACATAAGGAAAAAGACCACGAATGGTGAAAGATGTGTTGTAACATACATTTAACGAAGTGAAGAGAAAGGGCAAACAAAACATGACACACCACATGCTAAATGAGGTGTCTGATCATGTCAGTGGCTATGAACTACTTCTTTGAGTCTAGCATATCTGGGGAAAAATTTAGGAACTGCTTTGGATTCCAGTTTGCTTTTAAGTACCTGGCTCACAAATCAGGAAAAATTACCCATATGCAATGAACCATTCAAGTTTTGGACCTCGCAAGGAGGCTTAAAAATATTTTTTCTTTTATTCCCAATTCCTTTTCAAATTACCATGAAATACATACCTTCCTCCTATTGAGTCGTCTTGTGGTTGGGCCCCGGCAGTGTTCCTCTGTGAACGTCGCAGTGACCCCCCTGGATTGTTATTAGGCCGGTTGGACATTGGCACCTCTCTCTTGAAGGGACATACCCTTTCTAGACACTACCATTCACTAAAAGAAAAAAAAATAAACAAAATTTATCAGATGTACAAAATACAATATGGAAAAGAAATGAGGGGAACTTACGGTGACATGGAAATTTTCTGCAAACTATCTGATTTTACAGCCTTCACCCATGCTGCAATGTCTCACTGAACTGTGAAGTCTGACTGATCAACGTGTTAACAAAATGTCAGGGTACGTGTAACATATTCAAGCCATGTGGTCCCGGACTCAGTATATAAAATTAACTTAGATTTCACGGAATAGCCAGAAAATTCTCAATTCAAAGAAAACAGAGCACAGGTAGAAATATGTCTTCGTTTCCCCATTCTAGTATTGTGCCTAAACAGGCACTACACCTCAAGTCAAAAGATGATGGCTCAAGTCTTGTGACGGAATAGGTGTTAAAGAAGTTTGCCTTTGTACAAATCACAGCCTCTAAGCCTAGGATTCCTTAGACACAGAATTAACAATGTATGTCATGTCTTCTTCACAGTATTGTTGTGAATAACAAATGAAAAAATAAATACAAACAAAATCGTGGCCGGGTGGAGTGGCTCACACCTGTAATCCCAGTATTTTGGGAGGCTGAGGTGGGTGGATCATCTGAGGTCAGGAGTTCAACACCAGCCTGGTCAATATGATGAAACCCCGTCTCTACTGAAAATACAAAAATTAGCCAGGTGTGGTGGCGCACATTTGTAAACCCAGCAACTTGGGAGGCTGAGGCAGGAGAATCGCTCGAACCCGGGAGGCAGGGGTTGCAGTGAGCCTAGATCATGCCACTGGATTCCAGCCTGGGCAACAGAGTGAGACTCCACCTCAAAACTAAACAAAACAAACAAAATTGTAAAACTATAGTATCTTACTGAAAAGATGAGGAGAAAACAGCTCAAATAGAGTAAATTGAGCAATGGTCTCAGATATTCTGGATTTTCAACAGCAGCTCTGCTGGCCGTGACCTTGGACAAAATAATCTCTACCTTTAATTTACTCTCCTTTAAAACCAGTACGTTACCTACCTCAACAGAGTTGTCAGCAACAAGAAATTGCGAAAGTATTTTTAGCTCAAATTTAGCTCAAAACAGTTCTTAATCAAACTGAACTTTCTATAAGAAATGATTGTGCAGATAAAATATCGAAACTCAGAAAATTAGTTTAACTGGTAAAACAAGCCAACATAACAATCATAGAATTACGACATGCACAAATAAAATCTTGCACTATTTTTTGTAAGCCTGCAGTCAAATTCCAAGTGGAGTTCTTTCATTACTTCTATTTACTGGGAAAGAGAGTGAACATATGACATTATAGAAACTGGTGCCAAAGAGAATGCAAATTAATCATAATTAAATCTATTACTGTACTGGATTTTGTTTTAGAGATTCCTTATACTGTAATAAGAAAGTAGTTTTCTTTTGGGTTATATTGTTGATACAATTCAGTAGAAAAAGACTGTTTCTATCACATATGTCCAAATTAATATAATAAACTTTAATTAGAAAGTTCAAATTACTAATTTAAGGATAGTCAGTTTTAGAAAGAAAAAAATAAATACAATTAAACATTAAAAGAGAGGCAGGCAGAGAGAGAAGAAAAGGTTAAACTTATGCGTACTGATATGGAAAGATATGAAACTCTCATTTGTGTGTATGTATACCAAGAAGACTTGTATATAAGTTTCTGTATACTGTCCACGTTAAAAATTCATGGAAAGATGCATGAAACATACTTCGTTAATAATGACTGCCTTTGAGAAAGGACTGGGGGATCCAGAGTTTAGAATGGAAGAAATCATTTTTGTTGTCATTGAGACTGATTGTCAATTTATAAGGAATTAAACAGGCTGCTCTAGCATAACAGCTTTAAGTACAGAGCTCTCAAGTCAAACTGTCTCTGCCCAAGTTCAATTCTGGACTCTAACACTAACAAGTTGTACATAATCTTGCATATATGAGTGTGTGCATACATACTTCCCCCTGTGCTTCAATCTATCAAATGAGGATAAAGAACTCACATGGCAGTTGTGAAGATCAAATGATAAATCCATGTAAACTACTCAATACAGTGCCAATCATGTAGCAAGTGCTCAGTACATGTTAAGTATTATTATTACTATAAACATTTATTCAAAAGAATAAAAATACTTGTGGTAAAATAAAATCTAATATATTGGGAAAGGCTTCACCATAAAAATCACTGTCTATATGAGTCTTAATTTTTGGCAAAATACTTTCAAAAGTGAAATGTTTTTAATTAAGGGTAAACATCTCAATCACCTGGGAAGCTTTGTCAAAATATGAATGCCTGTCCCCTAACCTCAGATCCTCATTCTTTGGGCACAAAAATTGGAGACATAGTTTAAAAGAGCTTTCCTGGGTATACTGCGATACACCAAGAAGTTCAGCACATCAAAGAATAAAAGGCCAGTCTTTTTCAAAATTCATGTTAGAAATTTCTCTACTTCAATCATCTCAATGCCATTTCACCTGGACCCAAACAGCAAGGACAGATACAAGAGAATAGGATGATACTGCTGCTCTCACTTTAAAAGGCAAAGAATAGTATTATAAACAAGGTTAGTAGTTGTCACCTGCCCACCTTCTGCTATTAAACGCCTACTGTATGTCATGGAGTGTTAAGTCATTCAAATGAAACTAAGTCAGGCTAGTTGTTTTGACCTAGAGTCACCTAGGTAACCTTAACAATGCTCCCCAACATCTTCAGTGCTGGTCAACCAGCACCATTATCAGCCAACAGCCTATTTGTCGATAATTCTTGAGATATAAGAGGAAGAATAGCAGGTAAGAACAAAGCTGTTTATCAAATTACTCCCTGCTGTTAAAGCATAAATTCATCTTTTTAAAAAGAGGCCAGGCTTTGTAAAACATTTGAACTTTAATTTCCTGAAAGTAAATAAAAGATTAACATATGATGGATACAGGATCTCTCCCTCTGCCAGGTATCAATAAAACCAGAGGGCTGGAAGGGACCCTCGGAGATGATCAAGTTCAACCCCTTATACTTTGCAGACAAATCCAAATGAAGAAAGTTCCAAGTAATTTGTTGAAGAACCAGTCTTCTGAATCCTGGTACTGAGCAGTTCTACACACTTCATAGGTATCACCACCTCAACTTCAAAAAAAGTTTAATGCCTCTTTGGCTTCAGCTAAGAACCCAGAGGCCAAAAGTTTTCTCTACGCAATGAATTACAGAATGTTTTCCTTATAGAATATTCTGTACTGACTTGACCAATTACTTATGTCTACCATATATTACTTAATTTTTAAAACACAAGTGGGAATTACACTATTACACTGCTAAAAGTTATGTTTTCATAGCCGGTAGTGAATATGAACTCGAAGATTCCATCTTAACAGATTAACTCCTAGTGTGAAACTAGAATTATAAACCCAATTTAATATCCCTATCAAATCCTGAAATACACTAGTCTTTTCTAACCATGGCCATACCTTCATTTCTGTAAAACTAATCAAGATTTTTCACATAAAACCTTTGATATTCAGTCCTAAGGTACTGAAATAAAATAGAGAACATGTATGACTTTAACAGGAAAAACAAAAAGGCTAATGGATGTCTTCAAGGTTGAAAACAAATTCACGACAATTTTAATCACAGAGTATACAACCAACTTATTCACTGTTTAAGTTAAATGACTTTTCATTTTATGTGAAAATGTATTTAACTCTACACGCAAATACCACATAGAGAAACAAAAACAAAAACAATCGGCTGGGCGCGGTGGCTCACGTGAGGTCATGAGTTCGAGACCACCCTGGCCAACATGGTGAAACTCCATTTGTACTATAAATACAAAAATTAGCCAGGTGTGGTAGTGCGCACCTGTAAAATCCCAGCTACTTGGGAGGGTGAGGCAGGAGAATCGCTTGAACTCAGGGGGCAGAGGTTGCAGTGAGCCAAGATTGCACCACTGCACTCCAGCCCAACTAATAGTGAGTCCATTTCAAAAAAAAAACCCAAAAACCTGTATGTTGTTGTTTTATATTTACATTTAAAAATTCATTCCTAAAATATCTATCAAGAATAGTCCTTAAAGGAAAACTTAAACTAAAAACATTTTGCAATTTTTCTTTTCTTTTTTTTTTTTTTTTTTGAGACAGAGCCTTGCTCTGTTGCCCTGGCTGGAGTGCAGTGGCACGATCTCGGCTCACTGTAACCTCCACCTCCTGGGCTCAAGCGATTCTCCTGCCTTGGCCTCCAGAGTAGCTGGGATTACAGATGCCTACCACCATACCCGGCTAATTTTTGTATTTTTAGTAGAGATGGAGTTTCATCTTGTTGGCCAGGCTGGTCTTGAACTCATGACCTCAAGTGATCCGCCCACCTCGGCCTCCCAAAGTACTGCAATTACAGGCGTGGACCACTGCCTGTGCCTGGCCGGAAATTAATTTTTCTTCTAAATTCTTAATATCATACGCACACAAAGAAAGGCTAAAAAAAACCCAAAACATTTTTTAAAAATTCAATCCTTCCTCTGGTACAGAACTTTCAGAACACTGAAAGAAATCACCTGCAAAAAAATAAAGCCAGGCACGGTGGTGGATGCCTGTAGTCTCTGCTGCTGGGAGGCTAAGGCAAAAGAATCACTTGATCCCAGAAGTTTGAGGCCAGCCCAGGCAACACAGGTACAGAAACCTTGTCTCTGTAAGAAACTTAAAAATTAGCCAGGCAGGACGGTGCACACCTGTGGTCCCAGCAACTCAGAAGGCTGAGGTGGAAGATTACTTAAGCCTGGGAGGACGAGGCTGTGGCAGGCCGTGATAATACTACTGCACTCCAGTCTGGGTAACACAAGGAGACCGTCTCAAAAAAACAAACAAACAAAAAATACAGCCACATATTGCACTAGTGACATTCTGTTCAACAACTGACCAGAAATACAACAGTGGTGCCATAAGATTACATAATACCACATATTTACTGTGATTTTTCTATGTTTGGATATTTTTAGACACACAAATATTTACCATTTTGTTACAACCACCTACAGTATTTGGTAGAGGAACAGGTATGTTACAAACATGTTGCTATGTTTGCAACAGGTAAATCTCATTTGTCCAGTATGTACCCCCCTAATTTCTTACGGACTTATTTAGATTTGGTCCTCCAAAAAGGCTTGGTTTAGCTTCAGATCATTAACTTGGAGGTAAATTACAGTAATAAACACAATTTGCAAGGTACTTTACTCATTTTGTAAAATTTAAATGTGACAAGGAGTCATATAAACCATTGCCCATTAGTCCTATTTTACAAATAAAGAAACTGAAATGTTACAAAATTAGTACCCTGCATGAAACAAGTAATGGCATCCAGACCTGCAGACTGCAAGCAAGAACTGACATCTGGAGCTCCAGTTCTGAACTACACACACCAGATAAAGAAGGAAATGACTAGGTCCCAGAACCAAGTGTGGTAAGGGGCAGCATATATTAAACCACTACAATAAAACAAAATAGAAATCACCCTTGTGTATAAAAGAAGTCATTCTTGCCTACCTAAAAACAGCAAGGACTTCAAATAAGCCTATCTTTAAAGTGGGAATGAATAACCCTTAACATTCCCCAAAAGCACTGAGAGGTGCTGAGATTGAGAGGTGCCGAGAAACAATGACAAGACAATCCCTCCTCACAAGGAGCTTACTGCTCTGTATCGCCCACCTAGGCTCAAATTCTGCCTCTGCTGCTTGGTAAGACCTACAAGTACTTACCTTCATCTCAGTTTGTTTCTCCATTTAATTAGAGACAATATTATACTTTGGGATTTAAGTATTAGAGAACTGCATATAAGGCTCTCAGAACCTTACCTGAACATGATAGCTGCCATTTAATGAGTACTTATTAAGTACAATCTTAAAGAAAAACGGGGGAAATCATCAGGTCCATCATGTGCCAGAAAGGAATTGAAGGGGAAAAAGAACAAAAACTTTCTACAAAACCACTGGGACAGTTTATTATTTTACTTTGATTTAGGAAGGAAGCAATACAAAATCAGCAGTTTTGTATGGTATATTCGTAAGTCAAATGTCAAACTCTTAAGTAGCCATATGTCAAACCTGAAATAGCTGTATCTGATATAGAACAGCACAATGCAGTTTATTAGTTCACGTTTGAATTAAGGGCAACAGAAATTTACTGCCTTTTTTTCCAGTTAATCAGAAAAGTTCTATAGAGAAATTAGGAGAGTAAGGGCCATTGAGTGCAAGAGAAAGGGCTACGTTAGGGTCTGTTAGGCACTGAATGCAATTTATGGGCATCAAAACCATTTGAATGTGATAACGGGATATTATACAACATGTAAAAATAGCATTTTTTTTTTTTTTGAGACGGGATCTCACTGGACACCCAGGCTGGAGTGCAATGGCGCGATCTCGGTTCACTGCAACCTCCACCTCCCAGGTTCAAGCGATTCTTCTGCCTCACCTCAGCCTCCCGGGTAGCTGGGACTACAGTCGTGCAACACCATGCATGGCTAATTTTTGTATTTTTAGTACAGACAGGGTTTCACCACATTGTCCAGGCTGTTCTCAAACTCTTGACCTCAAGTGATCCACCCTCCTTGGCCTCCCAAAGTGCTGGGATTACAGGCATGAGCCACTGTGCCCGGCCAAACTAGTATTTTCAAATTGTATTTTTATAACACTAGAAAACAATATTTAATGGAAAAAATACAAGATTTAAGTTGAACAGTAAAGTATGGGTTACGTGTATTCTGTGCTTAGCATGTACCAGGCAATGTGCTTTAAATCATTTAATTTTCACACCAACTTTACAAAACTGGTAGTGCAAATAACCTTCTTAAAAAGAAATCATGACACACAGTAAGTTAAAATAACCCTAAGGCTACAAAGCTAATAGGGGACGGGCTCAGCACTCAAATACAAGTTTGACTGAGCAAACAAGGAAAAATAATTATGTATTTACCTTAAAAAAAATCAAAATACTAGAAAGCCATGACATCCCAAGCTTAAAGGATTATGGGGGATAGAAAGAAAATTCTGATCCTTTGCCATTTGGTAAATCAGCTTAGCTGGCCAATCATTAAGTGAATAATTATAAAATATGCTAAATTGATTTGAGAAGCAAGATCAAATGTACTACTCTAAACAAAGAAGAAAAAGGTGGCTAACTTTGCCTTCACAGGTTGAGGATGACCAGTCACTTCTGCTGATGTTCCTTGAAATGCTAGAGCAGTGAGGAAAGACATGGAGGAATGAGAGAATAAATTATAATGCAGGGATGTGGAGTGGTTCCTTGAGCCTGAAAATAAGCCTAAACTCTATCATGAAGGGCCAGAAACAAAAAGTTTTACATTTAAGACCTACAGATAAGGAGGCAGATCAAGTAGAAAGCTACCAAACAGATCTAAGGGTAGATGAGGATCTGTTAACAATGGAAGAAGGCAAAATGAAGACGGGGTCAAGAAACATTTTGATGACAGGATCTACACAGTGAGAAAGAATAGTCTAAGACTGTGGTTCTCAGACTTCAGACAAATATAAACCCTAAAATGACTCAAATTTCTTACACTGGTGACAAAGGTTAAGAAAAGTTATCTAAAACATATAAAGAAGATGACTGCACATCCTTTCAATGTCCTAGGAAATGCTACATCAGAGGCTTACCTAGGAATTATTTAATTTTCTGCAAGAGCATCATATTTTAATTTTGCTATTATATTTACTATTAATCAGGGGTTCAGACATTAAAGTTACATGTTAACCTGTAGATTTAAGTCTGGAGAAATACAGTTTATGTACAGAAGAAAAGACAACCCCAAAGATTGCAGTTTGTTGCCTGTAGGTTATCAGTAATCTCATTCTAAAATTCTTTATTAAATTGCCTATAAATACCCAGTTCCCCAAATGCTCTTTAAACTAGCTTTACTACAACAGCTTCCTGTCCTTATTAACTAGTCAAACAGTATCTTTGCTATTTACATTCTATAGTTCTAAAAGTCATGCTTTTAACTTTAGAAAATTATACAAAATGATTGTAGCAGCATTATCAAATGATACACATGAGCAGAAAGAGTACATTTAGTGTTAATCATATAAAACCTGACTCATCATGTAGGTATCCAGGTAGAGTTTCAATAAGCAAATGGAAGTAAAGATTGAGAATTATGTAGGCAACTGGATATACAGATGGGAGAAATTACACTGACATGCAGGAGGTAAGAGAAACCAAGGTAATCAATAAGATTCTATTTTCTCTATGAAAAACAGACAGCATAAAGAGAGGAATACGCCCAGGATGAAATATTGGGAAATGCTAAAATCTAAGGAAAACATAAAAAAAAAGAATCCAGTCAAGGAAAATCAAGAACTTACCACAAGCACTGGGAAAATAAATCAGGATAGTGGTGTTGGCAGACACCAAGAGGAAGACAGATAGGCAGAGTTCAAAAAACTCAAAAATGTCCATCAGATTTAGAAAATGGCGAGAGCAGCCTGGGCAACATGGCAAAACCCCATCTCTACACAAAATACAAAAATTAGCGAGGGCGTGGTAGCGCGCCTGTAGTCCCAGCTGCTCAGGAGGCTGAGGTGGAAGGACTGCTTGAGCCCAGGATGCGGAGGTTGCAGCGAGCCAAGATTGCGCCACTGCTCTCCAGCCTGGGGGACAGAGCGAGACTTTGCCTCCAAAAAAAAAACAAAAGAAAATGTTGAGAGCTATTTCTAGAAATGGTGGGGAAGGAGAGGGTATAAGGTAAGATAATAAATACCAACTCTCTTCTGGAAGTGCTAGACTTTATAAAGAGAAGAGACAATAGCCAGGAGAGAAGGGAAGGCAGAGAGACAAAGGCTGTGTTTGCATGGATATATGTAATTTCCCTGTTTGTCGTTTTTAAAAAAATAAATTTTGAGCATATGTATTTAGGTAAAGAAAAGAATTACTGAAAGAAAAGGTTGGGAATAAAGGACAGTCTACTAACAGGATCCCGCAGGGGGAAAAAAATTAAGAGCATAAGCTTTGGATCAGAAGAGCATATCAATCTCTGAGGCATGAGAAGATGACAACTCCAAGTAAGGAAGTACGTGCCTAACTTGTTGAATCTGTGATTAACAGGTGTGAGAAAAGCAAAGAAGAAAGGAGGTAACCCTTCACAAGGAGGTCCAAAATAGACCAAAAATCTATTTTGTAGAACACTGTAAGATGATCAATTATCCTGAATAGCTATTGCTAAGCTATTTCTAAAATACAGAGCCACTCATTCCCTAATATAAATCCTGTCTTAGCTCAGATGGCTTGTATAATCCATTAGAATACTAACTGCATTCATGTAACAGAGGATATTCTTCAGGTCTCAAAAGCACACAGACAGCAACTTTTAGTCCACATGCCAAAAATGGTGCACAGACCCAATTTTAACAGGTCTACAATCCTGTTGGCTACCATCATTAGCCAGTGAATGGGGATAGGAGGTCAGCTTATCAATAGTCTTTCTAGTTACTTCCTCTTAAGGGTATCAGACTAGATAGTCTCTAAAATCGGATTCAGTTCCAAATTTTTTAAGACTCCAACCTAATGTTTATTTCAGTTTTTCTTCAATGGGGTACTTTAAAAGTTCTTCCTTATAAAGATATAATAATACCATTTATTAGGGACTCATTAGGTGATTATGAAAAATGAGGAGCTGCTGAGGGAGCAGAGAAAGAATGATTTGTAAATGCTTCTCTCCCTTAAGCGACAGACAGAAACCTCCTGGCTAAGAATAAAAGTTATTCACAGTACAAGGTACCCTGTAGATTACAGCAAAGTGCTCCCTATGGACAAAAACAATTTTATATTTGGTAAATGACCTTTCCAGCATTCAGACACACATAATAAGGCAATATTTTCAAAAATATTCTCTTCAATATATATTCTTGTCACTATTGTGAACTCCACCATAATAATGACATCACAGAGGTTAACTCTTTTTTTTTTTTTTTTTGAGATGGAGTCTTGTTCTGTCGCCCAGGCTGGAGTGCAATGGCGCAGTCTAGGCTCACTGCAACCTCCGCCTCCCAGGTTCAAGCAATTCTCCTGCCTCAGCCTCCTCAGCAGCTGGGACTACAGGCACGCACCACCACACCCAGCTAATTTTTGTATTTTTAGTAGAGATGGGGCTTCACCATGTTGGCCAGGCTGGTCTGGAACTCCTGACCTCAGGTGATCCGCCTGCCTCGGCCTCCATCCACCTGCCTCGGCCTCCCAAGGTGCTGGGATTACAGGTGTGAGCCACCACACCCAGCCTACAGAGGTTAACTCTTTAACATAGTTCAGATTAGGACGTCTATTCCTGACTTACAATAAAAAATATTTTAACGTTGTGATAACCATGGATTTGTGTTATAATCTTTTCCAAACAAGTATGTAGCCTGTCATCAATAGAGCTACAACCTGGGGAACTGTCAGAAACAAAAATTATTAAGATTATAGTTAAGGTGGGGGAAAGGAAGCATTAAAATGTAACTCAAAGTCGGGGAGAAAATACAGACTGTAACTTTAACACCTGGTGAATAATAGTGTCAAATTTTTGTTTAAGATCATGCATTTCAGAGTAATTATACCTAAATTCATTTAGAATGTCTCGAATATTTTTCAAAAGTTAAAAAAAAATTTTAAATGCCATACTCTATAGACTAATGCCCCACATTTCTACATTTAGCATTTTTACCAAAAATAAGTAGATGCCAAAGACTGCCTCTATATTGAGCCAGAATACGTACAAACCAGGAGCCAAGAGAAAATTCAGAGCTGTATTTCCCAAACGTAAATTTCTGTAATACAGATTCCTGGACCCTATCAGAATGGGGGTATGGGAAAATCAAACCATTCTTAGAATAATAGGCTGGGTGCAATGTCTCATGCCTATAATCCCAGCACTATGGGAGGCCAAGGCACAAGAAGGTGGCTTGAGCCCAGGAGTTCAAGACCAGTCTGGGCAATATAAGGAGACCCCATCTCTACAAAATATTTAAAAATTAGCTGGGGCTGGGCGCAGTGGCTGACACCTGTAATGCCAGCACTTTTGGAGGCTGAAGCGGTAGGATCACTTGATCTCAGGAGTTTGAGACCAGCCTAGGCAACATGGTGAAACCCCCTCTCTACCAAAAAAAAAAAAATTTAGCCTGGCGTGGTGGTGGTGCACATCTGTGGCCCCAGCTACTCAGCAAGCTGAGGTGGGAGGACTGCTTGAGCCTGGGAAGTGAAGTCTGCAGTAAGCTGAGATCATGCCACTGTACTCTAACCTGGGCGACAGAGCGAAACTGTCTCAAAAATAAAAAATAAAATTAAAATAGCCGGGTGTGGTGACATGCACATCTAGGCCCAGCTACTCCGGAGGCTAAGGTGGTGAGGTGGGAGGACTGCTTGAGCCCAGGAAGTCAAGGCTGCAGCAAGCCATGATTGTGCCACTGTGCTCCAACCTGGGTGACAGAGGGAGACCCTGCGTCAAAACAAAACAAAACAAAAACACCAAAAGAAATTAAAAAGGAAAAAAAGCAAAATAACTATTTTTCTAGTATCAGCTAGGTTTGACAACTGTGACACAGATTTACGCTATTGTTTTGGTATCATTACGTATCATCTTCTATTCCTTTGTAATTTTTACATGACTCTCCCAACTCCCACAATTAAAAACTGCCACTGATATCCTTAGAAACTTCTAGGAATCTAACCTAAAGAAATACTTGCACAAGTAAGCAAGGATGTAATCACGATGGTCACTGCAGTATGTCACTGTGGAAAAATGGAGATGATCCGAATGTTCTCAGCAAAGGAACAGTTAATAAGTATACTGTATCAATACTA
Organism: Homo sapiens; assembly: GCF_000001405.40. NCBI lineage: Eukaryota > Metazoa > Chordata > Mammalia > Primates > Hominidae > Homo > Homo sapiens. The sequence continues at coordinate 229,891,960 of NC_000002.12, forward strand.
TGGCATATTTAGAGGTCCTCAAAAGCAAAGGGGTAAATCTGTATATACTGCACTGACATTCATAGACAGAACATTGTTAATTCATTCCTTCAGCAAATATTTGAAGGCCTATTTGACAGGTGTCAATACTGTTTGCTACAATGGAGCTCACCTCAATTGGAAAGAGAAAATAAACAAACTATATGCACATTGTGGTAAGTCCCATGAAAAGTGAAATAGGAGAAAAATAGGAAGGAGTAGAGGATAATGGGAAGGAGGAAGGAAAAAGCTACTTTGGGTTGAATCATCAGGTAACAGCTCTCTGAAGAGACATTTTAAGCTGAGACTCAAAGCATAAGAAAGAAGCAGGGGGAAGGAAAGGTATGTATTTGTTTATATATGTGTAGGAAAAAAGTCTGCAAAAATACACCTAAATGTCAACAGTGGAGCAGAGAGAGAAGTAGTAAAAAGTACCTATGTCTTGAGTCTGTTCAAACCCTGGCTCTACCATTTTAAGTCATGTTATCTTGGAAAAATTTCATAACTAAGCCTGAGTTTTCTCATCTGTCAAAGAAATCATTATGCCTTTCAGAGGTAAAGACATTGTCACCCATTTGAGAATAATGTGACAAAATACAAAAAAAATTAGGTCAGGCACGGTGGCTCACACTTGTAATCCCAGCACTTTGGGAGGCCAAAGTGGGCAAACTGCTTGAGCGGAGTTTGAGACCAGCCTGGGCAGCATGGCGAAACCCCTTCTCCACAAAAAATACAAAAATTAGCCGGGCATGGTAGTGCGCATCTCTAGTCCCAGCGACTTTCGGGGCTGAGGTGGGAGGATTGCTTGAGCCCAGGAGATGGAGACTGCAGTGGGCTGAGATTGCACCACTGCACTCCAGCCTGGGTGACAGAGTGAGACCCTGCCTCGAAAAAATAAAAATAAAAAATAAAAAGCCATATTCACATTCAAATCAGTAAGACTACAGCTACCACTCATCTTCAAATGGGCATAAACATAAACTGAACAACATTTGTAAAACAGGCTAGTTACACAAATTGAATTATCTTCCTGAACTTTCCATTTTGATTCTTCTTTTACTTCTCACTACCTTTCCCCTGCATGCAGATTATAAAATTTCTCAAAATACAAAAAAGTTGAGAATTGCTCAATACCTGTAAGTCCCATCTAGCTTCTACAATGAAAAGTTTTACATATGTTTTATTACATATGTATCCATATCCTCATTTACGTACCCCTGTGTCTGCCAACTATCCATCCTATTTTTTGATGTATTTCAAAGTAAGTTGCAGGCACCATTATACTTTATGTATCATAAAACAGTTTCCAAATTTTGCTTCATGTTTTCAGTTAAATTTTCAACAACGAAATGCCCAAGTGTTAAGTGTAAAATTCAATGAGTTGTGACAAACACACACACCTATGTAACCCAAATCCTTACCAGGATATACAGTCTATCACCCAAGAAACTTTCCTCACGCTCCTCCCCAATCAGTCCCTGCACTTCACCTCCCAACTCTGCAACTACTGTTCTAATTTTTTTTTTTTTACCATTGTCTTGCCTATTCTAGAATTTTATGTAAGTGGAAACATAGTATGTACTCCTTTGTGTAAGGCTTCTTTGACTCAGCATAATAATATCCTGAGATTCATCTATGTTGCTGAGTTTTATCAATATTTTTACTTTCTTATTGCTGAATATTCTACTGTATGAATATGAACATTTTGATTACCCATTTTTCTGTTGATGGACTAAGTTTTGCCCGTTAAGTTTAAAGCTGCTAGATTTTTCTACAAGTCTTTCCATGGATACATGCTTTCATCTCTTTTGAGCAGAATTAACTAAGAGTAGAATCACTAGATCACCCTCCTGAGTAGCTGTGAGTATAGGTGTGTGCCGCCATGCCTGGCTTTCCTTGTGGGGAGATGGAGGTGAGTAGAGACAGGATGTTGCTATGTTACCCGGGCTGGTCCCAAACTCCTGGACTCAAGCAATCCGCCCACCTCAGCCTCTCAAAGTATTGGCCATCTCTGCTAAAAATACAAAAAGTGGCCAGATTGGTGCTGCATAACCATAATCCCAGCTACTCGGGAGGCTGAGGCAAGAGAAGCACTTGAACCTGAGGGATGGAGGCTGCAGCGAGCTGAGATGGCACCACTGCACTCCAGCCTGGGTGACAGAGTGAGACTCTGGCTCAAAAAAAAAAGTTTTCGTTATTCTGCTGGGTGTGTAGTAGTATCTTATTATTGTTCTAATACGTATTTCCCTAATAACTAATGATGCTGATTATTTGTGTTTGAAGCTAACTGCACCCCCCGCCGACTTTCCAAACCCAAAATACTCAAGAATCTAATATCATTTCAAGCTTTTTAAAAAAAGTCTTTATCGTGATCACTTTGGCAGCACATACACTAAAAGTGGAACTATACGGAGAAGAATAGCATGGCCCCTGTGTAAGGATTACACAATTTAATATTGTTTTTAAAGGCCTTTATCAACTCTCAACTCATGAAATAAGGGAAAAAAAACTATGGGATACACTTTCATGATGAAGATGACCAGAAATATTCCTGAACCCCATCCCAAACCGACTGCTGGGAAAGTTGCCTTGTTGCTAAAAAAAGCAAGCAAGACAGGGGAGACAGCAGGAGAGAAGAGAAGGAAGGGGAAAAGAAAATCTATACCTGAGAATTTATACATGTGTGGCCAAGATTTGTAGGCATATTTCAAATCAGGTGAATGATCCAAGAAACTTTAAGCCAAGGAACTTCAAATCCTACTGATCACTTAACGCAGCGATGCTCAGTATTTAACGTGCCTAAGAATTACCTATGGATCTTGTTAAAATTCACATTCTTGTTAAAATACAGGGATAGAACTTGAGGTGCCATGTTTCCTAAAAAAACTTCTCTGCCAGTCTGAGAACCATACTTTGGGTAGCAAGCTCTTAGTGCATCTAAATACTTGACAAGAGCAAAGTAAACCTTTAGAGAAAGGCACCTTTAGGCCTCGGAAAATGCTACACATAATCTAAGGACAATGAACAGAATATACATAACACTCAAGTAAACAAGGCATCATGAATAAAAACCTGCAAAAAGACACAAAACATTTCAGATAGGAGAATTATCAGATCTTAAAATGCTCACAATGTGTAGATGCATAAAGGACAAACATGAGAAAGATAAATGAAACAGAAAAACTATTAAATGTTACATAGATTTGGAAAACAACCAAACAGAATTTCTAACATGAAAAATAAAATAATAAAGCTCAGACAGGTCTGGCTGCCTATTAGACAAAGACAGCAAAGTGGAAGACAGAAGGAATTATATAAAATATATACAGAAAGAACAAAAGATTAAAAATAAGATATGCAGAGAATAAAGTGAGAAATTCATATATAAGTTTAAATAAAAATTCCAGAAGTAGAAGAGTGAAGAAATGTGAGACATATCTAAACATTTAGTGGCTGAGAATTTTCTAGAACCAGTAAATGATATGAATCCACAGATGCAAGGGACCTAACTGAGCTCAAACAGGATAAATAAAAGACATCTAAACCCAGACATGTCCTAAGTCAAAAACAAAATAGGTGTGGCGGCCTATTAGACAAAGACAGCAAAGTGGAAGACAGAAGGAATTATATAAAATATATCACAGAAAGAACAAAAGATTAAAAATAAGATATGCAGAGAATAAAGTGAGAAATTCATATATAAGTTTAATAAAAATTCCAGAAGTAGAAGAGTGAAGAAATGTGAGAGACATATCTAAACATTTAGTGGCTGAGAATTTTCTAGAACCAGTAAATGATATGAATCCACAGATGCGAGGGACCTAACTGAGCTCAAACAGGATAAATAAAAGACATCTAAACCCAGACATGTCATAATTCAAAAACAAAATAAACTAGCCACATGTAGAGCTGTGCAGGAGGATCGCTTGAGCCCAGAATTTTGAGACTACAGTGACCATGATAGCACCACTTCATACCAGCCTGGGCAACAGAGTGAGACACCATCTCTAAAAAAATAATAATAAAATAATAAAATAAAACATTCTACACCAAGTGAAATTATCTCCAATGAATGAAGTTTTGGTCAGATTAAAAGTTTTTCCACCAGCAGAAAAGAAGTGGCCCAGGAAAAAGTAAAGGTTGTCACCTTTACAGCTAAATGTAAATGAATATTAACTCTATATTATACTATAGAGTAAGATTCAAAAAAATTTATTCAAATGACAGTATCTTAAGGCCAACAGGAACTTGGTAAATGGAGTTATCATTTTAAGGTCGTTGTATTTTCCACAAAAAGACCTTGTTAAATATACTGTTTTACTTTGTAAAACAGGCAGGCAGAGACTAGAATCATCTCTCTATTAAAAATAATAAACTCAGCCAGGCGTGGTGGCTCACACCTGTAATCCCAGCACTTTGAGAGGCTGAGGCAGGTGGATCACCTGAGGTCAGGAGCTCGGGACCAGCCTGGCCAACATGGTGAAACCCCGTTTCTACTAAAAATACAAAAATTAGCTGGGCATGGTCAGGAGGCTGAGGCAGGAGAATCGCTTGAACCTGGGAGGTGAAGGTTGCAGTGAGCTGAGATGGCGCCACTGCACTCCACCCTGGGTGACAGAGCAAGACTCCGTCTCAAAAATAATAAAATAATAATAATAAACTATTATGAAGGCAACAAATCAGAAAATAAAATGAAGTAAAACTCCATCTCTAGTTAAGATTATCAGACTAGGCTTTTAAAATACTCTAACTACAAGAGATAATCTAAGAAACAAGAATACAGAATGAAAGAAGATGAAAAATACCATACAAACACTAGGCAAAGCTGGTGTATCTAAAAAAGACTTTACAATAAGACTCTTGTTTTTAAAAGTAATAAAAACTTTTAGGGTGGTAAAAATTACAGTTTATAATACTACAATGGTAGCTGTATGTCATTACAAATTTGATAGAAGATGCAAAAAGAATAAATCCTAATGTAAACTAGGGACTCTGGGTAATAACATATCAATGTAGGTTCACTGACTGTAACAAATGTACCACTTCGGTGGGGGATGTTGATCACAGGAAAAGGCTATGCATGTTGAGGGGTAGAGGAGTGTACAGGAAATCTCTGTACCTTCAGCTGATTTTTGCTATGTGAGCCTAAAACTACTCTTAAGAAGTCTTTTAAGGCATTAAAAGGCATTACCAGAGATAAAAAGAGTACCTCCATAGTGAAAAAGGGTTTAATCCAGTGACACTGCAATTCTCAATTTATATACACTTCATTTATATACAAGGCCTAATATTACATATTAAAAAACTAAAAAATACCAAATCCAAAGTGGATTTTAAAACACTTCTCTCAGCAACCAATATAACAAGACAACTAAAAAATAAATAAGGGGCCAGGTGCAGTGGCTCACGCCTGTAATCCCAGCACTTTGGGAGGCCAAGGTGGGAGGATTATTTGAGGTCAGGAGTTGGAGACCAGCCTGGCCAATGTGGTGAAACCTCGTCTCTACTAAAAATACAAAAATTAGCCAGGTGTGGTGGCATGCGCCTGTAATCCCAGTTACACCGGAGGCTGAGGCAGGAGAATCGCTTGAACCAGGAGGCGGAGGTTGCAGTCAGCTGAGATCGTGCCACTGCACTCCAGCCTGGGCGACAGAGTGAGACTCCGTCTCTAAATAAATAAAGATAATTATCTATTCAAGTTTTACAAAATCTTCTTGCCTTAAAGTTCTCTATACTTCTGCATAATTACAACTCTGAAGAGCCCCATGGCACTTTGCAAACTTAGACATTTCGTTAGATGCCTCTGCAAGTGGGTACTTACATTAGACAACCATGTTTGCCTCCTCTCTCTCCCCCCTATGTTCCCACAGACTCCTATGAATGCTGCAACATAATACCTAACACCCTTCCAGATAGTCACAACACCTGCCACAAGTTAACCAGGATTCAAGACTCAACAAACAACCTATGATGGACCAATGAGAGTCTCCTCCCAAGACTCTTTGGGTACCTAGATTGTAAAACCTAAGTTTGGCATTATAATGGCTGTATTTAATACAGTCAAATTAGAAAGCAGTCTTTAGAGAGAAAGAGAGAGACAGCAGACACAAAGACAGTAGAGACAATAGGTGATAGTTTCGGAAATACTGGTTTCCCTAAGGCCCAGCTGCCTAATTCCATTCTTAAGGATTTCATTAGACACACATTGATAAGTCAATGTCAAGTAATAGTCTTAGGTAAGCAGGCATTCAATTAATGTTTGAATATTTTTTAAGTCCCACTTTATTTTTTACACCTCCAAATTGACATTAGTGTAAACTTGACTCATTCAGAGATTTCCCCCAATAACAAAGACAAAATTAAGCCACAGCGCACGAAGTAACAACAATGTACAAAGACTTCTAACATGTGTCTCTCTTTAACCCTAATAACCCCAGAATTATAGCAAGAGAAAGCCATTACTCACATTTAACACAAAAAGTAAGACGCAAAGGAAATTCATCTATGCTCAAGCGTCTAAGGATTAGAATTAGAACTCCAGTCGCCTGACTCTCAGGCCAATTTACTTATACACTGACCTTTAAAAGGGTAAATTCAAATCAAAACTTTCTATTTGTATTATACTATATACAGTAATAAAAAAATCAACTTTTTAAGTGATAATACACAGTATAAAAAAAAGATTCTTCTCTAAAATTTGCATCAGATAGCATTTTGTTTAAATTTTTTTTTAAAGACAGGGTCCCACTGTCCACCAAGGCTGGAGTGCAGTAGCACAATCAAAGCTCACTATAACCTCCACCTCCTGGGCTCAAGTGGTCATCCCACCTCAGCCTCCCCAGTAGCTAGAATTATAAGTGTGCCCCACCGCATCCACCTAATTTATTTTTATTTTTTGTAGAGACAGAGGTTGGGAGGTGTCTCACTGTTCCCCAGGCTGGTCTTAAACTCCTGGCTTCAAACGTTCCTCCAACCTTGGCCTCCCAAAGCATGAGCCACTGTGCTCAGTATTGCTGAATACACTAAAAGTCATCAGCAAGAAACAATAAAATGGTATATTTTCTTTTCCCATTCCTTATTGAAGTAAAAGAGAAAAACATTAAGAAACCAGTAAAGCAAGAAAAAGAGGGCTAAACAAAACCACAGCCATCAAATTTCTTCTTTTTTTAATACAGATGAGATTTCCAGGCCTGTCTCGAACTCCTGAGCTCAAGCAATCCACCCACCTTGGCCACAAGCCATGGCACACGGTCTAGCCACCAAATTTATATACGCAATCACTTTTTCAGCCACAGGGAATAGAAAAATAGTTAAAACTGTAAAAAGAAGTAGAAACAGGAGGTACTGCCACACCTCCAAAGTGTTAGAACAGTTAAGGTTTTCCTCAGGTGGAAAAAAAATCAGGAAAACCAGCAAGAATGAGCTAGAATAAACTAGACCAAGATTCTACCCTGTGCTATCAGCTGTGAAAGACATGAGCTAGCCCAAGCCCTCTTTCAAAGACAACTTGAAGTGAGGTGTGCAGATAGCCAGCGGTGATACTGGAATCTTTGGTAGGATGCATGCAAGGTTTAAAAGAATGCTGGGAAGCTCAGACCAACGGAAGACCAAAATGGAAACAAGTAACTGGAGTAAAAGGCGACAAACTACTACTCTAAGTACTATTAGAGAAGAGCAACCCGAGCCCTAGGGGTGGCAATACACATTCCAGGAAGAGCTGGTATATAAGAACTCATGAAAATAAGGTATTTCCCCAAGAGAGAAGTGGAATGGTCTAGAATGGGAGGCAAAAAGGGAGTTCTAGCAAGAGACAACTTCAGAAAGGTCTAGGGGCATGAATGAATGAGCAATATATAACTGTGGATAGGTTTCAAAGGAAAGCCTGAAAACATGCAAACAACTGAAATGACAAAACAACCCAAATACACAATTCACACCTATAATCTTCCAAACAAACTGCATACCAAATATATAGAAGGCGCTAATAGGTCTTTTAAAACAAGTTGTTACATACAAAAAGAAAGCCTATGGAAGTTCTGTTGTTTGGTTTGTTTTTAACTGACATGGGTTTATTCAAAACACAGTTGCACAAAATAACTTCAAAGTTTTTAAGGAGAGATTCTTGAGAACTTAACACACTATGTACAGACTGTTATACAAAGGAAGCTCTTAAAAGTCCATCACACATTTCATGTTTGCTTTAGTTGAACTTCTACAACCTAGGAATTAAAAAACAAACAGAAACCTGGTAAATTGTTTCGCAAAAAGTAGAGTCATCACTATACTTGAATTTGGTTCTGAAATGAATTTGGCATCTTCCAATAACTGTTTCCTATCTAACCTGCTTGAAGTGACACTATCATAACCAACAAACGTATTTTCTAGTTAACGAGATGTTTAAATTCAAATAATTTAAGTAGAAATAGTAAATTGAAATTGCCAATGGGGTATTTCTTCCTAAAGAGAAATCCAAATAACAGTTTCCATTTGCAGTCCCATACTACAGATGATTAAGATATTTTTCAGTTGATAAGATTTTTAACTAAGAAGACAGCACATTACAACATTAATTCTAAAATTTAACCTAAAAGTTAATAGAATTTGGCCAGGTGCGGTAGCTCACGCCTGTAATCCCAGCAATTGGGAGGCCAGCACGGGTGGATCACTTGAGGTCAGGAGTTGGAGATCACCCAGGCCAACATGGTGAAACCCTGTCTCTACTAAAAATACAAAAATTAGGTGGGCGTGGTGACACATACCTGTAGTCCCAGCTGCTCTGGAGGCTGCGGCAGGGGAATCGCTTGAACCCGGGAGGCAGAGGTTGCAGTGAGCTGAGACCGCGCCACTGCACTCCAGCCTGGGCAACAGAGGGAGACTCTGTCTTTAAAAAAAAAAAAAAGTACTGCCTACTGTAAATAGGTGAATTGTATGGCATGTGAATTATATCTCAATAAAGCTATTTTTTTTTTTTTTTGAGACAGAGTCTTGCTCTATCGGCCATGCTGGAGTGCAGCGACGCAATATTGGCTCACTGCAACCTCCGTCTCCCGGGCTCAAGCAACTCTCCTGCCTCATCCTCACTAGTAGCTGGGATTACAGGCATGTGCCACAACGCCTGGCTAATTTTTGTATTTTTAGTAGAGACAGGGTTTCACTATGTTGGCCAGGCTGGTCTTGAACTCCTGACCTCAGGTAATCCGCCTGCCTCACCCTCCCAAAGTGCTGGGATTACAGTCATGAGCCACCACACCCGGCTCAATAAAGCTGTTTTTAAAAATTCTATTTTGTTCACAAAATGCTTTCTACCTTCAAAAGTATTACATAATAAGGAAAACTTTGGCCAGGCGCAGTGGCTCACTTTGGCCAGGCGAGGTGGCTTACGCTTGTAATCCCAGCACTTTGGGAGGCTAAGGTGGGTGGATCACCTGAGGTCAGGAGCTCAAGACCAGCCTGGCCAATATGGTGAAACCCCCCTCCTCTACTAAAAACACAAAAATTAGCCAGGTGTGGTGGCGCACACTTGTAAATCCAGCAACTTGGGAGGCTGAGGCAGGAGAACTGCTTGAACCTGGGTGGTGGAGGTTGCAGTGAGCCGAGATTGCACCACTGCACTCCAGCCTGGGTGACAGAATGAGACTGTCTGAAAAAAAAAAAAAATGAGAACCGAATTTTATTTTTACTGTTACCCTACTTCAGAACAGTTTTTTAGGAACTGGAAGGTAATAAGACAGTCTTTTCCCTCAAGGAATATACACTCTACCAGGGTCGGCAGACAAATAGCAATTACCAGACAGTTCTGTGAGGAAAACTAAGCAGTGGGAAGAGAAGAAGATAAGAAGAAGTAGAGACTACAGACAGAAGATGGTAGCAGACAGGGTTCCCTACCCAAATTCCAACTACCCCACCTTTCTTCCCTGCTAAAAGAATCCAGCTACAACCGCCTTTAACCTCCCAGGAAGCAGGCTATTCCCTCGCCCTCAGGGATGAGTCATGATTGGGCTAAAGCCAGTTATTTCTTTCAAACTTCAAGATTAGAGGCATGAAATCAATTTAGACCACTGGTTCATAATGAGGATTCTTATACTTGGAAGAAATAATTTCACTAACCTCTAATTGAAATTAAAGCCAGGCATGGTGACTCATGCCTGTAACTCTAGCACTCTGAGGGGGCCAAGGCAGGTGGATCACTTGAAGTCAGGAGTTCAAGACCAGCCTGGCCAACATAGTGAAACCCCGCCTCTGCTAAAAATACAAAAATTAGCTGGGCATAGTGGTCGTGCCTACAGTCCCAGCTACTCGGGAGGCTGAGGCAGAATCACTTAAACCCAGGAGGCGGAGGTAGCAGTGAGCCGAGATCGCGCCACTCTACTCCAGTCTGGGCAATGCAGCGAGACTTCGTCCTCCCCCCACCAAAAAAAAAAGAATTTTAACATTTCTTTCTCATATGAATAGGCAACAAACCACAGCATTATTGGCGGTACCTTTAAGTTTGTACCAAAAGAAATCACTGATATTATATCACATTACAATTGCTGCAGATACCTCAAACTATCCTTTACACTCAACTACTTTGAGAAGCTGCTAGATCGTTACTGACAGTGCTAATAAACATATTACTGATTACATACCAGCTTTCACAGTTTGAGAGCTAGACTTCCAACATTTTGAGATCTTTGGTTTTTTTGAATCTTATGGGTATTAATTTTGTGAATTTAACAATATTATTCTGAGGTATCCACGAGCTTCAGACTGCTAAAGAATCTATGCTTCAAAAAAGGTTCAGGGCATCCAGACTTAAAAGGTCCTAACCAAAACTTTCAAATGAAACAGAGAAAAGAAAATAGAGCATGCATAATCATTAAGCACAGCTCATGCAACTTACTTCAGTTACACAGATATGCCTTCACATACAGTGCTGACACACAGTAGGTCATTCATATTAGACTGCATATTAGAAGAATTTAAAAGCCAATGGTCTAAACCTGGCTGTGTACAAAATACCATTACTGTGTGCGGGTTTTTTTTTCTTTTTCTTTTTTTCTTTTTTTTTTTTTTTTTTGCCAGAAGTATGATCCAGTTGTCAGTAATAAGATATACAGGGAGACAGGCTAGGCATCCTCTAGGAATACTTTTGCTTTCTAGATAAACAACAATAGGAACACAACAGTATCTTTTCTTCTTCCTGACTCAAATGCAATGGACACAATGACTTCAAGCCTTGACAGCCATTCAGTAACCGTGAGAACCACTTGCTGCTTAGAATGGCAGAGCAGAAACACACAGAGCCTGGCCCTTGCTGGAACCACTGTGCAAACGAACCATGTCGTGCAAGGAAAAACAAACCCCAATCTGTTTAAGGCCTTGTTGGTCAAGTTTTCTATTTACTTGCAGGTGAAAATGTTCCTATCAGAAAAAGGAATTATTATGGATAGGATGACCAAGTAAGGCCATCTGAGCTAAAACCTTACGCATGAAGAAACAGCCATTAAGATCTAGAAGATGACGTTCCACGGAGCAAGAAGAGCAAGTAGAAGGCAAGAAAAGCAGGAGATGATGTCAGAGAGGTGGCCATGTAGGAGCCTGTGAGCCACAACAAGGAGTCTTCTTACTCTTCCCATTGGGCTGCCACAAGCAAAGAGCCACATCCTGCACAAGGTTAATACAAATGATATTACAAGTATCCCAAGTTAATGCAAGATACTCCAAGGTAATACAAAAGATAAGGGAGGAAAATTTCATTTAAAAACATGGTTTTGGCCAGGCGCGGTGGCTCATTACCTGTAATCCCAGCACTTTGGGATGCCAAAGCAGACAGATCACTTGAGCTCAGGAGTTCAAGACCAGCCTGGGCAACATGGTGAAACCCCATGTTGTCTCTACCAAAAATACAAAAAAAAAAAAAAAAAAATTAGCCAGGCATCGTGATGCACGCCTATAGTCTGATCTACTCAGGAGGGCTGAGGCAGGAGGATAGTTTGGGCCCAGGAAGTGAAGGCTGCAGTGAACTAAGATGGAGCCACTGCACTCCCGCCTGGGCAACTGAGCAAGACCCTGTATCAAAAAATAAAAATAAAAATAAATTAACTTTTTAAAAAAGCATGGCTTCACAGATATGAGTACAAAGCTAGCATTTTTAAAAAGGATTATTAACAATAGTTTCTGGCCAGGTGTGGTGGATTACACCTGTAATCCCAGCATGGGTGGCCAAGGAGGATGGATCACCTGAGGTCAGAAGTTTGAAACCAACCCAGTCAACATAGTGAAACCCTGTCTCTACTAAAACTACAAAAATTAGCCAGCTATGGTGGCGTGAGCCTGTAGTCCCAGCTACTTGAAAGGCTGAGGCAGGAGAATCGCTTGAACCCAGGAGGTACAGGCTGCACTGACCCAAGATTATGCCACTGCACTCCAGCCTGGGAAAGAGTGAGACTCCATCTCCAAAAAAAAAAAAAAAAAAAAAATTTTAATCTGACAAAAAGGGAAAGATTTTAACAATTATGGTTAAGTAAATATAAAGCACATTAATGAAGAACTAATAATGCAACAGGAAGATGCTCATCATATAATAGCATAAGGAAAAGCAATATGATCTGCTATTATTAAAACAGAGGCTAGAAGGAAAGACTACATACAAAAATGTTTATAGTGGTTATATGAGGTGGCAAAATTGGGGGTGATTCTTAGTTTTCTTTATTCAAATTTTAACAATTGCTCTATACTTTATAATCAGAAATAAATGCCTCAAAAAGCATAAGTTTTAAAAAGTCATTCGCTACATGTTACGTGACACCCTGGATAGGATCCTGGAACAGAAAGACATTAGGTGAAAATTAAGAAAATTCAAATAAAGTATAGGTAGTAATAATGTATCAATACTGGGTCATTAGTTGTGTCAAATGTACCATACTAATGTTAAAATTTTCACAAACAGAAACTGGATGTGGAGTATAGGAGAACTCTATCTCTGAAGCTTTTCTGTGAATCTGAAACTGACCTAAAATAAAAAGTGTGTTTAGGCCGGGTGCGCTGGCTGATGCCTGTAATCCCAGCACTTCAGGAAGCTGAGGCAGGCGGATCACCTGAGGTGGGGAGTTCGAGACCTGCCTGACCAACATGGAGAAACCCCGTCTCTACTAAAAATACAAAATTAGCTGAGCGTGGTGGCACATGCCTATAATCCCAGCTGCTAGGGAGGGTGAGGCAGGAGAATCGCCTGAACCTGGGAGGCAGACGTTGCGGTGAGCCGAGATCGCGCCATTGCACTCCAGCCTGGGCAACAAGAGCAAAACTCCGTCTCAAAAAAAAAAAAAAAAAGTGTATTTAAAAAGACTCTTCAAGTGGGCAAGTGCAGATAATAGGAGTCATTACTAAGTTATAGCAGGCAAAAAGACAAAGTCATTTAGGAAGAGAGAAGATATATTTTGAAAGAGTCAAGGGCAAAACGTTATACACAATAATGAATACCCAGCACACCACAGACCCTCACTTGTAGAATAAGGCCCTCAGTTATTATACTGTCTTCTCTGCAGTCTCTTAAAACAGTTTTCAGACACAAAAGGTTTAAACCATCTTCAAAAATAACAAAAGCATTATTGATCCCTTCAGGTAACAAAGTGCTGAGAATAACGAATATACTTTTAAAAATACCTTTGAGCTACCAAAATTATCACTGTCTTAAAGCCACATAATGCAAGCCTTTACCCTGAACTTAAGGTACACAAGTCTAGAAAGTAGTTTTGCAACTCAATGCATATTAAAAGCTGGGGGAGGAGGGTGTAGCTCACAGTGCCTAAACACCAAGACGCCCACCAATCAGAGCAAGGAGAGAACACATGCACTGCACAAAGCAATTAAGTTCTATAAAAAGCAGGCCATTTAGGAGTATCCAATAGCCAATGAGGGCCTTAAGGCTAAGTATAATAAACCAATGTTCACTAATGATGGCCACAACTCAGGCACAAAACATTACAGTGCATTCAGAACATTCTGAAAAATCAACACCTATATAGTAACTGTTGAAGAACCACATAAAGAAACATGTTCATGGCCAGGCGCAGTGGCTCACGCCTGTAATCCCAACACTTTGGGAGGCCGAGGTGGGCAGATTACCTGAGGTCAGGAGTTTGAAACCAACCTGGCCAACATGGTGAAACCCTGTCTCTACTAAAAATACAAAAATTAGCTGGGCATAGTGGCACACGCCTGTGATCCCAGCTACTCTGGAGGCTGAGGCAGGAGAACTGCTTGAGCCTGGGAGGTGGAGGTTGCAGTGAGCTTGAGATGGTGCCACTGCACTCCAACCTGGCTGACAGAATGAGACTGTCTCAAAAAAAAAAAAAAAGAAAAGAAAAGAAACATGTTTACTGTTTACTGCATGAATCTTTCTTCATCAGGTTTTACATCTATTTCTGAAAAAAAAAAAATAAATAAAAGACTTCCATTAATTAAAAAAAAAGAAATTAGGCCGGGCTCAGTGGCTCACAACTGTAATCCCAGCACTTTAAGAGGCCGAGGCGGGTGGATCATGAGGTCAAGAGATCGAGACCATCCTGGCCAACATGGTGAAACCCTGTCTCTACTAAAACTACAAAAATTAGCTGGGCATGGTGGCGGGCACCTGTAGTCCCAGCTACTTGGGAGGCTGAGGCAGAAGAATTGCTTGAACCTGGGAGGCAGAGGTTGCAGTGAGCTAAGATCACACCACTGCACTCCAACCTGGGCAACACGGTAAGACTCCACCTCAAAACAAAAAAAAAAAAAGAAAAAAAAATAAGAAATTTATCCTCTAGCGATTAAAAAAAGACCTTGAAACTAGGTAAAGAGGAATATGGGATGTTCCTTACACTATTTTTGCAAGATTTTTATAAATCTGAGACTATATCAAAATAAAGACATCAAAAAATGTATGCCATATCACACTGCTAACACTGACCTTATTTATTTGAAACTGTAAGTAGTCAAAGAGACTATAATTAGCAGTGATAAAACACCTGAACCTAAATCAAATTTAGAAACAGCCCCCCACAAAACTTTTCTAAGTGTGTAATCTGGGTCAGGGTTATTTTTCCTTTCAATTTTTAGATTCCATTTTAATTGTCCATTAAATTTACTCAAAACCTAAATTATAACATCTTAAAAATAAATACACACTGTTGACTGTAACTTTATACATTGCCACCAACTGTGAAAATAAGGCACCATTTAGGAGAACTATTAACATTTACAATAAAACAAATACTATTTGATCACTCAACTGGGAACCAGGCACTGTGCTAGGTAAGAACTTCATTTACTCATTAAAAACTGAAAAGAATCCTGAAAAGTATGTATTTTCTATATTTTACACAGTAACATGCTCAAGGTCAAACAAGGAAAAACTAGAACCCAAGTTCATCTTGCTGCAGAGTCCATAACACTCGCAATGATCTCATTTCAACTCTAAAATTCTACCACTCAAATAATTCCAAGATAGTATCAGAAAAATCCATCTTCTCAAAACTGTCTTTTCAGATGCAAAGGAAAGGAAAATAAAAACACTGTCTCTCAAAAGGCATGGTTACTAAAAATAGTATTCTTACAATGCTGAGGAAGCTGAGGCAAGAAGATTGCTTGAGGCCAAGAGTTCAAGACCAGCCTGGGCAACGTGGCAAGATTTCATCTCTACAATAAATAAAAAATTAACCAGGCATGGTGGCACATGTCTGCAGTCTTAGCTACTCCACAGCTAAGGCGAGAGGACCACTTGAGCCCACAAGTTCGAAGCTGCAGTGAGATATGATCACACAATTGCACTCCAGTCTAAACAACAGAGAGACCTTATCTCTAGAAAAAAATAACAAATTAATAATAATAATAGTTTACAAATGCAAGCACTTATCCTATACCAGGCATTGTTTTAAATGTTTTACATATATTAACTAATTTAATCCTCATAACAATCAGGATATATATACTATTTTTACTTCCATTTTACAGATGGGAGAACTAGTGTCAAAAAAAAAAAAAGGTTATTCAACTAGTAATGTTGGAGCCTAGATTTAAACTGAATCTCAGTGTTCGCTCTTACCCACTTCACTAAACTTATCATTATTCATACATTATCACATTATCCTCCACCAGCAGACTGTGCTAAGCTATATAAAGTACCACAGGCCCAGCCCTGAGCCAAGGGAAGGATTCAACACAGGTTAGTTGCTAATATTATTCAAGATGCCTTTTCTTAATATTCTTATCCCATTCATTTTCCACACCAGTGGACTGACCTAGATCATTAGACTATATTATATACCTTTTAAAGTGATACATCAAAAAGGGAACCAGGAATTTAAATCTGAATTCAAGGTGGGCAAATATATACAGATGCAAATAATGCAACTATTCTGAGAAATATCTTGGTAGTATTTTTACCATATTCTTTATTCCAAACAGTTGGTCATCTTATGAAGCATCCGCGTAACGTCTCACAATTCAGTTTAAGAGATTTTAGGCCGGGCGCGGTGGCTCACACTTGTAATCCCAGCACTTTGGGAGGCCGAGGCAGGCGGATCACAAGATCAGGAGATCAAGACCATGGTGAAACCCCGTCTCTATTAAAAATACAAAAAATTAGCCGGGCGTGGTGGCGGGCGCCTGTAGTCCCAGCTACTCGGAGAGGCTGAGGCAGGAGAATGGCATGAACCCGGGAGGCAGAGCTTCCAGTGAGCCGAGATTGCGCCACTACACTCCAGCCTGGGTGACAGAGGGAGACTCCGTCTCAAAAAAAAAAAAAGATTTTATGCTGCTGGACATGGTGGCTTACGCGCCTATAATCCCAGCACTTTGGGAGGCTATGCGGCCAGACATGATGGCTCATGCCTGTAATCCCAGCATTCTGGGAGGCCGAGGCGGGCAGATCACTTGAGGCCAGGAGTTCAAGACCAACCTGGGCAATATAGCGAGACCCCTCTACAAAAAATAAAAAAAATTAGCCAGTCACAGTGGCACATACCTGTGGTCCCAGCTACTGAGGAGGCTGAGGCAGGAGAATCACCTGAACCTGGGAGGCAGAGGTTGCACTGAGCTGAGATCACGCCACTGCACTCCAGCCTGGGTGACAGAGTGAGACTCTGTCTCAAAAAAAAAAAAAAAAAAGAGATTTTATGTTAGTTTTGTCCAAGTTTACCACTCTCCCTTTAAGACTGTAAACTCCAGGCCAAGGACTACATTTTATATATCTTTATAATCCTAAATCTTGGCCTAGGGCCTGAAATAAGAAGTGTTCAAAAATACTTATTATACCCTGATAAGGGCCAGGAGTGGTGACTCATGCCTGTAATCTCAGCATTTTGGGAGGCCACAGTGGAAGGATCACTTGAGCCTACGAGTTTGAGACCAGCCTGGGCAACATAGGGACACCCTGGCTCCACACACACAAAAAAAAAAAATTAAAATATTAGCTGGATGTGGTTGTGAACACCTGTAGTCCCAGCTAGTCAAGAGGTTAGGGTGAGAAGATCGCTTGAGCCCAGGAGGTTAAGGCTGCAGTGAGCAGTGACTGTGCCACTGGACTCCAGCCTAGGTGACAGCGTTGAGACCTTGTCTAAAAAAAAAAAAAAAGCCTGGTACAGTGGCTCATGCCTATAATTCCAGCATTTTAGAAGGCTGAGGCAGGAGGACTGCATGAGGCCAGGAGTTCAGGACCAGCCTGGGCAACCAAGATTCTGTCTTTACCAAAAAAAAAAAACAAAGTAGCCAGGTATGGTGGTGTGAGCCTGTAGTCTCAGCTACTCAGGAGGTGAAGGCAGGAGGATCACAAGATCCAAGGGCTTTCAAGGCTATGGTGAGACATGATTGTACCACTATGCTCCAGCCTGGGAGACAGAGTGAGACACCCAACTCTAAAAACAAAAAATATATATATACCATTTGCTTATAATTCACATGTATTAATTCCATATCCACTGCTAGAGTAACTGCACTGACATGCCTTAAATGATTGCTTTTCTAGGTTTGAGAGTATTGCTACATGCAATTCAAGCAACACCTTTAAGAGCTAAATGCAGCAGTTGCTGAAACCAAGATAACTCCTTTCCTTGAGCCATGATTCTAATACTAGCCCTTAAAATAGAAACAATTCCAGAATTTTTTTAGAACTGTTGTTTTACTAAGTCCTTGATTTTACACTCCTTAAAATAACTATAGATAGATTAAGCCATTCCTAACTTTACAACTGTCTGAAGAAATATGGAAAACTTCCCAAATCCTTTACTATTGCATTAAAAATTTAAATAAACTCAGCAGGAATCATGAAAAAGTTCTAAGTTTCTTGAGATACAGTAAACTCTCAGAAGTTAACTCTGTAATTATGAATCACCTTCATTTTCTTTTTTAGTAATAAGAAACAAAACCGTAACACTATGGCTGAATATCAGTAAACACATGAGTTAGGTAGTAGACCCATTTTATAGAAGAGAAAGAAACTCTGGTATTCCAGCAAACATAAGTTTACCAATTCCTTAAATGATTCAAGAAATAAACTGAGTATCAATTAAAACATGTACCACAATGAAGATATAAAATGATGGTGTATTAGCTCTTCAGTAATTCCTTTCAGTAGTCCTTACTTTCTGTAATGACAAGATACCTGGAAAAAATGTCATGGCCTAATATACAGGCAGCTGAAAAGTAATACTAGATGGTTAGAAGAGGCAGAAGGAGATTATCTTACAGCACCACACCAAAGGCTGAAATACCCCAAGTCTTAGTTCATAGCAGCAACTGGAAAGGCAACACTTTTCAAAAGGCAGGATGAAGAGTAGAGTAAAAAAGATGAACTCTGCAATTAACAGTCTAGTTTTCTGAAAGGATTTTGAGGCCAGAATGTGAAAATCAACACTAACATTACTAATGACAGTTGAGAAATAATTAGTAAATAGGTCTGATCACAAAGTTAAGACTACTGAATCTTCTTAAACATCAGCCTACTTGTTGCCATCTACTGGGGGAAGGGCACAAATGCATTTGGACCTGGGGTGGAAGGGTAGAGAGCAGGGTCAAATTCCCTTGAGACTAAGCTGCTTTCCCTAGGTGGGAAGAAATGAAAATACATGCTTCATATAAAGGAAAAAATATATGAAGCTGGGTGGCTGTTTTACAGAAAAACAGGCACTCTTGTGCTACAGCAGTAAAACAGATAGACTTCACGAATATTTTTATTCTAAAGTCCACAAAATGTTGGACAATACAGCCTTCCTTACTCTACAAACAGGTACAATTCTGAGTCATAAATCTGCATAGCTAGCATCTCTGCTTTCTACATAAGAATCAAATTAATCCAAACTGCAATTAGGAAAGTCTGTAAGAACACACCAGAAATAAAAGCTGCTAAAGAAAGCTAAATATCATAGCTATCAGAACACTGAAAAAAATTGTTTTTAGTTTCTCTTCAGCCACCATACAACCTAACTTCTCATTTTTAAAATCCTGTATACATACTTGTATAAAAGTAATGGTATCTGTTAAAGGATATAAAACTGTGCTAGATAGGAAGAGTATGTTCTCCTGTTCTATTCCACTGCAGGGTGACTATAGTTTAATATACAGTTTCAAATAGCTAGAGGGAAGATATTGAATGTCCCAACACAAAGAAATAATAAGTGTCTGTGATGATGGTATGCTAATTACCCTGGTCTGACTACTATACATTGTATGTATTGACACATTACTAAGTGCCCCATAAATACATACATATTATGTGTCAAAATAAAATTTTAAAAACAATTAAAGGGGTAACAACTCTACTATGCAGAGTGCAAAGCGAATATTTTATTAGAATATTTAATTTGATTAAACTATGTAATATTAATTTGTACTTTTTAAAAGTATTTACATATTTATCCCAGAGTCAGTAATGGCTAGAAAAAAAAAACCAGAAGTATTTAAATATTTAAGCCACAATTCACTTTTGTTTTAAACATAATTTCACTGTATTGAACGCTAAGCAAAAGTTTCCCTATATAAGACTTACAAATTACTGAGGACAACTCACAAAAAATCATGCATTAGGTATCAAAAAGTATTTTGAATTACAAAAAATCTGAACAAACAACAGTTGAATGTGCTGAGACAAAATGACTGATAGCTTCCACTAAAGGAAGACTTCTGTGTCCAACAGAGGACTGGTGTGGGTCATTTAGACAATAAACCAGCTTCTGCTTATTTAACATTTTAAACAACAGGAAAAAACAAGAAGTTTTACCTTCACTACTTCTATCTCCTCCAAAACTTAATACAAAAACTTTTATATGTAGTATCAGAAAGGGAAGCACTGTCATAAAAAATGACATCTAAAAGCACTTTTATTTTTGTTTTCAGTTCATTCATAAATATTTTTGTACACCTTTTTCACATCACCTATTCAGGGATCAACAATCATTCAACATAATCTGTTAAATCTAATTCCGTGATCTCCCATTTAAGAACTTCAATAATCTCAGCCCAATTTCCTGTTATTTCATATATATGGACCCTCTACTCCAGAGAGCCCATTTACCTTAATATTAGATCCTCACCACAATTACACCTTTAAGCTCCCCATTCTTCTATATCTTCCTCCAAACAATCAGGGCCAGTTTAAGCCCCTCTCTCTTCATAGTCTTCCTAAGTAACTTCAACCCAGAACTGAACCTCTCTAAACTTCCAAGTACCCACTGTATAAAACTCGATCTTGTACTTAATAACAAATATGCACAATGTTAGATGTTGTGTGCTGTAGTCGTAAGTTTCAACTCATCTACAACAAAGTACATTTCAAGATAAGGAATCTCCTTTTATAAATCTCTTCTTTTTCAGCACCCTCTAAGAGGGCAGATCTTGTATGGAACCAGATATGCACTCACATTAGCTGCTGATGAGTATTTGTTTTTGTTTTTTGAGACAGAGTCTCACTCTGTGGCCTAGACTGGAGTGCAGTGGCATGACGCACTGCAGCCTCAACTTCCTGGGTTCAAGCAATCCTCCCAAGTAGCTGGGGCTACAGGCATGCACCACCACATCAGGCTAATTTTTTATTTTTAGTAGAGATGATGTCTTGCTGTGTTGCCTAGGTTGGTCCTGAACTCCTGGGCTCAAATCATCCTCCTGCCTCAGCCTCCCTAGGGGTTGGAATTACAGGCATGAGCCACAGCACCTGGCTGAATATTTGTAAATGAAGATGCTTCAACAATTTATTTAGTATAGCCACAAATCATGCCCTAATTCATGTTTCTTAATTTACATTCTAATATCAGATTTTCTAAATGCAGAAAATCTACATTTAGAATTTTACAGAATATTTCTCTATGCTAAATACTATACTCCTATATACAGTTTTAGACAAATAAGCTGTGATGGAATAAGATAAATATCAACTATATGAAACATAACAGAACTTGGAAGACAAGGAATAAGTTTCAGGTCCCTTTTATATTCTGTCAAGCACAATTGTGGCACACAGTAAGCACTTGATAAATATGTATTGATAAATAAATCATCATCTACTAATAAACATCATCTCCAAATGCTAAATTTGGGGTAACCAACTAACTAAAATATTCTAGGGTCTTAACAATTCCTTAAGTAGCTGATTTTAATGAGCCTAATTTTGAAAAATTTATATTCTACACTCAGCTGCCAACCCCTGAAAAATGAAAACAAGCAAGTAAATTATGGCAAACGATGCTAATATTATTTCACAACATCGTTTCTCAATGTGTCACACCAGAACACACTACCACGTACACCTACCATGTACAATGCATTATGTTGGAAGCCTTGTGCTAGACACTGTGAAGATAAAAGAATGAGATCTCTACCTTGAAGAGGCCAAAAACCCAGTTAAGTTAAAATGTAAACAACTAATTATGTA